>NC_000011.10:75904180-76207211 GCF_000001405.40 Homo sapiens | reverse complement strand
TTTTGTATTCGTAGTAGAGACGGGGTTTTGCCATGTTGGGCAGGCTGGTCTCGAGCTCCTGACCTCAGGTGACCCGCCCGCCTCGACCTCCCAAAGTGCTGGGATTACAGGCGTGAGCCACCCTGCCCGGCCAGGGAACGTTCTTTATAAAAGCGGAATTGTGCCCGAATTGCCCCAGCTTACTGAGGAGGTAAACTGAAACACGTTTGGGAAGGAGAATTGCCGAGGCCCTATTAACTAATGCTCAATATTGCAGGGATAAGCCCCAGCTCCGGGTCCTCGACTCTGCTGCCTCGCCTGGACTCCTGATTCCTCATTCCTCTCCTTTCCGTCCCAGGTTGCGTCTGTCCGGGTTTCCCCCTCTGTCTCCGTGGCTCTCAGCCTTGTCCTCTGAGCGTCCTTCTCCCTCTCGCTGTGTCTGCCCGGTCTCTCCTGGGTCTCCGGTTCTGCCGCCTCCTGTCCCTCCTTCCGGCTGCCCCGGCCAGAGGGGCTCGAAGGCGCGTTGGGGCCCGGGGCCACGCTGGGAGACACGCCTTCGGCCGCGCCTAATTCGAGCCAGGCGCGGGACGCGTCCCCCGGCCGGGCGGAGCGGGAGGGGACGCCCGCCGCGCTCGGCCTCCCCGGGCCCCGACCCCTCCTTTGTAATTTGAATAAAACGCCTCCCCCGCCCGCGCGCCGCCTTAACCCGCCGCCTCCGCTCTCCCCGGCTGCAGGCGGCGTGCAGGACCAGCGGCGGCCGTGCAGGCGGAGGACTTCGGCGCGGCTCCTCCTGGGTGTGACCCCGGGCGCGCCCGCCGCGCGACGATGAGGGCGCGGCCGCAGGTCTGCGAGGCGCTGCTCTTCGCCCTGGCGCTCCAGACCGGCGTGTGCTATGGCATCAAGTGGCTGTGAGTAGGGACCCCGCGTCCACGCGCACAGGCCAGGGACTGGGGCGGCGGAGGGCGTTTTGGGGTCCCCTGGATGGGGCGAGCGCACCAAGACCCGGGAGCCTAAGCTGGCTTGGCGGTCGTGGGCAAGTCATCCCTCAGCCTCTGTTTCCTCCTCTGTAAAATGTCCCTGCCTCCCGCAGGCTTGCGAAAAGGGAGTGAGACGGGCGTGGACCACAATGGAAGCGCCTGGTCCTGTGCAGCTGACGGTGGCGCAAGGGCCACGGAGTTTCTGGCCACCTCCGCAGGGGCAGATGGAAAAAGACATTCTGTTCAGGGGGCGCAATCCAGAGCGGCCAGCCCAGGAGCGGTCCTTGTCCGTCAGTCTCCTTGACCCTAGCGGGAGTTCCGCTGAGACACTCCTGACCCCTCCACCTGGGCGACCTTGGGAAAGTGTCACTCTACTTCTTGGGGCCTCCTTGTCCTCCTCTGTCACGGGAGGGTGAGACTCCCCACCTCCCTCAAATCAGATGAGAAGAGGCTCCTGAAAGGACCTCAGAAGCTGTCAGATGCCACTGTGCACATGTGCAGGGCATTCCTTTAGATAGAAATTATTCACGCAGGGGTAGGAGGGAGAGAGAGGCTTGGTGCCGAGCTGAAGGGAGTGCCTGCTCAGGGGGCTGGGGGTGGTGAAGAGAGGAGTAAACACCAGCCCCTTCCCGGAGGAGCTGCGCTCTAAGTTGAGAGAGATAAGCCCAGGCTGTAAATAACTCCACAAGTGTCCAAGTGCCCGAGGAGAAACCAGAGCGGGAATCTGGAGGCCTAGAGGAAGGAAGCCCACCTGGTGGGGACACAGATGTGAGACACCGGGAAGCTTTTCCGAGGCTGTGCCTCTGGTGACTGAAGCGCTGCTGGGAGTTGGCTGGTTCGGGCAATGGAGAGGACGCTGTGGGCAGAGGGGCTCCCTGAGAGGGAAAGTCCAGGACAGGACAAGGGTCTGGAATCTGGGGCCAGGGCAGGGAGCCTGCAGATAAGACAGCAGGGGGCAGGTTGTGGGGGCTGGGGAGGGCGCTGCAAAGGGTTTGTGAATTAGTTGGAAGACAGGGTGATAGTGGCTGCGCCGCCAGCAAACAGTCTGGAGGTCACTGGCCCTGCCCCTTCTCAGGCCAAGTTATTGATTAATTGACGATTCGAGGAGGGAACCCCGTCTTCCTGCCTTTCTTGTTTACAAGAAGCCTGGTCTCAGCAATCTCCCAGCCCTGGGCACTAGCTTTTCCCAGCTGTCCCTGAGGAGTTCTGTGAGAAACCAGCCACCTTCCTTTTGCAATGGGGTACCCAGCACTGTTCCAGCTGGCAGGGACCTCCGATCAGCGAGTCCAAGCTCTCTCATCCACCGCCACCATTTTACAGATAAGGATACTAAGGTCCAGGGAAGGAGAGGATTGGCTGAAGGAGCGTCAGAGGCCTTGCAGTGGGCTTGGGTGTCATTTGCCGCCCATAAGAGTCCTGTGGGGTCACTGCCATCATCCCTGCTCCACAGTGGGAACACCGAGACCCTGCAAAGGGCATGATGCACGCAAGCCCCCACGCTGGCCTGTGGTGGGATGGACGGCTGGCTAAACCTGACGTCCATGTCCTCTGTCCCCACTGCAAAGTCAGGCTGCCACAGAAATGGGTACAACTCATTGTGTGCCTTAAATAAGCCCCCAGGCTCTTGGGGGAGATGGACATATAGAAATACAAAGTGGACTATGGTCTGTGTCCTAGCAGAGGGAGCATGGCAGCCCAGAGGAGGAGTGATCAGTTCTATCTAAGGGAGATGCATAGGCCAGGATTGGAAGGACAGGGAGGATTTGGATGGTCAGAGACGGAGTGCAAAGCAGGCGTCCTAGGCGGGAGGCACAGCACGAGCAGAAGCCTGGAGGCCGAACAGCGCATGCGGGGAGACCTGGAGAAACCAGGCACCACAAGAGCCTACTCCTAAGTGCCCCAGACGCTGCTCCGAGAGCTTGGGTCATGTAAGTTAGATCATACTGCACTCCTATGAGAAACTGATAGTCTAGCAATAGGGGATTAAAGTCTTGCTAGAGTTTAAGATAGAGGGGGAGGTGGGAAAAGGGGTGGAGTTTAAGAATAACAACGATCTGTGTATGCATGTGTATATATAGATACACGTGTGTAGGCCACGTGCATATATCTATGTATATGTACATATATGTCTACACACACATGGCCTCACTTTGTGCTAGGTGCCGTTCTAAGTGCCTTATGTATATTGTTCCATTTAAATATCCCAACCACCCTGTGAGGTGGGTGCTGCTATTACCCCCGTTGCACAGAAGAGGAAACAGAGACTGGGGCACACAGAGATGGGGGACTCTACCTAGCAGGGTGTCACAGCTCAGAGGTAGTAGAGGCAGGATTTGAGTTAAGCTGCCTAGCTCTGTGGACTGTTGGGCACAGGGAGCCCCAGCACAGCTGGGAGCAGGGAAGTGTTCAGTGAGGCTGGAAAGCCGGGGACTCACCCAGGAGCCTCCGCTGGCCTGGGCTTTGGAGAGTGAGCTGGAGATGAAAGGGGCACTTGGCACAGGAACTGAAAGCCAACATGGCCCAGTGGCCTGGAATGCTCACCTGGTGGGTGCCTGGGACGCAGGCTGAGCTGGTGGGATGGGGGCTGGGGAGAGGGGATCAGAACCTGGCTGCCCATAGAGGCACCTGCCCAGAAATAACCTGGGGATCCTTCCCTACCTTACCTCCACCCAGGCCAGGCACCAGAAGACTCCCAGCCCCTCAAGTATTCGGGGTCCCAGGTCTGGGCTGTCCACCCCCTTCTTGGCTTTCCTGGGTAGGGGGAGGGTTTGAGGGGAGTCCCACTCTCCTGTGAACCACGGAAGCGGTGGGGTGAGAGGAAAGGCCCAGGCCGGTTGGGAACATCCATAAAGGCCGCCCCCTTCCCTGGGCAGTCCCACACCTGCCACTCCCACGGAGGTGGGGCCAGGAGGCTCTAGAGGGCCATGGCGCTGCAGAGTAGGGTGGAAGGAGCGCCAGACTGGGACTGCAAGGCCCAGCCTGAGTTCTGCAGGTCAATCGCTTTAGCTTCTCTGAGCCTCAGTTTCCTCAGCTCTAAGATAGAGGTAGAAGGAGCCCTACCTCAGGATGCAGGAGGCCTGGGGTCTAGCTTGTCTCTGCCTCTGATTGGCTGCGTACAGATCTGGGCAAGCCCTGCCCTTTCCGGGCCTCAGTTTCCCCACTTGCACAGTGGGAGTTCATGATGCTGTGGCAGCTGCCGTTTGGTTTCTTGGTTGAGAAGCATCAGACCAAGGCCTGTTAGGGCTTTACCTTTGCAAGATGGGCTGCACAGGTGGGTCAGCATGTGTGAGGCCAAGGGGACAGGCTTCCATCTCTGAGGTCTGGGCAGTCAGGTGTGAAGGGGACCCAGTGTCATTTCCAGGCAGGACTGGATCTGCAGGCTCAAGGCCCTTCATCAGCCTCCATTTCTCTATCTATACAGTGAGGACAAGGGCTGGACTAGTCCCTCTTCACTCTGGAGTCCTGGGACAAAGCCCAGGAGGGAGAGAACAGGAGGACTCTCAGGCTGTGGGGCCCCAGGGGCTTCTTCTTCCTGAACGGGCAGCTGCAGCCCCAAGCTGGGATGGCTGGTGAAGAAGGGGCACTTCCGAGGTTCCTAGACCTCTCCCCGGTTCCTAGACCTGGTGCCTAATTGAAGAGTTAATTGAGGAGTCGTGGAGGGAGAGCTTCCCCAAGGTTGCCCCAGGGGAGTAGACGGAAGCCTGGGGAGAGGCTGGGCTTGCCTGGGTGGCCTAGAGCCTGGGGTCCTGCTCCATCCTCCCTGCCACATGGGCACCAGCATGAGGTGGGGCCCAGGAAAGCCCAAAGAGACACGGGGAAAGGAGGGACAAAGGTCTGGTTGGGAGAACAGGATCTCCTCGACTCAATTGTTCTCCCACCTCAGGGTCAGCAGGGTCCACAGATGCAGAAGCATGGGGATTCCAGGGCAAGACTGAGTCCCTAAGCCAGCCCGCAGCCCTCATCAGCATCCTCCTCATCCCAGAAGCACAGATGTGGGCATCAGGGTCTCTCTCATCGCCATCTGTTGACCTCACCCCATCTCTCTCCCTGGGTGGGCAGCTGCCAGGCTACATTCTGGGTGGCGCTGATGGGGGCACCTTCTGAGGCCCTCTGAGCCCAGCTCTGCCGAAGCCTCACCTGGAAATGGTCTGGCAATACCACTCAGCACCGTGGGCGGCCGAGCTGCAGAACTGCAGAGAGGGAACTTGGGGCCCAGGTCACTTAAAGGAGCCTGAACCTGGCTGCCAGGTCTCTGGCCTAGAATTCATCATGTGACCTGACCCCTGTGCCTAGAGGGAGAGGGATGCTGTGAAGTGCAGGTCCAGGAAGGAAGCCCTTCTTTGAAGGTGCCTTACACAGGCGGGTCCCCTAGAGCGGCCTGAGGGTAGGGTTGCTGGCGCCACCAGGAAAATACCTCAGTGAAGTCATTTGGCAGCTTGTGTTACCAATGTCAAAGCCTGCATTGTTCTTAAGCATTGAGCAGTATGGATGGGGAAATTGAGGTGGAGCAAGGGGCAGTGACTTGCCCAAGGTCTCACAGGGAGAGAGCTGCTGAGCCAGAGCTTGAACCCAGGTCTCTGCCCCAGCCAGTCCCAGCAAGGCCCCCAACTCCTGAATGAGAGGAGGCCTTGCCACCCCGGTAGGGCCCTGAGCTCGGGCCTCGCCTGTGAACTCTGCATTCCCTCCTGTCCTTTCTTCCACCCTCTCCCCCAGGCCCCCACCCCCAGATAAACCGAAATGTTTCCAATTAGGGGTCTGTTGGAGTGAAGCGAGCAAGATGTCCACAAGGAGAACTCCCCCACCTCCCATCCTAATCCTTGATTACCTCCCCAAGGGGGATTTATTTGGAAACGGTCATTACCACTAATTACCAGATGACCGCATGGCCCTCCTCGGGAGTGGAATCTGCTGCCTCCCGCCTGTGATCTCTGCCTGCAGCCCCTGTGGGCGGGTGGCCTCCCTAGTACGCATGGCAGCCTGCTCCTGTCCCAGCGTCAGCCTCCAAGGCGGGCCCCTGGGCCTTCACACTGCTCTGGGCCCACCAGGGCCTCTGGATCTGTTTCTCATTTACCCTTGGGCCGCCTGGGGAGTCTGAGCCTCGTCTGGAAGGTGCTCTGACAGCACCTTCTCCCTGAGCCTTCTGGGGAGGATGGAAAGACTGAGACCCAGGGTAGCTCCAGGGCTCACCCCAGGGTCCCAGCCTAGGAGACCCAGGCACCAGGAGCACCAGGCTCCCTTCCTTTAGAGCTGCAGCACCCAGCACTCACAAGCTGTCTGCACTGAGCTCCCCAGGAAGAGGCTCAGCCCCCATCGTCCCACCCCGTGGCTTGAGCCGGAGCCCAGGGAAAGACACAGGAGGCTGCCTTCACTGCCTGAACGCCCACCATGTGCCATGAGCCTGCTGCTAGGCCATGCGCTGATGTGCTGTCGCCCACGTTGTCCTTCTCATTTGAAAATGGAGGAAGCTGGCTCAGAAGGAGCGGGAAGAAAGTTGGGCGAGGGCAAGCGGCAGAGCAGGCTCAGGACGGGCTGGGTGGGGACCGCTCAGAGCAAAGCAGAGTGGGGACCCAGAGAGAAGTGACCCCAGTGCCTGCAGGGACTGACAGCCTCACCAAGAAGGATGACGGGGCCTGCTGGCGGGTGCTGGACAAGCACAGCCCCTAAAGCAGGGCTGATCATCCCCTCCGGGCTGCCCTCTGAGGTGTGAAGTGGGAGGCTCTGTCAACCGGGAAGGGCCATGCCCATATGGAGCTGTTTACCCCATGACGGCACTGCACGCAGGGACAGGGTTTGCTGGGTGGAGGTGGAAGAGCTGTTGACAACCGGGAAACACACTGAGGTGATGACGTTTGCCTCTGTGTGGTCAGAGCCCACCCAGGAAGTAAGGCAGGGTTCAGCAACAGGTTCCCCAAGAAGGTGAGGCCAGGGCAGGCCAGAACAGTTCCATTTAGGTCAAGAAACCGCGTCTGAGGGATGCTGTGTGGCCCACCCTGTGCCGGATGCTGGCATCTAGACACACCAGACATTTCCCGACTCATAGTTTAGGGGGTGGCAGTGAGGGGAGACTGCCCTGGACACCACAGTTGATCTTACACAGGGCGAGTCACGCCGCCCTAACCACAGACACCAGGCCCTGCTTTCTGGGTCTCTGGGAAGGTTTCTATCTTTGGGGGTTATAGGGTGGGTGGGACATGGCAGAGCGTGAGAGGCAGGAGGAAATGAAAGAACCTATTGAGTACTTACCGTAGCACATATCATTCAGCCTTGGCAGGACCCTGAGAGGTCCTCACGTTGTAGTTGATGCCCAGAGAGGGGCAATAGTTTGCCCAAGTTTGCACAGCACATAGAGGACAGAGCTTGAGTGAGAACCCAGGCCTTCTCACTCCGTCTGGTCCAATACTTGCTGGGCAACAAGCGGGGGACTTAGCTTCATCTATGAATTTTTTGTTTGTTTGTTTTGTTTTTTGAGATGGAGCCTCACTCTATCGCCAGGCTGGAGTGCAGTGTCACAATCTTGGCTCACTGCAATCTCTGCCTCCCAGGTCCTGCCTCAGCCTCTCAAGTAACTGGGACTACAGGCGCGCACCACCACGCCCAGCTAATTTTTTGTATTTTAGTAGAGACGGGGTTTCACCATATTGGCCAGAATGGTCTTGATCTTCTGACCTCATGATTTGCCCGCCTCAGCCTCCCAAATTGCTGGGATTACACATCTATGAATGTTTTAAACACTTTGCCTACGTTCTGTTATTTAAGTCTCACCATAGCCTTTTTTTTTTTTAAGTAGACAAGGTTTCACTGTGTCACCCAGACTGGAGTGCAGCAGTGTAATCATAGTTCACTGTAACCTCAAACCCCCGGGCTCAAGTGATCCTCTCAAGTAGTTCAGACTATAGGCATGCACCACAACACCCGGCTAATTTTTTTACTTTTTGGTAGAGACGGCTCTCACTATGTTGCCCAGGGTGGTCTTAAACTCCTGGCCTCAAAGGATCCTCCTACTTTGGCCTCAGAGTAGCTGAGATCATAGACATGAGCAACAACCCCCAGCCTCATCATAGCCTTTTGAAGTAGTAATTATTTCTATTTTATTTTATTTTAATTTATTTTATTTTATTTTTTTGAGACAGAGTCTCGTTCTATCGCCCAGGCTGGAGTGCAGTGGTGCAATCTCGGCTCACTGAAACCTCTGCCTCCTGGGTTCAAGCAATTCTGCCTCAGCCTCCTGAGCAGCTGGGATTACAGGCATGCGCCACCATGCCTGGCTAATTTTTGTATTTTTTGAGTAGATACAGGGTTTCACCACGTTAACCAGGCTGGTGTCAAACTCCTGACCTCAGATGATCTGCCCGCCTTGGCCTCCCAAAGTGCTGGGATATTACAGGTGTAAGCCACCGCGCCTGGCCTTATCATTTCTTTGTAACAGATGAGGAACATGAAGCCCAGAGAGGTTGGATAACTTACCTAGGTCACACAGCTGGTGTCCAAGGCTTGTGCTCTTCCTGGGGCTAGGCCAGGAGTGAGAACAGCTGGGTCATTGATTTATAATGATTGGTAGCTTTATCCAGCCATTAGACTAGGGCATCCTTGAGGAAAGGATCTATGTCATATTCATTACCAAATGAGTCTGGGAAGAGTTGGTGCTTAGTAAATACTTCTTCCACAAGCAGATCAAGTTCATTCATGTCCAGAAGCAGGGGGAAAGGCATTCCTGGCATCAGGAAAAGCTTGGGCAAAGGCATGGTGGCAAGACAGTTCCTTTCAGAGAAGTCAAGAACCTGGTGTAGCTGGATGTCAGGATGAGGATGGGAGGCTGGCGAGAGCTGGGAGGCCAGGCTTTGAGGGGCCCTGAATGTCAAGCAGCAGCCCTTGGCCTTGACTAGGCAGGTCCAGGGAGGCTGCCCACAGGTAGGAAAAGACCACCAAGGTGGTAACTGTAGTAGCTTCCATCACTGACCACTGACCACAGAGTGTCAGCCCTGGGCAGAACGTGTGACACACATTGTCTGATTTAAGCCCTCAGTTAATACTGGGAGGTTGATGGGAGAGGAGAGGTTAAGTGACTTGCTCAAGGTCGCAAGGGGAGTGATATAGCCTGGAGTCTACCCAAGCCTGTGCAGTGCCCTTGGCAATGGGCTGCCTCCCTCAGAACTCAGCCCAGGGGTTCTGGGATCTCTACCTTGCCAGGTCTCAGCCCTGACCCTGGGTGAGGACCGCTGGGTCCACAGCAGGCGGGGCACTCAGCACTTCTGGCTGCAGAATGGCCCCCTCTTGGTTCCCTGTCGCTCCTGGGTCTCTGCTGGGTTGCTGAAGGCCAGCTGACTCTGGGTTCCAGACGGCCTCTGCTGTGGGTGGGGGCACTGAGAGTGAGTCCATGTGGAGTCCTTTAAGGTTGTGGGGTCCTTAAGTGCTGCCGATGCAGGCTGCCCTCAGAGAAGGCCTAGGAGAACGGCAGATCGAGGAGGGGCCTGGTCCTAGAGTCTTGGAACCCAGGTGCCCAGAGCTGGGATCTGGGAGGCTCTTGGGTCCTCTAACATCACCAGGGTTCATAGGGACCCACCAGGCTAACGTTTCCCAAAGCACGGACGAGGTGGATGAAGTCAGCAGCCTCAAGCAAAGGGCTCTGTGCTCACTGTACTCAATAGACTCCCTGAGTTGAATTTTAACACCAAGCCTGTTGCTTTGCTGCAGGACTTCTCAGGACCTTTAAAACGTAAATGTGCATCCTGACTCTCCAAGCAGGGACATAGTACATCGTGTTCCCCACATGGATCCCTTTTGTCAGAGTGTCTCACTGGAGCCCATTCTGGGAAATACGGTTTATAAGTACAAACACTGAGGCCCAAAGAGGGGCAATGAATTATCTAAGATCACACAACAAGTTAATGGCCAAGTCTGAATTAGATACTAAATTTTTCAAGTTCCAGGTCATCACAAAACTGAGTGGCTCTTTAATCCTTTATTAGGAATTCCTTGCATGGATATGGGACTTTACAACATAATAAATGGGTTTAGTAATCACATGAAACAATGATGGAAAACTCCTACCACATGTAGCGCATCTAGAAAGGCTTCAGTTAATAGTATGTATAATTATTGTGATCATAAGAATCTAGCATTTCTCATGGTTTCTGGCACGTAGCTGCTCAGTGTTGAATGAATGTTGAATAAAGACTAATAATTCACAGCTGTGTGAGAACTAAATCAGGTGGTGGAGGTGAGCTTTGTGAACTGTACAGCTGTTTTGTTAGTATAATTATCCTAAAGCTTAGGTAGGATGGGGTTGTGATCCTATGTTATGAATAGGGCCTGAGGCCCAGAGAGGGACGGTGATGTGCCCAAGGTCACATGGGGTGTGAGGGGGATCCACTGCTCTGCCAGCTGACAGTTTGGGAGCCTTTTTTGGAAGGAGCCAGGAAACCAGGAGGCAAAGTCCATTGAGGGAAAGGCTGGGGCCAGAAGGGCGGGTGGAGGCCATGTGGCCCCTGACAACCCTGTCTCTCCTTCCATCGGTCATGGCCTTTCCATGGTGTGCAGGGCGCTGTCCAAGACACCATCGGCCCTGGCACTGAACCAGACGCAACACTGCAAGCAGCTGGAGGGTCTGGTGTCTGCACAGGTGCAGCTGTGCCGCAGCAACCTGGAGCTCATGCACACGGTGGTGCACGCCGCCCGCGAGGTCATGAAGGCCTGTCGCCGGGCCTTTGCCGACATGCGCTGGAACTGCTCCTCCATTGAGCTCGCCCCCAACTATTTGCTTGACCTGGAGAGAGGTAGGAGCTGGCGAGGCTGCTGAATGCATGTGGGTGCGGGTGAAGGAATTCAGGCATCAATCTGTGTGTGTTTAGATGGAGGGATGGGTTCATGGGTGGGTGGATGATGGATTCATGGATGAATGACGGGTGGATACAGGCATGGATGGATGGGGTATGGGTGGATGAATTAATCATAAATATGGGTGTGCAGGCATGAATTCACAAACGAGTAAACACAGATGAGTGGCGATATCATCACAGGGGAGCCTGGACAGCACATGTACCTGTGTGCCCCCATGCATGAATGAAGGAATGACCCAAGGCTGTGGCCTGCTGTACGTGAGGCCACATGTCAGGGAGGCTCCTGGGAGGGGAGTCTAGAAACAATAATGCTATAGAGCCCACCCGCAGGGCAGACAGGTGTGCCACAGGTAACACTGAACCAGACTGCAGAAACTGTTGCACCATGCGCAAAGCAGTGTGGGGACAGAACATCTCGAAGACTTCCTGCAGGAGGTGGCTTCTGGTGGGGGGAGTCTGGGGGACCCATGTACAATAGGGAGGCTTTTGACAGACAGAAGCGCCCCAGTAGGTGTAATCTCTCCCCTGCACTATGATAACTTTTCTTGTGGGTCCTAAACAGTAGCAGCTAATGTTTGACAAACATTCTTTTCTTACTGAATTATTTGAACTCCAGAGGCAGCCTGTGAGGTAGCTGTTATCACCCGTATTCTACAGTTAAGGAAACTGAGGCTGGAGAAGGGAAAGTGGCTTGCTAGTTAAGAGACAGAGCCATGGCTCGGACCGATGGCCAGGGCCCCGCAGCTGAGGCTCCTGAGTGCCGTATTCGTTTCCCAGGGCTGCTGTCCAATGGGCCACAACTGGCTGCTTGCAAACAACAGATGTGTATTGTCTCAAAGTTCTGGAGGCCGGAAGTCTGAAATCGAGGTGTCAGCAGGGCCGTGCTCCCCCTGAAGGTGCTAGGGAGGATCCTTCCTGGCCCGTCCCTAGCTCCTGGTGGCGGCCCGCCATCCTTGGCATTCTTTAGCTTGCAGCTGTGTCACTGCGGTCTCTGCCTCTGTCATCACAGGGCAAGCTCCCTCTTTGTGTGTCTGTGTATCCGAAATTCCCCTTTCTTATAAGGACACCAGCCACTGGCCTAGGGCCCACCCTGATCCGGTATGACCTCGTCTCAGCCCCATTACATCTGCAAAGACCCCACTTCGTCATAAGATTATGCTCACAGGTACAGGGGTCAGGACTTGAACACATCCTTCGGGGGGACACAGGTCCACGCATAGCAGGTCCTTTGTGCATTTGTCTGGCGCATCAGGAGCTCAGAGCCTGGGCCTCACTACTGTAAAGCATCCCCTAATGCCAGTGCAGGGCAAGTGGGTGGAAGCCTAGAGCTGTGAGTGTGAGTAGGAGGACGTGGGTGAGGGCATGCCTGTGGGTGTGGGGTCCTGAGTGTGGCTGTCAGCTGGTATATTCAGAAGGAATTGGGGAAGCAGGGGTGACATCTCAATGGCCCTAGTGCCGACCCCTGCTGGCGTCACCTTGGTTACAGCAGGGTGTGGGCGAAGGTGGAGGACCTCTGACCTGGGCAGGGTCCTAGCCCTGGATCAGCGTCGGCTGACCTTCCCCTCCCACCCTCAGGGACCCGGGAGTCGGCCTTCGTGTATGCGCTGTCGGCCGCCGCCATCAGCCACGCCATCGCCCGGGCCTGCACCTCCGGCGACCTGCCCGGCTGCTCCTGCGGCCCCGTCCCAGGTGAGCCACCCGGGCCCGGGAACCGCTGGGGAGGATGTGCGGACAACCTCAGCTACGGGCTCCTCATGGGGGCCAAGTTTTCCGATGCTCCTATGAAGGTGAAAAAAACAGGATCCCAAGCCAATAAACTGATGCGTCTACACAACAGTGAAGTGGGGAGACAGGTAACCACCCACCCCACCCACCCCCAGATAGTTGTGCTTGTGCCATTGGCCAGAAAAGGGCCACCCAGCTTGCCCCAGTGGTGGGGGGTGCGGGGGGACGGGCCCTGACTGGCCCACACCTGATGTGCCTCGCACCATCCTCATCCTCAGCCCTTCCCTCGCCAGCTGCTTGGGGCTTGTGTCGCTTTCCTCCTCCAAGGCGTCCACTGGGGTTTGGGTTGTCCAAGCAGAGGGAGCACTGAACTAGGAGTCAGGAGCTCTGAGTTCTGGCCTTGGCTCTGGCACTAAACTCGCTTAGGGACTTTGGGAAAGTCAGTGCCTCTCCAGCCTCAGCTGTTCCCATCTATGAAATGGTGGGGGTGACCTGGTGCTGAGTCCCCATCTGTCATGTTCCTCAAGCTGTCCCTCCCTCCAGGGCGTGGAGAGGGCTGTGGTCAACAGAAGCCTATGCTAAGGGGTCATCTGCTTGGATTTAACGGGGACTCCCACCCACACCAACCGAAGCTGCTAGAACAGTTTCCTCCGGCATTCATTATTATCAGGTTTTCATTCATTCCTCACCTCACTGCCCAAAAGACTGGGGTGAGTGGACCTGTCAGTGAATGAACTTTCTACCAATCTGTGTTGCAGACACTGTGTTTGGTGCTCCATACCTTTCTGTTCTGTGGTCACAGAACAACTCGGGCAGGCCCTGTTGTCCCCTTTTTACAGATAGGGAAAGGACCGTGAATGGCAGGGATGGCCACTTGGCCAGAGCTGCATGTGCAGATGGCATCTCATCAGCTCCTCCCTGCACCCTTTAGCCCCATTTTACAGAGGCACTAAGTGAGGCTGAAAGCACTTCAGCGGCTCAGCCCCACGGCACAATAGAGCCCAGGACTGTGGGACTCCCAAGTCCAGGGGCTTCAGTGGCCTCACCTGTTCTCAAGGGTCTTCCTTGTGTGAGGATTCTAGGGTGTCCAGGCCATCCTTGGACAGTTAGGGAAACTGAAGCCAAATCATACTGTGGGTCTATAGCAGAGCCTGGCCAGGGACTCAGGACTCCTGCCTCCTGGCCCTGCTGACCTGTCCCCTACCCCTGCTCATGAAACCCAGTGGGAGCCCTTCGCCAGCGGCCAGCACGCCCACCACCATGGCCACGCCCACCACCATGGCCACGCCCACCATCATGGCCAGGCCAGCTGGGCGCCACATGCTGCCAGGGCCACAGCCCTCCTCTCCCCACCATGCAGCCCAAAGAGGGTCCTCCGCCTCAGGGCAAATCAGGCCCGTCCCTGAGGCCATCTGCAAAAGGGGCCAGTGTCCCTGCAAGGTGCAGGGCTGCGTGAGGATTAAATGAGATCACAAACGTGTTTAATACACCAGGAAGCTCCAAGCCCCTTTCCCCAGCTTATGCTGAGCAGCAGAACCTAGTTCACCTGCCCTCGATGGCTCACCAGTGCCTCGGTGCCCTGCAGTCCTGCTGACTTCATCCCTGTGACCTCCACAGACAATTCCAGATTGGGTACCCAAACACACTCCCTGGGTCCTCACTTCCTGGCACTGGTGAGGGGAAGGAGTCCTGGGACCTTGGCCAGCTCCCCCACTAACTCACTTGTCTTGGGCAAGTCCTGCCCACTCTGTGCCTCAGTTTCCCCATGTCTCTGATGCAGGGGATGGGCCCAGGTTCCCATGACTCTTGCAGGTCTCTGTACAGGAGAGGCAGGAGGGTAGGCCTGGGCAGAGGAATCCAAGTCTTGTGTTGAAAGAAGGGTTTAAAAGGCAGAACTGGAAGGCCCGTAGAAGGCATCTAACTTCTGCCCCTCAGGTATGAATAGGGAAACTGAGGGCCAGGGAAGCTGGTGGGCCCGAGTCCTTTTTGAAGCCAGGGCAAGAGTCTCCCCAAGCCTCTGAGCCCAAGGGGGCTCCACCATAGTTATTACTTAAATGGATTTTTCAAAACCAATATTGATTTAACTTTTATGGTTCACAAAACCCTTTTGTGTGTGTGATCTCATTTCATCCTTACAGCTCTCTGCAAGGCAGGAATTATGTGCTCGCCTTGCACGAAAGAAGACAGAGGCCCTGAGTGGCGATGTGGCTTGCTGAGGGTGGCCTGGCAGGAGCACTGGCAGTGGGGGGAAAGTCAGCCAGGCGGCGGGGAGGTGCCCCCTGCACTTACCCCTGCCTCTTCTCCCCTTCCTACCCTCCTCCCTTCCTTCCTTCTCTTCTTTTCTGCCTTTTTTCCAGCAAGCATTTAGTGAGAGAAAAAGCATGAAACAATTAAAAGCCACCACTTTTGGAATCAGCCTCAGATCTGGGTTCAAATTCAAGCTCCATGATTTTCTATCTGCACCCTTGGGCATGAGACTTAGCCTCTCTGAGCTATTGTTTCTTCTTTTTAAAATGGGGGAAGTAAGGATACCTCCCTTGGGCCGTTGTGGTGATCAATCTCCATTATGTGTTAGAGCGCTTGGTATACAGCAGGTGCTAAACAATGGCATCCCTATCCCTGAAAATGCCTTTCTTCCTGCCCCTCAGCTGTGCCCCCCACGGTTGCAGGAAGGCCCACACCACCTCCAAGCTTTAAAGCAAAAAGCTCTATCACTTCAGACTCCAGCAGGCAGTGACTCCCTGAGAGCACCCAGCCATGGGTGGGTGGGGCTGGGGTCCCGGGTCAGGCCAGGGAGGGGACTCTGGCCACCCAGCTGACGCCTTCCCCTGTCCGCAGGCTCTGCGCGCCTCTCTGGAAATGAAGTGTAAGTGCCATGGGGTGTCTGGCTCCTGCTCCATCCGCACCTGCTGGAAGGGGCTGCAGGAGCTGCAGGATGTGGCTGCTGACCTCAAGACCCGATACCTGTCGGCCACCAAGGTAGTGCACCGACCCATGGGCACCCGCAAGCACCTGGTGCCCAAGGACCTGGATATCCGGCCTGTGAAGGACTCGGAACTCGTCTATCTGCAGAGCTCACCTGACTTCTGCATGAAGAATGAGAAGGTGGGCTCCCACGGGACACAAGACAGGTGAGGCCTGCTGCCACCTTGGTGGGAAAGGGTCACTGGTGTTGCACATACTGTTCCCCAGCTCAGGGTCACGCACACAGCAGGGACTCAGGTGGCATGTGGGGAATGGAGACCCTGCTCAGTTGAGAGAGTTGGCCCCAGGACTGCTAAGTGGAGATGCCAGGGTTCTAGGGTCCCCTGCAGAGCTGCTGGGAGCGCCTGTTCTGCACTGCACCTGGCAGGGGCCAGTGAATGTAGGCTGATGGGGGGCCCCTGCTCCACCTTCCCCAGCTGGGGAGACAGATGGGAAGAGACAATGACGCTACTGGGGGACAGGACAGGAACGAGGCTGCCCAACGTAAGATAGGTGCTCAGAAAATGTTTGTCAGATGAACAGATGACGGGTAAAGGCCATACAGCCTGCTCGTTGCACAGCAAAGGGACTGAGGTGCCAGGGGAGATGGGGACAGCCTACACTGTGTGAGGGAGAGTGATGTCTGCCTGCATTCCGTGCAGCAACACTGCCCCTGTGTCCTCGCCCCTGTGAGCCCTCTCCCCGCACGCCCCCATCTCCTCCTGGGGACCCCAGGCCTGGAACCCTACCACAGCCCCAGTCACAGCTGCTGCAGCAGGCTCAGGACAGGAGAGTGAGGGAGCCAGGGGTGACTGCAGACCTACCGTGTGATGGGTGGGGCTGGTGAGGACTGCACAAGCAGCATTTCCCAAAGACGGTGCTGGCGAAAGCTGGTCCCGATCTCCTACGAGAGAAAGAGCTCTGTCGTCACATGCATTTGGGAAATTCTCTGGCGATTCACAAGGCACTAGAACATATGAAAGGCTCTGAGGAATCTGCAGTAAAGGATCTGTTTAAGCCAGTGTTTCCCAGAGGTGTTTGGCCATGGAACTCTTTTATTAAGGAGCCCCTAATAGCATTCCACAAAACTCGTGTTCTCGGGGTTAAAAGAATATTGCACCAGAGAGTGGGTGTCTGGGAACGTGTCTGGCACATAGTTGGTGCACAGCCAGCGTTGACTTCCTCCGCAGCCCACGTTCCTGTCTCCAGGAGAGGGAGGGGGTGGGCTGGGGGGCTGCATCCCCACAGGCCAGGGCAGCAGGCTCTGTGAGGAGGCCCAGGCTCCCATCTGGAGGCCAGATTGAGGGGGTCGGCAGAGGGAAGATGGAACCAGGTCAGGCCAGGGAGACAGGAAGGAGCCAGAGGCTGGGCTGAGGTAGATGGGGATGGGGGAGTTAGAGGAGGATTCTAGAACATGGAGGGCTGCAGGAGGCCCACGGAGGACCCGAGAGTGAAGAAAGGGTCTTCCTGGATCCATATGTGGCTCTGTGTGTGTCAGGGAGGGCACAGCTTCCCAACAGGGGGACTTGAGCACATCCCTCACTGATCTGAAGCTCAGCCTCGTCTTCCGCACAGTGGGGAGGGCACCCCACCGCTCACAGGGTTGTCGAGTGATCTCCAAGCGCACTTACCTAGCATCTCCCCTCTCCCCTCCCCTCCCGGGCAGTCTCCCCTCCCCCGTGCCCTCAGGCTGCCAGGCCCCTCTCTCCCAGCTGCCCCTCACTCCTCATGAGGAGGCCCCGCCCTCAGCACCACTTACCCTCCTGGCTTCCTTCACAGCCCCCACAGGTTTCCTGCCTTGCGGCTCCCGGTCCTTCCCTAGGGGGACCCTTGCAGGCATCTGTATTAGTTGGCTTTTGCTGCAGTAACAAACACCCCCAATTTCTCAGTAGTTCATAACCACAAGCATTTCTTGTGCCCATTACATGAGACTGCATGTCAGCTGTGTCTCTGCCTGGCTCTGGCAGGTGCTGGTGGGAGGTCCCCAAGGGCTCAGGTCGTGACAGAAAAGCCTGGTGTGAAGGGAGCCCAGAGGGTCCCTGATCCAGCCTGGACATCAAGGAAGGCTTCCTAGAGGAGGGGAAATTTAAGATTGATGATGAGGTTGGGGGTTGGGTGTAAGTGAGCCTGGTGAACTGTGAAAGGCGTGTGCATGCGGGGTATCTCTAGAGGCTGCCTCCCTCTCTGCGGAAGATGCCTTGCAGCCTCCTCAAATCTAACCTGGGGAAACCAAGGCCTAATCTGCAGACAATATTCCAAACCCTAGCCCTCTTGTCATATTTCTTCCAGAGGCCTGCACCTCTGAAACCCACCCCCACCCACAGTCTGAGCCACCCTGTACCCTGGGAGCCAGGCATCCAACGGCCCTTCCCTGGGCCTATGGCCCCACTGGCCCCAATCCTGGTCCCAGGCACCCGGGCCTTGTCTGGATCTGACACTGGAGGCCAAGTTTTCAGACAATGCATGTCAGGGATCCAGAAATTTAAAAAAGAACTCTGCCTCCTTCCTACCCTTCAGGGTAGAGTGCTCAGCCAGAGCCTTCAGGAGAAGGCTGAGGGGGAACTCATGGATGCCAAGTGGCTAAACAAAGCCCAAAAAGGTTCAGTGACCTGCCTTAAGTCACACAGCCACTAAGTGGCAGAGCTGGGGCTTGAACCCAGGTCTGTCCAGCTCTGGGGCAGGTGTTCTGGGAACTGCTGGCAGCCCCCACTTGCTGGTCACCGGCTGACTCTCCCCAGGCGCTCCCCTCCTTCTGCCCATGGCCCCTTCCGGCTCAGGCCTGGCCTCTCCCCCAGCACTGATCAGCCTCCTCCGGGCCTCCAGCCCTCCCCTTCCATCTGCTCTCACTGTTCTGAGGGCAGGCCTCGTCTTCTGCCTTTGCCCAGGCTGTTCCCTCTACCCCAGCACTCCTTCCCTCCTCTGCACGGCGGAGTCTTGCTTATCCTTCATGAATGGCCTAGATGGCCTTTCCTCTTCCAGGAGGCCCTGCTGAACTCTCACAGACCTTGTACTCACCACGGGCAAGGCCCCTCTCCCTTCTGTGTCTGTTTCCCCATCAGTAAATATGAGGATTGCATTCGGTCATCTCTAGGACTTTCCCATCTTGGACATTCTGGGATTCCTCGGCCCACATGTGGGGACCCTTTGTCCCTGTCAGTGCCCCAGCCCCCTGCTGCTCTGTCCCCAACTACATCTCATGAAAACACTCCCTGTCTAGCCTCAGCCCAGCTAGAGGAGCCACCAGTCTGAACAGATGATTTGTCACTAGACAGAAGAACTGAGAGCAGTGGAAGGATGTTTGCATTTTATAGGGACCTTCAATGTCTTCGCATCCCACATTTGGGAAGAAATGCAGCCCCTGCTGGCTCCCATGCCCCACCCTTTAGGGTAGGGAGAGCAAGTCAGGGCCTTAGTTTTAGTCCCCAAGTTTAAGCCTCTGCCCTTTGCTGAGCCTGTTTTCATCTGCATAATGGACGTAATCATTCCACTGACCCAAGGGCCCTACAGGCCTCCACTAAGATAAGACACTGGAGGGAGAGCCTGACCCACAGGAGGCACATGGCCAACAGACCCCTATTCCTCCACGAGCAGCGTGTCTGATGCCCAGTGGGGGTTCGAGTATTTCAGCATTTATCCTAGGATTCTAAAAATCAAATGATCTTGACATCTCTCATAATATTTAATTAAAGATTAAATATGGCTGTGTGTGGTGGCACACGCCTGTAATCCCAGCTACTCGGGAGGCTGAGGCAAGAGAATCGCTTGAACCCAGGAGGCAGAGGTTGCAGTGAGCTGAGATTGCACCACTGCACTCCAGCCTGGGCAACAGAGCGAGACTCTGTAAAAGGTTACACATAAAGATAGGCTTATTAGATTGGTTGGAGGGTCCTTCCAGTATTTAGAAGTAGAAGAAATAGAAAAAAGCTATCTCCAAGACAACAAAACAAGGCTGGGCACAGCAGCTCATGCCTGTAATCCTAGCACTTTGGAAGGCTGAGGTGGGAGGATTGCTTGAGCCTAGGAGTTCAAGACCAGCCTGAGCAATATAGTGGGATTCCATCGCTACAAAAATAAAAAATTAGCCGGACATGGTGGTGTGTGCCTGTAGTCCCAGCTACTCAGGAGGCCAGGGTGGGAGGAGCACTTGAGCCGGGGGCCTGGGTGGTGGGGAAGGCGGGGGTCAAGGCTGCAGGGAGCCATGATCACAACCACTGCACTCCAGCCTGGGCAACAGAGTGAGACCCCATCTCAAAAAAATAAAAGAAAACAGCCCCATCATTTTGGTAACCCCTTATTAGAAATATAGGGAAAAGTTAGAAGTACCTTTAGGTAAGAGGATTATTTAAAATTCCCCAAAGATCAAGACAGCTTCTAAGAAGGGCTGAGTCGGTGGCCATGGGAGACGCTGCCGGCTGCCTGGCTGGGAGTCATGGGGTGTTGGTGGGGTGGTGACCAAGGCATGCACTGACCTCCTTCCTGCCCCCACAATAGGCAGTGCAACAAGACATCCAACGGAAGCGACAGCTGCGACCTTATGTGCTGCGGGCGTGGCTACAACCCCTACACAGACCGCGTGGTCGAGCGGTGCCACTGTAAGTACCACTGGTGCTGCTACGTCACCTGCCGCAGGTGTGAGCGTACCGTGGAGCGCTATGTCTGCAAGTGAGGCCCTGCCCTCCGCCCCACGCAGGAGCGAGGACTCTGCTCAAGGACCCTCAGCAACTGGGGCCAGGGGCCTGGAGACACTCCATGGAGCTCTGCTTGTGAATTCCAGATGCCAGGCATGGGAGGCGGCTTGTGCTTTGCCTTCACTTGGAAGCCACCAGGAACAGAAGGTCTGGCCACCCTGGAAGGAGGGCAGGACATCAAAGGAAACCGACAAGATTAAAAATAACTTGGCAGCCTGAGGCTCTGGAGTGCCCACAGGCTGGTGTAAGGAGCGGGGCTTGGGATCGGTGAGACTGATACAGACTTGACCTTTCAGGGCCACAGAGACCAGCCTCCGGGAAGGGGTCTGCCCGCCTTCTTCAGAATGTTCTGCGGGACCCCCTGGCCCACCCTGGGGTCTGAGCCTGCTGGGCCCACCACATGGAATCACTAGCTTGGGTTGTAAATGTTTTCTTTTGTTTTTTGCTTTTTCTTCCTTTGGGATGTGGAAGCTACAGAAATATTTATAAAACATAGCTTTTTCTTTGGGGTGGCACTTCTCAATTCCTCTTTATATATTTTATATATATAAATATATATGTATATATATAATGATCTCTATTTTAAAACTAGCTTTTTAAGCAGCTGTATGAAATAAATGCTGAGTGAGCCCCAGCCCGCCCCTGCAGTTCCCGGCCTCGTCAAGTGAACTCGGCAGACCCTGGGGCTGGCAGAGGGAGCTCTCCAGTTTCCAGGCAAGGCGGCTTCCGATTGATGTCCCTTCTCCCCCCGCGCTCCCCCCACACCAGGCCCTGGCCCTGATCTCCCTGTAAGAGCTCTTGGTCAAGGGCGAGGACAGACGTCTTGAAACATAAACCCAGCTGGCAGCATCTTTTTTCCTCAGGGACACACACGCAGGCGCAGCTCAAAGCCTGGCCGTGTTGTCAGGCCTGCCTGCTAAGCTGGCTTCAAGGGAAAACACTCCCTGGGCAGCTGGGATGCAGACTTCGGGGAGGTGGTGCAGATCCAGGCTCTAGCTAGCCCTGGTGGGTTTTCTGCGTGACCCTGGGGAGGGCTCTCTGCCAGCTGCAGTTTCCCCATTTGTAAAATGGGAGTGGTGGGGAGGAAGGCTGAAGGTTGGGAAAGGCCTCGTGCCTGGAGGCTGGCAGCATTGGACGTGTTGAGAAGTGGTTGGATTCTGGTTCTGTTTTGAAGGGGGAGCCAACAGGATTTGTTCTCTTTTTGCATGTGGGGTGTAAGGGGAAGGAGGCCCAAGAATGACTGCCGGGGTTTTGGCTGGAGCACTGGGAAGGCTGAAGGGGCCGAATGCCGACATGGGGGTGGGGAGAGGCCTGGGGTTCAGATTTGGGCCCGTGGGGATTGTGATACAGTTTACGCTCCTAGTGGAAATACTGAGTGGCCGGGCAGATATCCGGGTCTGGAGTGCTGGGGAGCGGCCAGGGCTGGAGATCCACATTTGGGTGTCATCGCTAAGGGAGTGTGTGGGATAGAAGAGTAAAGAGGACCAAGGCCTGGGGCACTCCTGCCTTGGAGGCTGGGGAGATGAAGCTCAGAGAAGACACAGGAGACAGAAGGAACAGCCAGGGAGGCAGGAGGGAGGTCGGCGGTCCTGGCTGTTGCCAAGTGAAGACAGGGTGCCAAGGGGAACAGGATCACCGCAGGCACATCACTGTCCCTCTGAGCTTCCGTGTCACCTCCCTCATGGAGGCAGCACCAGTAACCAAGAGATGAGTAAGTGGGGTATCCCCAGTGCCTGGCCAGGGCAGGTGGCCCCGAAACAGAAGCAGTGGTTCATCACCTGGATCTTGCTGTGGCTGGGGTGTAAGAGGATGTTATAATCCAAATCTCTGCATGCACCAGAGAGACTCGGACTTAGTACCAGTGCTCTTCCCTCCCCGAGCCGGCTGAGGACTGAGACACCACCTGGAGGGGCTGGGGCAGAGCGGGGCCTTGCACAGGATTTGGAGAAGTGAAGCCACATCCTTGGGGGTGGGATGGCATGGATGACCCCTCAGGGGCTGGACCCATCCTGAGTGGGAAGAAGGGGGCCTTCTGTGGCCATCCTCGAGGCCCTGCCTGAAAGCTTGCAGTGCGGACAGCCAGAGCCACAGCGTCACCAGCTGCAAGGAACCTCAAGATAAGTCTTCTGGTGTGTTTTGCAGATGAGGAAATTCAGAGATGGGAAGGGCCTTCCTGTGGTCACAGAGCTGATAAGGGGCTGGGAACGGGGGGAGGTGGAGCCTTCCCGGGTGGGGCCCCTGCCAGCCCCTCTGTTGAAAACCCCCAGCCTCCCTGGAAGGAGCCCCTGGAATGTGCGCTCTCCAGGCCCAGGGCTTCCCTGCTTCATAGCTCTCAGCAACCTCCTAGCCCACAAAACCAATCCCCAGTCCCTAGCCTGGAACACAAGGCCTGTCCCCCAGGCGATTCTTCCAACAGCATTTCCTGCAACTCCCAGCTGCTCAGCCTGCCTGCCCTCTGGGCATCTGCTGTTCTCCCTCGCCAAGAGTGCTGTTTTCCCTGCTGGAATCCCACACAACCCTCACAGCCCTCTCCACAAAACCTTCCCCAGTGCCCTAGGTGGAAGGGATCTCCCCCTCTTCAGGCACCCCACAACCCTCTGAACATTTAAAGCAGCCATCACCCTCCTTCTCAAGCTGCCAGCCAATGCCCTCTTCTGCAAAAGCCAGGTAAATGGCTCCCTCCTCCAGGAAGCCCTCCCCAACTACCCTCAGCCTGGGTCAGGGGCCTCCTCTGGGTTTCCACAGCCTCTGTGCTCCCTGCAATGTTTCATGGAACCAAGGTGTTGTGGAGGCCTATGTTGTGTCATATCATCTGTCTTCCCCACCTGTCTGGGGCCTTTTCATGGGCTGGGACCAGCCATATGCACCAATGGGCCCTGGGATCTGGGGGGCAGCACAACAGGGCTGGGTATAAAACATACCTCCAAAATGTTGGATTTGGGAGTGTCCTTTGGACCTCTGTCAGGACAAGTAAATGGGGAAACCAGACCAAGGACCCAGAATGGCTCTCAGAAAGGGTGGCCACATGATATAACTGCTACCATTTATTGTGCACCTGCTGTGTGACCTTCTAAACACAGTGGCCCAAGTCATCACAGCAGCCCTCCGAAGTGAGTATTGTTACCATTGACAGAGGAGGAAACTGAGGCTCTGCAAGAAAAGGCGGCTCGCTCCAGACCTCAGGAAAACTCCCAGCACAGCAGGGCTCTGAGCGCAGGTGCGTTCCTGCTCACATGTCCGCACTCCCAGCAGGCTCGGGGGAGCTGCATGGAGAGCTGAAGACCGTTTCCTGGGCTGAGCTGGAGGGCTGGGAGGGGAGTCCTCAAGCTCAGGACAGGAGACCCTGGGGGGGGGTCCCTGACTCAGCGGGCTACTGGCCCGTCCCCACATCTGTGACAAAGCACTTAACCTTTCTGGCTGGCCAGGAGCTGGACAACCGAAGGGCAGTGGGAGCTGGTCCCGGTGCTTCCCCTCACCCCCAGGTCAAGGCTCTAAGAATGCAACCAGGCTGAGCCCCACTCCGGGGAGGTGGATGCTGGGGCCTCTGCCAGGTGCATCACAGGGGTGTGGAGGCTCCCAGGACCTCGGAGCTCTGGTAGCTCAGGATCTCATTGTGTTCAGAGATTTGGAAACGTGAGATCTTGGTACTCAGGAATTGTGGAGTAGAAACCCCAAACCACTGCCTTGCCAGCCCTGTAGAGGCCCCCAGGCCAATGGCCAACCCAAAGGATTTTGAAGGCTGCATACTGATCTGAGGGTGTCAGAATTCTTGTCCCCAGCAGATTTCCCTTCCCAGGACTTGCTCCATCTCCCTCCTGTGTAAGGGGCAGCAGTCACAGACAGGGCTGTGTGAGGCTTGGAGAGCCCCCGAAAGATGGAGACTCCCCAGTGATGACAGCACCAGCCGCTCTGAGGCGGCTCTGAACCAAGTGTGGGAGGCTGGCTGGAGACCTGGGAGAGACAGGGTCTGAGGAGGGAGACAAGAAGGCGGCAGAGAGGAAACAGGAACTCCTGAAAAGAGGGAGAGATTAGTTTGGTGGGAAAGGGGAGAGTGGACAGATAAGACCCCGTGAGGAGGCCAGGCCAGGCCAGAGGAACAACCAAGGGGCCCAAGCCCAGCCCTGAGCAAGCCACTGGTCTGTGGTTCCTGAGGCTGTGGAGACCAGCCACTGGGTTACACAAACCAGGCCCCAGCATGATGCAGTCTCCAGTCCGGAACCCCAGACCCAGAGAGGCTGGACGGGGTAAGGGGAGTTTAGGGCTAGGAGGTAGGAATCCTGCATCTTTTCTAGCTTCTTGCTGTGTGACTCTAGGCAACCACTGGCCCTCTCTGGGCCTCTTCGGCAGTTGTTTTGTCCAATTCTTACACCCAATCTAAGGGATATGACCCAGTATCTCTGTTTTATTGATGAGGAAACTAAGGCTCAGAGAGGGAAGTGACTGGCCCAATGTTAGAGAATAATTAGTGGAGGAGCTGAGATTCAAACCTCGGACTGCTTGGCTCCAACTGTTGGGCTTGTCTCAGCCTCCACAACATGCATCCCAGGGATGAAGGTGGTCTGTGACTGAGTGGGGGTTTTGACTGGGAGCCGCTGGAGGGCATTGCAAGAGAGGAACAGGGAACAATTCAAGACTGAGCAGTTCCTGACATCTGTTGCAGGGCCTGGGAAGCGCAGTCCAGGCGCAGGTGCCAGGAAGGAGCTGCCCATCAGGATCAGGCCACAGCTCAACTAACACGTTCCCGCCCTGCCCTCCTCAGGTGAGCTGCTCAGCATCGCCTGTGTGCCTGGCCGCCCAGGCCTCACCTGTGTGTGTGTTGGCGCGAGGGACGGGGGAGCACATGAAGCTCAGGTGTCCTCTTCAGTGGGCCCACAACTCTTAGTTATTATAGCAGAGAAGACAGGAGGCCGAAGACAGGCAGAGCCCTGGGGCTTTGGGGATTTGGAGAGGGAAGGCCTACTCCTTTCTGGGTACTGGGAGTAAGGAGTGGGAAATCAGGAAGATTTCATGGAAGAGGTGCCATTTGCATTGGGTCTGGAAAGTGGGGCAGGATTTTAAGAGATGGAGAAGAAGGTGATGTGGAGGGGTCTGTGTGAGAACAGCCATGGCAGCAAAGTATGCTCAGAGGAGGCCAAGAGGTGGGTATGGCTGGAGCTCAGGGGCCTGTGGGCACCAGGGCAGCAAGGATCCAAGCCAGGCTGCCTTGGGTCCTGCCAGGTATCCAAGACCACCCCCAACAGGGCACTAGCAGCCGACTGGTCTGACCGCCGCCTGCCCGCCAGGCCACCCGCCCGCCCGCAGAGCTGGCTGGCTCCAGGCAGAGCAATTTAACAGCCGCACGTTTAATGGTCCCTTTGCTCCCATATACCAAATCAATATCCGCTCTGCTCCCCAGGCTTGTGGCTGCTGAAGACAGTCTCCTTACCGGCCCCTTGGTCCACATTGTCTTACCTGCTGGGCGCCAGCAGAGGGGCTGGAGCGCTGGGGCAGGGAGCCCGGGGTGGGTGATGGGGGAGGAGCAAGAGGAGGACGTGGCTGATCAGGACAATCATCCCAGACACCCCCATTCAGGCTGGCAGGTGAAGGCAAGAGCTTGCCAGAGGCCCAGCCTCCAGTGCGCCTGGGCACAGATGCCGTTCAAATCGGAGTATTTATTTTATGTCTCCACTGTCTGCGCATCCACAAAAGCATGCGGTCCTCAAGAAGGTGGTGGAGTAGGAGGCTGCCTGAGGGCTGCAGGGACAATAGCCCGTTAGATGTCATTACCTCGGAGCCTCCTTCACACTCAAGATTCCCAGAGTCCATTTTTCCTAGAGTCTGGTCCTCCATTCCGAACCATTCCACGGCCCTGCGATCTCAGGACACTGGACTCGAGACACTACGAGTCCATCATGCCTAGTACTTGAAGACTCCAGAACTGTCTGCCATGGCTTTCTGCACCTGAAGTGCAAGATTTCTCTTTTCTTGCATCTACACCATCCTTGCCTCCCCACGTCCCCTCCCCCGGAGGTTGCCCTCTCTTCCAGTCCCATCTGACCCAAGGCAGAGTGGGAGCAGCAGGCAGGAGGCCACTGCAGGCAGACCCTGGCTCTCTTCAGCCCTGGCCTTTCCCTAGACATCCCAGGTGAGAGATGGGTAACCGGGGCACCCTCTGATCCAAAGCCAGCTCCTGGGGCCTGGCTCTTCATCCTGGATGGTCTTCCTGCAGGCCTGTGATGGGGCTCCGTGCTCCAGGTGACATCTGGGTCGGTTTGGAGGCTGTTCCCTCCTGGCAGTTGCTGTCCTTCCCTCCTGCTGTCTTGCTGGGTGGACCTGCAAGCCCCTGGGGGCTTCTCTCGCAGCAAACAGAGACTCCATCGGCACCAGGGGCTGATCCAGATTCTCCGGAATGATGATCAACACTTCCTGTGTAGGCCAAAGCCCAGGCATGGTGTAAAATCCATTTAGGAGCAAAGAAAAACAGACCCCACCACCTCCTGCACATACACAGCGTACCTCCCATGCCAACACCCCCACACCCACCCACCCCACCCTCTCTCTCTCTCCAGAACACACATGAAATGCAGGAACTCTGCGGGAGGCTGTCCTGGGTAGCAGGCAGGAGCACGGCCTGTCAGAGCCACACAGACAGGGTTTTAACCCTGCACTGCCCCTTCCAAGCTGAGTCACCCTGAACACATCACAGCACCCCCAATTCCCTTTCCTTGGCTGTAAAATGAGGGTGAACACAGCTTGTCCTGACACTCGGGAGAGGTCAAGTGTGTAAAGTCTCCAGCACCCTGCCTGGCTGACCAGGCCCAGCCAGAGCTAGGTGGGTTGTGCCTGTTATACAACCTGCCATTCCTTCCCCAAAGCTCCCCTGAACTTGGGCTCCATGCCCTGCCCTGTGCTGCAGGCTGGGGACACAGGTAAGCCAGCTCCAGCTCCTAGACTACACACCTGCTGTGGGTGAGGGACAGGTAACCTGGGCACCCTCTGATCCAAGAGCACCAAGGAGAGATGACTCTGCTGCGGGAGGGGCTGGGGAGGACCATGTGTTACAGGCACAGGCCTGACTGTGGCTCCTGGTTCTGCCCTTGCTGGCCGTGAGTTACTTCAGCTTTCTGAGTCCCTGTTTGCTCATCTGTGAAGCAGGATGAATGGCAGGACCCACCTCTTTGTCTTGTTGTAAGGCTCAAAGTAGGTAATGCACATCAAGCACTCAGCAGATAGATAGTAAGAGTTATCCACTGGTAGCCACTGTGATTAAAGAATAATTCAGTGACACAGTCAGTCAACAAACCTCCACCGAGACAGCCTCTGCAGATGCTGGGGTGTAAGAGCTGAGGCTAAATGGCTCCAGCCCTCAGGGCCCCAAAGCCCCAAGAGTCTGGGTAAGAGACTGTAATTGAGGGGTGAGCAAAGTGGGCTGGGGGCCCAGGGCCAGGGGCAAGGGGATAGAGTCAGGGTAGCCCTCCCAGGGAAGGCCCCATGGGTGCTGCAGCTGGATACAGAAGGAGGAAGAGCAGTGCCTGGCTGGACTGGAGGGGGACACCGAGGCAGAGGACAGTGTGGCCAAGGTCGGGGTGAGGAGAGCAAGGGCTCTTCAGGAGACACACTCGCAGGGGCCTTCCGGTTTCTGGAAAAGCCCAGCTCTGTGGGATCCCAGGGGACCTGCACAGGAGGGCTCTGCAGGGGTGAAGCGCAGCCCTGCCCTCACACAGGGCTCCTCTGAAGGCCGGAATGGAGCGCGAGCAGAGGGAGGCTTTGCCCTTCCTGACGAAGCCCTGCAGCCCTGCAGCCCTTCTCCCAGGAGACTGTGGGCCTCTGAGAGGGCCCGGCCCCACCATCGAGTCCCCCAGCCCCTTACAGCACCCTACCCGTACCTCGTGTGGTCCTGGGACTGCAGATGCTGGTGGACCAGGGCCTGCGAGGACACCATCTGTTCCTGCTGTCCCCCAAAAACCCGACCCAGGCCTGGTCCACAGACACAGCAGAAGCCCAAGGCAGCAAGGGCCCATACCAGAGGGGCTGGTGGACCCCCAGGCCCGAGGCTGGGGCTCAGGTCCAGGCTCTAGGTGGGACATGTGTGCCTCTTGAAGGATGCTGCTCACTGGTGAGTGGTGGGCCCCCAGACCCCATCTTTCCCCAGGCTAACCCCGACTTACAGACAAGGGAACTGGGACAAGAAGCCTGCTCCTGATGGGTGCTGGCTCCCAGTGGTTCCGACTTCAGAGGCCCGCAGAGATGCCTGGCCCTGTGCTGAAGGCCTTCCTGCCCTCTCACGACATCCATGTTTCCTGAGCACCTCTTGTGTGCTGGGGGCTGCCCTTGGTGCAAGGGTGCACTGGGGGGTCTCACTCAGAGCTCTCCAGGCCCTGGTCCCATGGAAGGGTTGCAGCACGCGTTGCAAAGGCCACAGCCCCACACCTCTGCCTGGGGACCTGGCTCCCTGCAAGGGCCTGGCTGCTGGAGGCAGGACGGCTGATCTCTGGAAGGAGCTTGCAAAGGGGCACTACTGGAAGGCACCTTGATTAAGAAACATTCACAGCAGCAGCCCCAGACTCACCTGCCTGGGATTATGGAAGCCTCGCCCTTGGCCTGCAGCTGAGCCCCTGCTGTGGTAACAAGCACACAACCAGCCCTTACTGAGAACTTCCGAGGCCCTACGCACAGGGCACACACGGCTCCTGCTGGCATAGCCACTCACATATCCTGTGAGTAGGACGTGGCATCATTACTACTGAAGAAACAGGTACTGTGGGTGACTCCGGAGCCAGACCAGGCCCAGCTCTACCATTTAATCCCTGGGTGACCGGTGCCTTTGTTTTTTCATCTTTAAAATAGGGACCAGGCCAGTCCTCCCTTCTCTGGGATGTTGAGAGAAGCAGGTAAGGTTAAGGGCTTGGGATGGCCTGTGGCAGAGTCGAGGTCTTGTAAATGATCAGCATGAAGATCCTGATGCCAGGATTTGGCACCTGGGCTCCTCTTCAGGCACTGCTCTGCCTACCCTCGTGGCTGGTCCCATCAGGCTGTTTCCATGGGACCCCCACTGCCTGGGGAGCTGGAGGCCTGGCCTCCTGTGATAGCCCCTGCCATGATGCTAGGCACAGACCAGGTGCTTACAAATGGCCGCAGTGTGTATTATGTTGGGGAGGAGGGAGAATTAGTGGCATTTGAGGGTGCTTCCATGTAAGCCTGACGCCACCACTCCAAGGCCTCCCATCTCCCTAGGGCATCCATCCTTGTCGTTGCTGGGTCCTCCCACCTCTCAGCTCGAGAGGGATTGTCCCATTTTACAGGTCCCCTTCGCCTCTGCTCACTAAGGGCTGGAGGCTCAGGGAAGCCTCAGTCACTGGAGAGAGAACCAGAAAGACCTTGGAAGTCAGCTTCTCCAACTCTCCTGGCCTCAACCCCACTCTACAGATGGGGAAACTAAGGCCCAGAGGGGCAGGGCTGCCCCCAGTCCCGCTGTGTGTCAGAGGCAGATTCCCTGGCTGTGCTCCGGCCTCCGAGGGGCTGGGGGGCTGTGGGGTCTGGGCCGAGCAGGGCCTGTTGTAATCAATCCCGCCACCCTCGCCTGCTTTGCCCTCTGAAGCATGGTCTTCCCCTCTCCCTACCAGAGAGGGGCCTGGGTCCTGGCAAGCTGGGGGAGGAGCAACACAAATATTTAGTCTGTGTGGAAGGGAGCAAAGCTCAGATCTTGGCCCAGTGGCCCTGCCTCAGGCCCTGTGCCAGGAGCCACATCACAGAGGACCATGAGCCCCCCAGTGTCCTAGGGCCCCCATCACAAATGATTTTTTGCACAAACCTGTTATGGTGCCAGAAATTCCACCATTTATAATTCCTTGGGGGTGAGACATCATATCTTCCCACTAGGCTCCCTTTTCCAATAATAATAATAACAATAATAGCAACATGTGCATGTCCAGGGGTGTACAGTTAACCCAGGACTTTCCCATCCCCCACCCTCATAACAGCTCGGTAAGGCAGGTACTGTTTTAGCTATTTTGGACGGGAAACCAGGACTCAGAGGGGTGGTGGGACTTGCCCAGGGTCACAGAGAGCAGTAGGCGACTAGACTCAGGTCCAGGTCTGACTGCAGAGTCCTGGTCTCAATCTTGGTCCCCCTAGGCAATGGCAGCTTGAGGTGGTGGTGCCTTTGGGTTCCTGGAGGAGGGAGCCATCCTCGGCCGCAGGCCTGCAAGGGGCCCCCTCCTGGGTTGGGGCAGGGACCAGTTGTATCCCAGGTTCCTCGCCTTTTCCTCTACAGCCAGACATCTCTCCAGTCTCAAACCTGGCGGAAGTTTGACACCACAGGGATCTGATTCCTGCTGAGGGCCTCAGATTTAACCTCCTCTCCTCATCCCCCAGTCCTGAGCCCCTCTGGGTTCCTATCTCCATGAATGGGAAGTGCTATCGTTCCCCACCTGCTTTAGCGTCTCCCCCCTGCCCCCGCATTATGCAAATCCTCAGGCCCCACCCCAGACCTACCGAATTGGAAACTCTGGGGAGCAGGCTGGAGACTGAGTGGCACTGCTGGAGCACAGGCCCCGGCCTCGCCACCCTCCTGCCCGACACCCTCTGTGGCTCCCCACTACCTGCAGGATCAAGCCTAGCTCCAGGCTGGCATGGAGCCCCCCGGTCTGGCCACCAACCTGCTCTGGACTCTCCCCTCCTAGCCTGCTCCTCTCTGCACCCAAGCGCCCTGCACTCCTTCCCAGCCACCGCCCTGTAGCCCACACTCCCCACGTGGCTGTCTTCTTGCGTGTCTCCATCCCTCCTGCCTGTCCCTGGGCAGCCTGGAAACGTCGATGATCCTTCACCACCGTCTGTGGCAAGTCCTCCCTGACTTCTCCAGGCAGAGGCCCCAAATTAGTACCCACGGCACCCTGGGCTCCCTCTGGGACAGCTCTAGTCACCCTGTGTGGTCCTGCTTGTTTCAGTTTCATACAAGGGCTGGCCCAGGGAAGGCCTCAGTAAATGCTGAGATGGAAAGAACAAGAGAGTCTGGCTGCAGAGACAAGGGGCTACATCTTCTAAACTGAGCCCAGCTGGTTTAGATCATCTCTGGGTCCTCCCACCCCTGCTTCACTGTGGGCCTTCCTGCCCCGTGGGCTTCTGTTTCTCCATGTGGCCGGAGGGGGCAGAGGCAGCCCCTTGCTGCAGCTCAGGGGCCCCTGGGTCAAGGTCACAGTGCCCTTCACTCCAGGGCTCCCGTTCTGTCCACTTGCCTCTCCCACCACCACCCCAGGAATGGTGACCCCAGCACCTGCTTAAGTCCCTCAGGCCCCACCCCAGACCTACCGAATTGGAAACTCTGGGGAGCAGGCTAGAGACTGAGCGGCACTGCTGGAGCACAGGCCCCGGCCTCACCACCCTCCTGCCCGACACCCTCTGTGGCTCCCCACTGCCTGCAGGATCAAGCCTAGCTCCAGGTGTGCCCTACACCCCCAGCCCCATGGTCCATTTTATGGGGTGGAAAATGAGGCTGGGGTAACAGCTGAATCTGCGGGGGGTCCAAGTCACCCCTCACTGGGCTGGCTGGGAGGAGGGGAGCCAGCTCCTCACCAGCATCTGGTGCTCACAGGGGCCGGGTCGACCTGGGGGGGATCCTGGGAAACAGGCGCACTCCTGAGCCCCTCTGCACCTCTGTCTCCTCTCCTCTCACATGGCCATAGCCAAGCACACCTTGTGGGTGAGGGGCAGATGAGACACCAGACGTGAAGTGACAGCAGGGCCGTCTGTCTTCTCCACCAGCACCCCAGACTGTGATCCGCTCTGTGCCAGGGTGCTGGAGACAGCAGATGCCCTCCCAGCCAAGGGGCCCGTTCTCCCCAACATTACCGGTGTTCCAGTTGCTCCTTTCTGCTCTGTCTGCAAAGAGGTTCAACACCCCCCAACCCCCGGTGTGATCTGAGGGCTCTAGGAACCCCTCCTGCACCCAGGCTTGAGGGTCCTTCCCTGGGACTCCACCCTCACAGCTGCTCCCACTGGAGCCAGGCTCTTGCCTGGAAGAACTGCGGGTTCCCTGGGAGACTCCCCAGAGCCCCTCCTTAGTGGACCCAGGCCCACCCTGCTCTTCCCAGCTGCCCCTGGTCTGTGCACACGGCCAGGCCTGACCCTGATCGCTCCCTGTGAGGTCCCACTCTCCTCCAACCTCTCACCTGCGGTGTGGCCATCCAGATGGTCCACAGGCGGGAGGGGCCAAGCCAGGGGGGGCAGGGAGATTCTTGAAGGGGCTCATTTCCTCTGGGATTTCAGTGGTCACCTGCCTGACCACATGACCTCTGTCATCCTTTCTGGTCTTGAAGATGAACTGCTGGGCTGGAGGGTTCGTGCCTAATTTTCCCAAATCACTTGAGGTATGTGTGGCTGAACTACTGGATGAATAATGCATGGATAAACATGGATGGGTAGGTGGATGAACACACTGACGCAGGGAAAAATTAATGCTTCCATGTATGGATGGGTGGATGAATGGATGGATAGATGAATGGTTGGATAGATGGATGGATGGATGGATGGATGGATGGATGGATGGATGGATGGATGAATGGATGGACGGATGGTTAGATGGATGGATGGACAGATGGACAGCCTGACAGATGGACGGATGAATGGAGGAATGGGTGGATGGATGGATGAGTGGATGGCTCCAGGAGTCTCCTGCACAGATTCCCTTCGCCCAGACCAAGGGTGCTTGTTCATCACCCCATCCCCTCACTTCCCCTCCTTCAGCCCTGGGCACACCACCATGGCTACCACTTTCCTCAGCCTTCAAGATAGACGGTCCTCAGTTTGAATCGGAGAAACTCCCCTTACTAGCTGCGTGGCCTTGTCCAGTGACTTCACATCTCTAAGTCCACATCTTGCTGATACATCCACAGTAACACAGGACCCATCGCCAAAGTGTACAGTGATGGACAAATGATGGTTCTAGAACAGCCCTTGACTCTCAGAGTCTCCTTCAGTGCCTTCCCCTCTTCCCTCTCTACCAGCTAAACCACTTGATAAATTACACTTAGAATTTAGCATTGGGGTGGCAGGCGGGGCTCTGGGGAAGGGTTTCCTAAAGAGCTGGCATGCCTTCTTCCGTCAGACAATGCCAAGTATGTGATGCATCATTATTTCTTTTATTGCTGTGCTTTCCAGGAAGTTCAGAGCTAAACTTCATCTTAATCACAGCCATTACACAGGTGACTGTGTGGTGGTCGAGCCACTTCCTGCTCTTTCTAGGAGTATTATTTAAGACCGCTGTAGCATCCTTTCTTTTAAGCGACCCATAATCTTTTAAAAATTACATGGGGAATACATTGTAGTTTTCGGCCCTGCCTGCCATAGCCAGCTGTCTGCTGTGTAGCCCCAACCTGGCGTGTACCCCCTCCGGGCCTGCTCTGTCTCCTCTTCACCAGCCCAGCCTCCACCTTCCTGTGTCCACTCGGGCCATGCCTGTCCTCAGGCGCTTGGCTACGCCCAGACTAGAGAGCATTTCCTGCACCTGGTAGATACCAAACCCCCGTCCAGGTGCCACTCCCCCTGGACAATCCCTGGCTTTGCCACTCACACATTCCCTTTCTGAAGTCCCAATGCCTCTCCCTTCTTCTTGCCTATCTACACGTTTCTGGGACATCTACTTTGTTCTAGGCTCTGTTCTAGGGATTCCGCAGTAAATAAATGAGATAAAATCCTCTGCCCCCCCCGGAAATGAAACTCTATTTGAGAAGAATAATAACAAATAAGTAACACTTGGGACTTTTTTTTTAATCAAGTGGTGGCCAATATTAAGGAAAAACTTAATAAAAACAGCCTTAACAGGGTAGAGAGTACTGGTCGGAAGGATTCTAGTCTATTTCAGTGGTCCAGGAAGACCTCGCAATGCAGATGGCGGCTCTTGTAAACCCCAGAGCCATGGGGGCCGGAGATGATGTCAGTGAGGGACGAGGGTCAGACTGAGGGAGCGTGGGAGCCACTGCAGGTTTGGAGCAGGGGTGCAACCTGTTTTGTGCCAGGCTCTGCGCTAGGGGCTTGACGGCCAACTTCTCACTTGATCCTTCTGGCAAGTCTGTGATTTGGGGCTGGCTTTCAGACCCCGATTTCAGAGGCAGAAGAGGCCCAGAGAAGGAAGGAGCCTGCTGGAGGTCATGAAGCAGCTCGGCCCTTTCCCTCTCTCCCGATCTGTGACAGGTTGGCAGCTGGCAAGGCTTATTTTCCTCAGCCTCTTCTCTCAGCATCTGCCCATAAATCACTCTGACACACAACGAGGGGGGCACGGACGGATTCCACATCACCTCCGTGGGTGAGCGGTTCCCAGGCCCTGCACTCCGGTGAGCCTGTGGTTCTTGGCTCTGGATGCTGGCTGCCCAGCCCAGGGCTCCAAATGCCGGGCTCAGACACCAGGGGAGTCGTGCTTTCCCTGGGCCAAGAAGGGGTTCAGGAGAAAGGGGAGGACCCCCCACCCCCGCCGCCACCCAGGCCAGAGGATCTGGCTACCAGATGAAGGGTTGGGAGAACACAAATCGGCTGCTCAAAGATCTGGGCGAGACCTGGGTCTGACCACGGGTGGGTACAGAGGGCATGCTGTGGCCAGAGGCTCCAGGGGAGAGAGGAGGCCCTCCCTTACTCTGAAGGCTCTGGTGATGCCAGAAGCATCTGGGATTGTTTTGGAGCTGGCACGGGAGCAGAGGCAGGCACAAGACAGGGGTGCTTGAGAGGGAAGATCCCCTTCAACCCCGACTGCCTCCCACCCAACCACCCCGACCGGTAGGGCGCCAGCACAGGCACCACCAAATGCTTTCACCGGGAAGCGGGCTGGGGGCCTTTTGGCCTCGTGACTTCGCAGGGCCCCCTGGAGAAATGGCTGTTCTCTGGACAAACCTCAGGGATTTGGGGAGCACCTGTCCTGTGTGGGGCTCTGAGCGGTGTGGGGCAGCGTCACGACATGGCACCCTGGCCTCGAGGAGCTGCTGGTCTGGAGTGCAACCCACTTCTCACCCTGGCATTCGAGGTCTGGCCCCTCTCCTCCTCTTCCTCTTCCTCCTCCCACTGCCACCCCCCACGCCTTGTTTTCCACACCTGCCTTGGGCATGGAAGCCACTCCCTTCGCTTAGGCCGACTCCTCTTCAGAATGGATTGAATCCCCTGTCCTGGCTTGTCTGTGGGCACCCACCCACATCATACCTCATTTCCAGGTCATGCCACACCATGGGAGGCAGTGCAGGATGGGGATTGGGGGTAGGGAGGAATCATGGCTTTGGGGTCAGAGGGGCCTACTGACCATCTGGCCCTGCCACCTACCAGATGACTTCCTGGGTATGTCTCTGTCTCGAAGCTTCTCTGAGTCAAGACTGAGACGGGGATACTGGTTGCCACATCTTGTGCCTCCATTTAGGGTGATTATATGAGAATGCCTGTGAGGGTTCAGCACAGGACCTGGCACCACTGGCGGTCAGCGCAGTGTCAGTGGGTCCAGCCCAAGTGTGCAGGCCCTGACAACCACCCCCTGCAGAACCTCCCGCCTGCCATCCCCACTGCCAGGGTGGGACGCCTGAGGAGGGGCCCTCCCTGGGCACTGGGAGGAGTCGGGGTAGCCCACACACCTCTTTTCTGTTCAAGACCAGGGTGGATGGCAGCTCAGAGCCAGGGCTGCTCAGGGGAGGGGTGAGGCGGTACCGGGATGAGGGATGCCAGGCGGCTGGTCAGGACTCAGGAAGCTGAGGCCAAGAGCTCCCTGCTCCATCGGGCCCTTCCAGGGCTCTAGCATTCAGGGACGGTGGGATGATGTCTGCCCACCTCTTATAACCCACCTCAGTCCTTTCCCTCCCAGAGCTGAGGACAATGAGACCGACCCCCAACATTCACCTGTTCCCCACGCCCTCTCCTGTCCTGACTGGGTCCCTCAGCTTTTTTCTGTAGCTTGTTTCTTCACACCCCCTGGCCTCTCAGCAAGGGGCATGGCAGGTTGCAACCCGGGTACCCCTCACCTGCAGAGCTGCCCTGTGGCCTCTCTGGGGCTGCAGAGAGGGCTGGCCCAAGCCAGCCTCACTGTGTGGATTTGGACAAAGTGCAGCCCCTCTCTGGGCCTCATTTTCCCTTTGGCCAGTAGAAGGGCCGGCCTCACAGGGCTGTGGAGTCCATCCACGGTGACTGAGGCTGGAGCGGGATGAAGCCCTCAGCCACTCCTTGCTCAGTCAGAGCTATTGGTGCACTGGGAGTGCTGGCAGTGAGCAGAGGGGCCTTGGGGGACCAGTGAGGATGGGGCTGGCAAGTGGCCAGCCTCACCACAGGCCACAGGGCCCCCCCTGAATGGACCCCCCGGAGGCTGCTTGTCAAGGCCTCTTGCCTAATTACCAAATCGTTCCCAGATCCCCTCCTGCAGCCTGACCTCCTCCCAGCTGGAAAACACCAAGCCCTGCCCTGAGGTGTGGATGCTAGTTTGCAGGGCAGCAGGGTCCTGCCCAGAGCCTCTCTCACTCCCATATTCTTGGGAGGCCAAAGAGCACTCCAGCCCCACCTGCCACCCAGGCCCAGCAGAATCCTCCCCTGAGTCCTGTGTGGGGCAACTGCTGGCTGAGGAGTCAGCCCTGGCCGGGTGCGGTGGCTCACGCCTGTAATCCCAGCACTTTGGGAGGCCGAGGTGGGCAGATCACGAGGTCAGGAGATCGAGACCATCCTGGCTAACACGGTGAAACCCTGTCTCTACTAAAAAAATACAAAAAATTAGCCGGGTGTGTTGACGGGCGCCTGTAGTCCCAGCTACTCGGGAGGCTGAGGCAGGAGAATGGTGTGAACCCGGGAGGCAGAGCTTGCAGTGAGCCGAGATGGCGCCACTGCACTCCAGCCTGGGCGACAGAGCAAGACTCCATCTCAAAAATAAAATAAAATAAAATAAAAAGTAAAATAATGTAAAGTAAAATAAAGTAAAATAAAAAGTCAGCCCTGAGGGAGTGACCTTGGCTAGGTCCCCCTGGTTTCTTCCTCTGTGGAAGGGGGAATTCATCCTTGACCTCACAGGGCCATTGAGATCGCTTGGGCCGACTCTGGGGGCCGACTCTGGGGGAGCCAGTGACCCCTCTCCCTGCACCTCCAACCAGACTCTGGGAGGTGGAGCAAGGCCTCACCCCCTCCACCCAACCTTGACACCAGGCTCTCTTTGCTCTCAGAAAATGCCCTGCATGGCTGCATCCTCCTGAGACACTCGTTGCCTGAGGCAGACTCACTCGCTGCCTCGGTGTCTGGCACGGGCGGAGGTTGGGGCGGAGAAGGCACATTCACGCCCCCACAGCCCCAGGGCCCTGAGCTGCAGCGGAGGCTCTGCTCAGAAGGGCACTACTCAGGGCCCGTGAGGGGCTGGGCGCGATGGGCCAGGGACTTCCCAGGGTCCCACTGTGAGTCAGCAGACCCAGCACCTTCCCCTGACCCCACTGGGTGCTGCCCTCACTTCCCAATGCACTCTCAGACACGTATGTGCACAACACGCACACACACGAACACTCATGCCTGCACACAAGCAGGATCCAGCAGGGTGACGGGAGCCCACATCTGCCCACCAGGTGCTCCCCAGCTGTGAATCAATGCTTGGAAGGAGCTGCTGGTGCGGCACCCCCACAACCTTGGGGAGATGAGGGCAGTCAAAGGTCACCTGAGATTCCCACAGCCCTTGATGATGCCCACACTGCGAACTGGGAGCTTGTCAGCCTCTCAGCTGCCCTCTCTCATTTCCAGATGGAGAAATAGGACTCGGAGATGGGCAGAGACTTCGTGGGGGCCACACATCAGTGGCAGGTGGGGTTGAACTTCCTGCTCTGCCCTTGTGGCCTGAGCTGGGAACCTCCCCCCTCTCCAGCCCAGCCCCAGAGGTCCACCTCACCCCATTCCTCCCTTGTTGCCTGCCTGGAAGGAAGAGGACCCAGGGGCCCTCTGTGGTGGCCTCCAGACTCTGATTGGCCTGGGAGGCACACAGCTCTTGGCTCTGTGGGAGAAAAGGTGTTCCTCCAGTCACAGCAGTCCCACAAGGGCAGGCGCTGACCCAAGTGGGAAGAAGTGCGCTTCCGATCCCTGGGAGTGTCCAAGCAAGGGCTGGAGGCTACTGCTGAGTGGGGTGGGTGGTTTCAGTGACCAGCAAGAGTCCTTCCAGGCACAGAGTTTCCAAGATTCTGAGTGTTAGTGATCTCCTGAGTTTGGATTAAATGCCACTCCCTCCCCAGACTCCTTCTAGCCCTGACTCCAGGATTTTTTGAGCCTCTTGGCCAAGCCCTGCAGCAAGTGAACATACAGATCAGAACCTCAATCCCTGCTCACCAACAGCAGGCAGTGACTTTGCATCTCCAAGCCTCAGTGGCTCCCTCTGTAAAATGGGGACCATCACAGTGGCACCTGCTTCACAAGTAATGGTGGGGATAAAGTGAGGGGCCACACGTGAAAGCCATGTGTGAACTAGATCAGGAACTCATAAACTTGACTCTGGCCTGGACGGCTCTACAGGACGAGACGGTGGGGGCAGAGACAATGTGGCTGGGGGAGATAAAGGCACTGAGTGGACATAAGGGCTGCGTGTGGGCAAATGAGCCATGGGAGCCAGGGCTGGGGGCTTGAATGCCGGGCAGAAGCCCCAGGACCTGCGTGAGTGGACACGTGTTTCCCAACGGGATGCCAGGAGGGCACATCCATCACTGCTGGGGCCCTGCCAGCCCAGGCTCCAGCTACTGGAAGTGGCGGAAGATCAAAGGGCCTTGAGGGTGGCCAGGGGCGGTGGCTCACGCCTGTAATCCCAGCACTTTGGGAGGCCGAGGCGGGCGGATCACGAGGTCAGGAGTTTGAGACCAGCCTGGCCAACATGGTGAAACCCCGTCTCTACTAAAAATACAAAAATTAGCTGGGCGTGGTAGCGGGTGCCTGTAATCCCAGCTACTGGGGAGGCTGAGGCAGGAGAATCACTTGAACCTAGGAGGCGGAGGCTGCAGTGAGCCAAAAATCATGCCATTGCACTCCAGCCTGGTCTCTCCATCTGTAAAATGGGCGGGCTGGACCCACTGCTCTTCAAGGGGGCCTTACAGCCCTGGGGTGGGAGGGGAGGGCAGGGCAAGGGTTCCAGAAGGGAGGCCTTCAGCTCAGGTTTAACAAGCTGTCTGTTTGGTTGGAACTGATCAAAACCAGACTGGTGCTGAGCCGTGTCTCTGCTTCGCATGGAGTGAAGCTGCCAAGAATTCATCCCTCACTGTTTCCAGTAAATAACTGGGCTCCCACGGGGATCCCAGGGCGGGCTGGACGTCTCACCTCCTCTCTTCACAGTGAACTTGACCGGGGGGCCGGAAGGAAGGAGACCCCCGGCCAGGCCTCCAGCTGTGCTCTCACCGCATCAGCCCGTGGCAGATGGGCGTTGGCTCAGTGGGCCGCCCACCTGTCCCGTGGTCACAGTGGTGAGGGCTGCCAGCTGGACCCCACAGGGCCCACATGCCTGGGAGTCTGGCCCTGTTATCTCCTTCATTCATGCAGTCAACAAACCTTCGAAGAACTGTAATGGAGGCAGCCGCCCTCCTCAGGCTCCTCGACGCCTCTCAGGGGTCCTGGAGTGTCAGCACCTCTTCCTTAATTGTTCTTCCTGTTCATAAAAGAGAAGAGGCAGCACTTTGGGAGGCCGAGGCGGGCAGATCACCTGAGTTCGGGAGTTTGAGACCAGCCTGACCAACATGGAGAAACCCTGTCTCTACTAAAAATACAAAATTAGCCGGGCGTGGCAGCACTTGCCTGTAATCCCAGCTACTCGGGAGGCTGAGGCAGGAGTATCTCTTGAACGTGGGAGGTGGAGGTTGCAGTGAGCGAGATTGCACCATTCCACTACAGCCTGGGCAACAAAAGCAAAACTCCGTCTCAAAAAAAAGAAAGAAAAAGAAAGAAAGGAGGAAGCGCAGAACCAGGTTTTGACTAGTGAGGCTGTGTTAGCAGCGCGGTGACATCTTCCTTCAGTTCCATGGGTTGCCCGTGACTCTGTGTATGCTGACCCTATGGGAGGTGCCCGCAAAGCCAAGGGGCTGTGCCTAGCAGAGGTGAGGGCTGGGCTGAAAGACCCCTGCACGGCATGCACATACACACAACTTTGTCAGGACCTGCCTAAAACAAAAAATAGAGAGATTTCGACTCAATAGGGTGGGCTGGGTCTGGGAGTCTGCATTTTAGCAAGGGTTCCAGGTCAGGTAAGGTGGCTCACACCTGTAATCCCACGAGATAGGAGGATTGTTTGAGCCCTGGAGTTCCAGGCCAGCCTGGGCAATAGAGTGAGACCCAGATCCTATCTCTATAAAACATAAATTTAAAAAACACAAGGGTTCCAGGTGATTCTCCCTCCCTGCCTGTTGGGGAACTGAGATGATCCACCTGATCTTGGTAGGATGCTCGCCCTGGTCTCTAGGGTTACAACCTTGGAGTTCTCTGGGCCTCTGAGTCACCCTTTTTGCTTCAAAACAAAACCCCTAAAAGCCACAGAAAATGTCAAGATGTGGTTGGCAATAGGCATGCATCAGCTGCCCTCTCACGCTAAGGACTGAGGGACTGGGTTCCATCCCCCAGAGGAGAGCTTGCATTTGAAAGGGCACTGACCAGCGCGAGGAGCCTAACTGGCTGAGCTGTCGGAAGACAGGGCTGGCCTCCTGCAGGTACCCTCCTGCGTGAGTGTAAGGGACACTAGCAGCCCTTGTGTGCTGCAGGTCTGGGGGCTCTATCCTGCTGCCAATCTGCCTGCAGTGATTCTCTATAGGTGGGGAGGCCAGGATGTTCCCCCCAACACGGGGGCACAGCCAAGTCCCCTTGCTCTCATTCACATTTTGTCACAGGATTGAATTCGCTTTGATTTTCAAATATTAAGAGAATATTAAAAGATGGCATGAGGCCAGGAGTGGTGCCCACGCCTGCAATCCCAGCACTTTCAGAGGCTGAGGCAGGTGGATTGCCTGAGCTCAGGACTTAGAGACCAGCCTGGGCAACATGGAGAAACCCTATCTCTACTAAAAATATAAAAATTACCCGGGCATGGTGGCACCTGCCTGTGTTCCCAGCTACTCAGGAGGCTGAGGCACAAGAATCGCTTGAATTCAAGAGGCAGAGGTTGCAGTGAGCCAAGACGGTGCCACTGCACTCCAGCCCTACTCCATCTCAAAATAAAATAAAATAATAAAATAAAATGAGGCATGAAATTTGTATGGCCACCGAAAGGGAGCATGGATTTTTAGAGTTGTGGAAGCCTTGTGAGGGTAGTGGCTGCCAGCCTCCCCTGCCCGCCAGTCCTCATTCTGGGCTGCACACTTGAGTTTGGAGTTCGGGTTCTGAGATACTGGTTTTGCTTCTGAGCTCTAGTGGGCTCAAACCAAGGATGAAGAGGTCCCAGACAGCCCTCGGGGACCCTGACAACATTCTCTGAATACATGGATGAACAAGAGCAGCAGAAGGATGAAGAGAGAGGGCGGGCAAGCGTGGAGGGAGAACCCATCTCCACTCCCCGGGCCTGTCTTTGGCAGCAGCTCCACTTCCCACGACCCTATGCATGTGTCCTCCGTGTGCGTGTGTCCCCACTGTGCGTGCATCCCCCCGTGCGTGTGTCCTCCCTGTGCGTGCGTCCTCCCAAGCATGTCTCTCCCCATGCGTACGTCCCCCCGTGCATGCATCCCCCCCGTGCACATGTCCTCCTTGTGCGTGCGTCCCCCTTGTGCATGTGTCCCACCTTGCATGCGTCCTCCCTGTGCCTGCATCTCCCCTGTGTGTATGTCCCCGCTGTGCCTACGTCCCCCCCGTGCCTATGTCCCCCCCGTGCCTGTGTCCCCCCCGTGCCTATGTCTCCCCATGCGTGCGGCCCCCCGTGCGTGAGTCAACCCTGTGCATTTGTCACCCCTGTGCGCATGTCCCTTCCGTGCGTGTGTCCTCCCGTGCATGCGTCCCCCCGTGCCTGTGTCCCCTCCGTGCCTGTGTCCTCCCTGTGCGTGCGTTCCCCTTGTGCATGAGTCCCTGCTGTGTGTGTCCCCCCTGTGCCTGTGTCCTCCCGTGCGTGCGTTGCCCTTGTGCGTGCATCCCCCCTCTGCGTGCATTCCCCCGTGCCTGTGTCCCCCCTGTGCGTGTGTCCCCTCTGTGCGTGTGTCGCTTCCTCCCTTTGGGACTACGCGTGTGTCCCCCCTGTGCTTGTGTCCCCCCTGTGCGTGTGTGCCCCCTGTGCGTATGTCCCCTCTGTGCGTGTGTCGCTTCCTCCCTTTGGGACTACGCGTGTGTCCCCCCTGTGCTTGTGTCCCCCCTGTGCGTGTGTCCCCCCTGTGCGTATGTCCCCTCTGTGCGTGTGTCGCTTCCTCCCTTTGGGACTACGCGTGTGTCCCCCCTGTGCTTGTGTCCCCCCTGTGCGTGTGTCCCCTCTGTGCGTGTGTCGCTTCCTCCCTTTGGGACTACGCGTGTGTCCCCCCTGTGCGTGCGTCCCCCCTGTGCGTATGTCCTCTCTGTGCGTGTGTCGTTTCCTCCCTTTGGGGCTACACATGTGTCCCCCCGTGCGTGTGTCCCCTCTGTGCATGTGTCCCCCGTGCGTGTGTCCCCGTGTGCATGTGTCCCCCGTGCGTGTGTCCCCGTGTGCATGTGTCCCCCGTGCGTGTGTCCCCGTGTGCATGTGTCCCCCCTGCGTGTGTGTCCCCTTGTGCGTGTCGTTTCCTCCCTTGGGGCTACAGGCTCAGGTTGCACAGAGGTGTCCCTGGGGGCAGGGGGACTCTCTTTCCCTTGTGACCCTGGGAAAGGGACTTGTCCTTGCAAACAGGTTTATCTCACCACCTGGACCACTCTGGCTCCTCCTGCCTTCGCTCCCTCGGGCCCTCTGTGAGCGGTCAGTCTGGTGTTGGAAACAGCACCCACGCCCTTCCCCACTCCCATCGTGCATCTCCTGCTTTCTCCCAACCCCTAACTCCCAACAGCAAAGCTGGCTTGGAGGAGGAGAGAGGGGACTCCCCCTGCCTCCCCACTCAGGTGGATGAAGCTCCAGGAGGTGAGTTTGCAATTGCAGGGGCCTTAAAAACACGGTGGGTCAGTGGGTACTGCCTCAGTTGCTCACTCGTTCCCTTAACAAGCGCTTCATTGGGCTCTGGGGACCTGAGAGGACTCAAACTCACCAGGTACAGGCCCACCTTGGACTATCCCTGCTCTCCCTGACCCCAGATGGAGGGCACCTCCTGGCACAGTTTGGGTGGGATCCTCCTCTGGATCCTAGCACCTGGCCCAGACAGGGAGGGTCAGACAAGACCCCAGCCTTCCCCAAACCTACACCACCCAGGGCATGTCTGCCCTAGAGAAGGTGGGGAGCAGGGAGCACCCCCGCCAGGGGCCTTGGTGAGGGAGGCACTGGCACGCAGAGGCTGGAGACAGAGGCTCAATGCATGTGGGTGCTGGCCCCGCTAGTGAGCTGGCTGGGCCCCAGCACCTCCGTCCAGAGTGCCCTCCGCTCTGGGGGAGCCCAGTACTCCTCCGGGACGCCTGCACCGCCTGCCCCAAGTCATCATGCAGGGAGAGGGTGGAAGGCTGGTGGCTGAAGTTGCCAGTGGACAGCTCAGCCTCCAAGGGGCCTCCCCCTGATCTAACAGGCACGTGCCTCTGCCTGGGCTTCCAGTTTGTGACTGGTTATCCCTGTAGTTTGACAGATTAGCCTTCATGGAATAGCCCCGAGGGACTGTGGGAAGGAGAGGCATAGCCAGGCTCCCTTCCACTTCCAGGACAAAGGGCCTCGTGAAGCCTAAATCAGGAATCTCACCCCATGAAGAGGAGCCCATGGCCCAGAGGGGCTAATAAGGAATCCCAGCAATAACAATCGCCAACACAGACGGGCCATTCTCAACAGTCCATCAGCCAGGCCACGCCCTCTGCAGTACACCCCCATAAGCTTAACCCGTTATCACCTCACTCCACCCAGGAGGAAACCAAGGCCGAGAGAGGCGAAGGGATTTGTCTACAGCCACAGAACTTCTAAAGTGTAGTGCTTGGGTTTGAGTCAGGCCCTGTGACAGCCAGAGCCTAATCCGTTATAATCTGTCACAGGCAAGACTCAACCCAGATGCACCTGACCCCAAAGGTCCCCAGATTGGCCTGCTCTGCAGCCTCTACAGGCCCACATGGAGGCAGAGACTCCCAGGCTGCAGCAGCCTCTGTAGGGCAGAAAGCGCTTCCCAGCAGACAGAGGGGACCCAGCAGGAGGTCATCTGGGATGGGTACTTCAGAGAAGAGCTGGAAACATGGAGGCTTCTCACCGCTCCCCTTTGGAACCACAGGCCAGGGCAGCGGGTAAGCATCTCAGGCCATGGCACAAGGGGTTGCCACCCACCCCAGGCGATCCAGCCCCTTCCTCACACTCACCAGGCCTGGTGGAGGGGCTGAGGGGAAAGAGGCAGGGGTGGGCACCAACCCGCAGTGCTCATGAGCCTGGTGCTCCCTGGAGAAGGAGGGCAGGTGGGGCTGCCTGAAGGCTTGGAACAGGAGTATGCTCCCTGCCCCCACAGTGCAGCATGCGTGTCCACAGGCACGCCCAGCTGCCACTGGGCAGGAGAGCCCTGCAGCTGGGACAGAGTCCTGGTCACACAGAGCAGTGAACCCAGCCCTGAGAGCCGGAGGCTACACCTAGGGAGACAGGGAGAGGCCCAGGGAGATGGAGGCAGATTCAAGCTTGTGCTCTGCTCCTAGCCTGATGGTTTGGGTACCAGGGGTCCCTCTCCCATTCTCAGCCTCATGTCTTCATGTGTCAGATGGAGCTATGTACCCTTTGTTGGTGGGAGGGTTTGACTGAGGCTTAGATGAGATCATGTGTGGGGGACAGAGAATCAAGAATCTTAAGGCCAGACATGGGGCTGGGGTCTCCCCACCACCTCCCAGGGCCTTGCTGTGTCTTGGCCTGTAGCCACCCATTTGTTCAATGGGGAGATGGAGTCGAAGATTCTCTTGCTCTTAAAAGTCACCTGTCACCTTCCCAGCTGGACAGGGGGGCCAGAGGGGTTAATAACAAATCCCAGCAATAACAATCACCAACACAGATAGGCCGCTCTCAACACGACTGAGGAGGAGGGTTCACGAACATGAAGCGGTTACCTGGGCCCCCAAAAGTGAGATTCCAGGGTCCCATGAAAGCCTGCAGACTCAAGCAGAGCCCCTACCATCTGGAGTGGCCTGGAGCAGAGCCAGGCCTGCCGTGCTGGAGATGAAAATGGTCCCAGGGTCTGTGGTGGGGGTGGGGAGTGGGGGCCTGTCACCCGCCGGGCAGGCTGGCGGGATGAGCCGAGTCTAAATAAATCACTAACACACGGGTGGAGAATTCCTTGAACAGGCGCCCAGGATTATGGACAACAGAGCAGAGGGGAGGGGGTGGGGGAGACGCTCAGGGGAACCATGCATGCAACCCTCTGCCTCTCACGCACCACGGCCCTTCCCTCTCTCACTCGAGGGGCTGTGACTGATGACGGGGGCTCAGGGTGGGGGCGCCTCAGCTGGGGGCCTCCTCTGCCCAGGCCCAGCCCCTCCATCCATGTGTGAGAAACTCAAAAAGCCCCGGCCTGTCCGAGGGGAGGAAGGTGTTGAAAGCCGCATCCTGCTGGAGGCTGAGCCCAGGCCAGAGATAATATCATGTGCGCTGCAGCGCCATGGGGCGGAGCCTCGCCACCCCCGGACAACCCCCCACCTCCTCCACACCCCACCCCCTCCCCACGCTGTCCCTGCTTGGGCGCCCCACCCTGGGCCCTGAATGGGAGCTATACGGCAGGAGCTGGGTTACTCCCAGCCTGTAAGGTGGCCTGGACCCCATCCCACTGGACTCACCCCAAGCCTGAGAGACCCCGGCAGACCCAGGGCAGGGGCAGAGGTCACCCTGAGCAGTTTGAGGCTCTGGGGCTGTCTCAGATCATCCTAGGGCTCCCTCCTGCCCCTTTCTGGACCTCAGTTCTCATATGTGGACATGGAGGGGTGGTGCCCCCGTCACCTCTAAGGGTCTCTAAGCCTCACAGTGCCCGTACTGGGTCATGCAGCTCCAGGGGCGGGCTTGGCTGCTGTTGGAGGGATGGAGGGATGGATGAATGACAAACAAGAACGAGTAGAGGACCCACAAACCCTGCAACCCGAGGACACCTGGGGACCAGGTCCAAAGAAAAGCATCTGTTTCCCCGCTCAGCAATGGTACTCAGGAGCCTTGCAGTTCCGTTTACAAAGGGCATCTACACTCGCTCCCTTGACCCTGGGAGGGAGGACAAGGAGGGCTTGATGCCCCTACAGCGCATGCGGAGACTAAGACAGGAAGGTCCAGCTGGGCTCAGCACCAGGCAGTCTCCCTGAAGGCTTCCATGCCCTCTGTCTCTGAGCTCCCAGGAGCCCCCGAACTGCAAACAGGGCAGGAAATGTCAACCTGCCCATCTACTCGGTAGATGAGGCATCCAGGTCCAGGGAGGGGCAACACTGGGCACTAAAGAAAGCCAGCCAGGGCAGGAGCACAGGTGTCCAGCTCCCAGCCTGGCCCTGTCCAGGCCGGGCCCAGCCTGCTGTGTGCCTGTTGCAGGAGCTAAGGGTCTCTGCCCAGTCAGTGCCCTCAAGAGCGTTGCCATGGAGGCCGGGCCCCAGGTCTCTCTCCAGCTTAAAATCCTTCCCTGTTTCTGTCCTGTGCCTGGCATTTGAGCCCCTCATCCCCCAGCCCCTGCTGGCCTCTGCAGCATTCCCACCTGCTGCCAGCCACCCCCTGCAGTGCTGAGGCCCTGACTCTGTGCCAGACAGCAACGGGAGGCCTTTGCCACACACTGGGAGCAACCTCCAACACCTGTAGCCTCAGCTGCTCCAGACCGGATGCCCGCTCAACATACCTCTTGTTCTGGAGTCTGAAAATGCCCCTTCGACGTGTGGCTCTGTTCGCTCACTCCCACCTCATCTGCACTCCAAATCACCCACTCAAACTCTGGGTTCCCTGAACCATCCCAGGTCCCCTGCCAGGCCCCATGAAGTGTGGAGAAGGCCCCGGCTTCAGATTATGCCCCCTACCCCCCGGGTATCTTTGGCTCACCCACCACCCTTCTCTCAGCCTCGGTTTCTTCATTTGAAAAACGGGATGGTGATTCACCCCTCAGAGGATGTGTGGTGCTGCAGGGCTCTGAGGAAAGGAGAGGGAATGTACTTTGCAGATTGTAAAATGCTGTTCAAAACGCATATGAAACATAGGGGAGAACTTGGTAGTGATTTCCAGGGCCACGTGGAGATGGGGGAGGGCCTTCCTGTGCTAAGGCCTAGAGGTGGAGCACCTTGGGGGGTCCTGGGGCTAGTGACGCCACACTGGGAGGGCCGGGTCATGGGGCCACCTCATTCTGAAGGGAGCGGGACCTCTGTGGGGGGCACGCTGACTGGCACCTTCTCAAGGCAGACTCACCCAGGGCCCCTTCTCTGAGGGCAGACAAGGCCCTTTCCTGTGAACTTCTCAGCAGCCCCTCTAACCTCTTAGAAAACAGAGGCTCAGCAAGGAAAGAAACCAACCACAGTTGCGTGGCCACTCAGAGGGTAAGGGCAGGGTCTCGCCAGCTGGCTCAGCTTCTGGGGCTGCTCTGGGCTCAGGCCCGCTCGCCCCTGACCGCTCAGCCGGGGAGATGGAGGCCTGGCCTGGAGCAGAGTCCCTGCTGGCTCCTTGGCCCCTGCCCAGTGCTCCCCACACACTGAATGGTCCCCACTGCAGAGGCGTGTAGGCAGACGGTGCTGGAAAGTGGGGATTTTGTGATACTTTAGAAGGGGCTGAGTGACATTTACCCCTCATAAGAGTTTGTGAGGCGAATAAATAGTCAACATGATTGCTTTACCTACTGAGGAGGTCCAGGAGTCATTCAGGATCAAGACCAGCAAACAAGTTCTGTGTCCTCTGCCGGCCAGGGAGCTACCCTACTATCTACTGGTACCTTCATGACCCTTGTTTCGTTGACTCCTCACAAAAGCCCTGCGAGGAAACAAGTATTTCCTGATCTACCGATGAGGACACTGAGATTCAGAGCAGTTAAGTCACCTGCCCAAGGTCACACAGCCAACAAAAGACAGAATAGGACCTTGAACTCAGGTCTGTGGATTTCAGGTCGGGGGTCCTTTCCACTGCCCCACCATTTCATCGCCGATCCCCACTCCGATCCCACACCCCCATGGTCCAGAGAGCAACTTCACCGGAGAATGGGGCCCTGCCCTTAGCACTCCCTCCTTGAGTTGGCCTCAGCAGGGAAGATGCTGCTGTCGGGAATGTGGGCATTGCCCCAACCCATGGGCCCCCATCTCTCGGGTTAGTGCCAGAGGCTTCCTTGGAGAGCAACGGAGCCTCTTCCTCAGGCATCCAGGGGTGAGTGCCCCCTAAGGTCTGTCATCCTGCTGTCGTCGGAGTTTGCCCATTGACCCCCCAGCTTTGTTCTCCCTGAAAAAGCCCATCTTCTCCAGCTCCTCAGGCACAAGTGGGGCGCATGCACGCACTGGGACCACGCGCAGCTTTATCCTGAGGATGGCGGGGAGTCTGGGAGGGTGTTGAGCAGGAGGAGACAGGGTGGAGCCAGGCTGGAGAAGACCCTGAGAAGCTGGCGACCTTGAGCTCCAGACCCCGCACTCATCTGCATCCCCTTGAGCCTGGGGGTGGGGGCGAGAGGGCAGGGCCCAGCGGCATGTCCACACAATTATGTTTTTGTAAAATCTGCAAAAATAGAATGTTTTAATTGCAATTGGTTAAGACCTCAGTCTCGCTCCTCTCTGACTTCCACTGCCCTTCTTCCCTGGAACAGCTGTATTTGGGGGATCTGGCTGAGGGAAGTGGAGGATCCTGTAGCTTGGGTTTGGGGATGTATGTATGGGGCTGCAGTCACTTGCATGTCTGTTCTGTTCTTGCTGGCCATCATGGTGTGCAGTGGCTTCCAGGAACACTCCCACCACCCACCAGCACCATGACACTGTGAGGCAGAGCCCGAGGTCATGAGGGACATCAACGTGTCCAGCAGACCTTGGCACTGGCGGCATGTGGACAGTGGTGAAGAAGCCAGGAATGAAATGGACAGAGCCAGATGCTGATACGTGGAAAACACTTCCGATCACCAGACTGTGCAAAGTTGCAAGTGGAAGATTTGGTTCTCTTCGATGTGTACTCCACGTGGAAGTTTCCTCCTGTCAGGGGCACTCAGTGAAGCTGCAGGTTTAACTCTAAAGGCACCGTTCGTTTTATTCTCTTTCCTTATGACAATCATACAGAATTCAACTTCTCAGAATTCCCGTGTTTTTGGCAAACGTGTAGCAGTATTACAAACAACAGATACATCTGTGCATTAAGCTATATGTTTTACGCATCCCAGGTGATGGAACCACAAGTTAGAATACCAGCTTATCCCATCCTACTGCAGTCCGGCTGCTCCAGATGAAATAGCAGGCAACTTTTTTTTTTCCTCAACAAGGGCTTCCACATCGTACAAGCCTCAGCCTCTCAAAACTCGACCTGCCCTGGTCTACCAAGAGGCCTCCCAGCCTTGCTCAACCTCTGCAACACTCTTTCTCTGGCTGTAAATTGTGTGACCATAACCAGGGATTCCCCCAGACCCAGGCACCCCCAGGCCTCACCTGTACTCTTGGAACCCGCATCGGCATATTTCCCCCAAGCCCCCCCATTTCAGAGTCTGAAAACCTCCCCTTCCCAGGCCTCCCACATTGGGGACGCATTTTGGCAGGTAGCACCTCAGTGGCTGGGCGGGGGCCAGAAGAACAGGGGCTCTGAAGGAGCAGATGCTGGGCCCCAGCCCCTGCCAGGCCTCTGCAGCTGGGCTGCACGTGGCTGATCAAATCGCCAGACGCGCAGCCTGTTTAGGAAAGGAATCTGGCCAGCCTGCACGTCCAGGACCTGTCTCGCAGGGAGGGGAGTTTGCCTGGTTGGACCCTCTGCAGCCTTCCTGCTCCAAGGTGCTCAGCCTCTGCTGGCTTCCCTCTCCACACCCCACGGATGAGGTGCTCACCCCCTCTCCGGGGAGTCCCTTGCACCCTGTCCAGCCAGAGCCGTAAGAAGCCTTGCGTGGAGGGAGCATCTGCCTCTGGGTGGCCTCTGCCCACAGGTCTGGGGTCTACCCTTGGATCAAGCAGGACAAACTCAGCCTCCCTTTCAGCATCTAGAAAACCCCTGCTCCCACTCGTCCTTCACAGCCCAGGCCAAACATCATTGCCCTTTGAGGTTTTCCCTGCTCCCATCTCACTTCCAAAGTTCAGGAGCTCCCACATGGGGCAGTGCAGTCAGCCATTTTTCTCTAATCTATTCTCCCTATCTATTTTCAGACCAGATAATTTCTGTTAATCTGTCTTCAGGGTCAGGTAGTCTTTTTTCTGCCATCTCCAATCTATTGTCTAGCCTAGCCAGTGAATTTTCCATTTCAATTATACATCAAGTATGTGTGTGTGCATTTATATTTCTCTGTTGAGAATCCCTTTCTTTTCACTCATTAAGACCACTTTTTTGGCCAGGTGCAGTGGCTCATGCCTGTAATCCCAGCACTCTGAGAGGCCAAGGTGGGTGGATCACTTGAGATCAGGAGTTCGAGACCAATCTGGCCAACATGGTGAAACCCCGTCTCTACTAAAAATATAAAAATTAGCTGGGTGTGGTGGTGGGCACCTGTCGTCTTAGCTACTCGGGAGGCTGAGGTGAGAGAATCACTTGAATCTGGGAGGCGGAGGTTGCAGTGAGCTGAGATCGCACCACCACACTCCAACCTGGGTGACAGAGTAAGACTCCAACTCAAAAAAAAAAAAAAAAAAGCCACTGTTTCCGAAGTCTTTGCTAAATCCAACATGCCAACATGCATGCCACTGAGTCAGTTGCTGTTGTTTGCCTTTTTTGTTTTCCTGAGTGTAAGTCACATTTTCCTGTTTTGGTGCAGCTTGGAAACTGGGTTTTTTTCGTGCTCCTCTGATGATTGCTGTATTTATTCTGCTGGGGGGTCGTTTGCCTGTTTCAGCCGCACATTCTGTCTCCTCCACAGTGCCGAGCAGCAGAAACCTCTGCTCCGCTCCCACAGCTCCCACTCATGGCTTTTCTCAGTGTGGCTCCCAGGGGTCCCCTGCAGCTATCACTGGGCAGTCATCCAAGGATTGGGAAGTTTACATTCAGATTTTGGTGCTCACTTTTCGATGGTTCCCTTGCTTCTGTGGATTTTCCCCTAAATTTTCAGCTGCTCTACCAGGCTTGGACTCTGTTCTCTGATACCTCAAGGCAGTAAGACTTTTCACTTTCTGCTGGCTGCGCTGTATACAGGTTGGGAAATTCACTCACTGTTCAAAAAGCAGGACACTCACATATTTTACCCAGTCCAGAGCTGCTCTGTCTTTCGAGGGTAACTTATCTCCAGTTCCTGCCTGTTTTTTTTCACCAGGCCCTCTAGCATTGGAATATTTGGACAGAATCTGTGCTCGGGTTTCGGGCCTGAGGCCTCCTGCAGTTATCTCACTGCCAGGATGTCCCCTTTGATGCTCCAGCTGCCCTTACAGTTCTGAACTCTACTCTCTACCACCTGCTCCAGCCTCGGGGGTGTGAGAGTGCTGCCATGATTCTTACCTCTTCTCTTTGCCATTTTTCAAGAGTAAACTTTTTTTCCGGCTTTTGTCTTTCTAAGACACTTTCCAGGGGCTTTACATACTTTTTTTTTTTTTTAATACTTTGTCTAGATTCCATAATTGCTATCTGCAGGACAATTCATGCAGCCACGTCATACCACTGCCATTACAGGAAGTTTCTCCCACTGCACTCTTTTGAAAACCTAGGCTGGCCACAGGCGGTGGCTCACACCTGCAATTCCAACACTTTTGGAGGTTGAGGCAAGTGGATCACTTGAAGTCAGGAGTTTGAGACCAGTCTGGCCAACATGGTGAAACCCCGTCTCTACTAAAAATACAAAAATTAGCTGGGTGTGGTGGCACGTGCCCTGTAATCCCAGCTACTGGGGAGGCTGAGGCAGGAGAATCACTTGAACCTGGGAGGCGGAGGTTGCAGTGAGCTGAGATGGTGCCACTGCACTCCAGCCTGGGCGACGAAGCAACACTCCGTCTCAAAAAAAAAAAAAGAAAAGAAAACCTATGCTAGAGCATGTCACTCTCCATGCTGACAGCCCTTCCAAAGTTTCCCATTGCACTGAAGATCAAGTAAAAATTCCCTAGTGAGGCCTACAACACCATACAATAAATAATGTAGGGATTATTTCAAGGTTAAAAATTCCTGTAGAGACCCCCTAAGGTTGAAACCTGATTTTTCTTTGTAATATCGCCTAAAGAAGTCTGTGCCAAGGTGGGATCTTTTCCTTCTCCCCCTCTTTCCTGAAGCCTGGCACACACTGAACCCAGAAGTCAGAGGGGGCATTTGGGAATGCAGCCGTGGTGGAGTGAGAGACAGAAACACTTTGGGCACAGTGAGGCCAGGAGGGACCCCACTTGGCGCTGCAAATGGTCAGAGTCTGTCTGGTGGATGCGCTGCCAACAGGAGCCACAGCCCCTTCCACAGCCTGGACCCTCCAGGGGCTGAAGAAAAGAAAAGAAAAGGTTGAACTCAAAGAGGGAGGGAAACCCAGGGGTTAAAGGCATCAGGGGAAATAGTTCAGGGGCCAGAGAGTCTAGAGGAGAGGGCCTAGCCACAAAGGGCACCCAAGGATCTAGAAGGAAGACCCAGGTTGGGGACGGGTGAAGCCAGCCCTCCCAGGGCTTCCCACCTCCTCTCATAGGGTGGGCAGCTATGGCACAACCCTGAAATAAAGACTGTTTCCATGTCCTCCTGGGTCCTGTTTTTTCCGGGTGGTGTGGAGGACGGATGATGAATTGCAAGGAAGAATTATTATAGACTGTTCCATTCTTCCATTTTCACTCTCGAGAACATTTTACAAACTAAAAACTAAATATAAACTAAGGTCTATAGCTCTCCCACAACCATTAAACCAAAACAAGTTTACAAATTAAAACCACACAAAACTACTAAGCCAATTAAATTCATATTAGCAATATTAACGTGGTGGATGATATTTTGCTGAAACTAAATCACTGTCTATCCTGTGACCCTGGCAATCCTGCCACATGCCACACTGCCAGTTCCTCAGCCTTTAACATGCCCACACTACAGGTCAATGACAACTTATTTCTCTCCCTCCGAATCTCTAGGGCTCCTTTGTCTGGGCTGCAGGCCCCAACATCCCTGGGACTTCACTCAGCAGGAATGCTTCGTGCGTCCAGTCGCCTGCTCTGTCCCTGCTCTGTGGCAGTGAGAGCAGCAGCCGAGGCTGGGGTGTTAGTCATTCCTTTGACTCCTTCACCAATTCCCCCATTTACTGCCTCCAGGGCAGAGTGGATACAGCCCAGAACGATAAAGGGAGTTGAAATGCTGCCTGTCTGGAAAGCCAAGCTTTCCCCACAAGGCCAGGCTTTGTTGAGCAAGGAGAGGATGTGTGACTTCTGACCAGACAGAGCCTGGAGGACTTTGAATGTACAACCATCAAAACAAGCAAACAAACAAAAGCCATAGAGGAGAGAAAAATACACGCTGGTGATGATGTAGGAGTCTTCTCACCTTTGAAAGAGGAAGTGAAGGTGTGAACAGCTGCAGTGGGGGCTATTTGGAAGGCAGGAAGCCCAAAGTCAAAAGATTCGTGGAGCTGGAGAGAAGCACTTCCTCTCCGGTCCCTGTCCCCTTCTGGGTTCTAAATGGGAAACAGGGACCTGACTGCCCAAGGCCTGCCAGGAAGAGCCAGGCAAGCCTTCATAGAAGTCCTCCGTGTTCCTCAGGGTGCAGGACAGCCAACCAGCAGAGTAGAGAAGTCCATGCAGGTGGCCTGATCTCAGCAGTGAGGGAAAGTGGGCTAGGTGGCTGAGCCCCAAGGGAGCCGAGTGGGCCTTGCCCTGGGGCACAGGGTCCCAGGGTGAGAACCAAGGAAGGGCCTCTGCAGTGGGGCCGGCCCCTGACACCCAGATGAGCCACACCACGGGCAGGTCAGGAGACACTTGCCTGAAGCCTGGTCCCTGGGGCCAGAAGGGGTGAGGTCAGGAAATTTGGGGAATTTGAGCATTTACCCCCTAGGGGATAATCTTTAACTAGAGATGAATGAGTTGCCTTGAAGTGGTCAGATAAGCGTTTTGCTGCCAGCGGCCAAAACAGGTTCGGGTGAGGACAGTTACGGGGAAATAAAGTGATATTTCTGCACATTAGGGTTGTGGCTGTAAATTACACCCCATCACATGCGGTGGCTTCCTTGTGCCAGCAGGATGGGCCGGGACTAAAGCTGAGTCTATGGAGGCAGCCAGAGGGGTCAGGATGCACTTTGAAAAAAAAAAAAAAAATCACCAGGCAGTTTTGGGCGTTTGGGAGGGGGTGAAGTAGTGAAAAAAAAAATCATCAACGCTGAAATACAAAATACAATCATCAGGAAACACCCTGGGTAGGAGGGGCGCCGTCTGTAGATCCCTTGAGGAACTCGGACCACCGCCCGCGCCTCCTCCGCGCGGTGGCCCATCGCCCAGCTCCAGCCTCTGAATCCTTCACAGGAGCCGTGCTCTTCTCTACTCCAAGCCCCTGCACAGGCTCTTCGCTCGGCCTGGCATGGGCTGTGTCTGGGTTCAGGTCTCAGTTTACAGCTCACTTACCCGAGGCTTGCCTGAGATCTTTCCTGGTCGCCCGTGGTTTCCCCAAAGCGCCACTCCATGGCTGTTCAGCCAGTGCCGACCGACAGGGGGAGCCCAGTCAACGTGAGAGGCAGGAAGGAATGGCGGGAACGGGGCCCGCAGGGCTGAGGTCAGGCAGAGACGTGACTCAAAGGTCCTGATTTCAAGTCCTAGCTCTGTCACTTTTTAGCTCTGTGAACTTAGCCAAGACTAACTTCTCCGGGTCCCAACTGCTTCCTCTGTAAAATGGACACTCAACACACCAAGACGAATCTATCCAGTTTTCCTGAGCACAAGCTGTGCCTTAAAATCCCGCGCCTGCCCCGTGGGAGCTCATGGGCTACTGAAGGTGACAGATAGGGAAACATACACGTAGGGACATGTAGGAAGGGCTGTGCTGGAAGCACACACAGGTAGTGGGGGAACACAAAGGAGGGAGAGTGGGTGGGTGGAGAGTGGGGAAGACGTCAGAGAGGACTTCAAAGAGGAGAAGAGGGTAGCTGAGCTCTGGCATACAGGTGGACAGAGGTTTGCTGTGGGTTAGGGGGGAAGATTCTAGGCAGAGACATCATGGCGGCAAAGGCCCCAGGGCTGCAGGAGCAGGGCGTTCTGGGAATGGCAAGTGCATCCACCTGGCTGGAGGGCAGGGTGTGTGCCACAAGGCACAGCGGACTCCAGTCACCTGTCATCCATCATCCATAGCCAATCTTGTTTCCTCCACACCCCATTCACACCCTATCCCCAATCCCAGACAGATGCATCTCATCTGTAAATATTTCTCTATGCATCTAAGCAACAAAGACTTAAAAAACCAAAACCACAATGCTATTATCACACCTAAACAAATAACAAGTCCTTCATATCATATTTAGTCAGTGCTTCCATTTTGATTGTCCCTTAATTTCTTTTTTTCAGTTTGTTTAGTTTACAGGAACCAAGCACGGTTCATAATGGGATTGATTTATATGTCTCTTGAGTCTCTTGTTAATAGGTTTTCCCTTCTTCTATGTATTTTTTCTTTCAATATATTTATTGGAGAAACCAGGTGGCTCGTCCTGCGGGGTTTCCAACCGTCTGGATTTTTCTGATTGCATTTTCCTGGTGTTAAAGGCTCATCTGCCCTTTGAATTTCCCATAAACTGGTAGTTAGATCCAGAGCAGTACCACCCAATAGTAAATCATGTGAGCCACAAGTGCAAGTCACATATGTAATTTTAGATTTTCAGGTAGTAACATTTTAAAAAGCAAAAAGAAATGGATGAAATTAATTGTATCTTACTTAACTCAATATATTCAAAATATTATCATTCTAACGTCATCAATATAAAAATTAATACAAAAGAATTTACATTCTTTTTTGTACAAAGTCTCTGCAGTTCAGTGTGGATTGTGTTCATAGCACATCTCAATGTGGATTAGCCACTGTTCAATGACTTCAGAACTCCATGTGGCTGGTGTCTGCTGTCTTTGGACAGCACGGATAGATGCTTCATTATATTCAGGGTCAAACTTATGCCAAGGCTATTTCAAAGGTGTGTGCTTTTCCATCAGGAGGCATCAGGTGTCTGGTTGCCTGCCTTTCTGTGCCATTGATGAGCATTGTCTTAGACGTGCTCATTATTTAGGAGTTGCGAAGAGCTGACAGCCTAATTCTATGATCCCTTCTGAATCTTTTTACTTGGAATATTTATATAAGAGAAACTTCCCTTCACCAACTATCCAGTTAACTAGTGTGTACAATGCATATAGCAAAGGTAAGTAAATGTTGCTTTCTTTTATGTAACAGTTCTCATAGGGTGAGAGCTGTGTTTAGGACAGGTCAGGTGCTTGCCATGTGGAGAGTGGGCTAGAGGGCACAAGAGTAGCTGAAGAGCGCCTGGGGAGGAGGTGATTATAATCCAGGCATGCTGAACTCAGGGGCAGCAAACCACCCCTTCCCATAAACCTCAGGAATCTCCTTCAAAAGGCCCAAGAAGCTCCAAGCCACCTTCATGGTGCCCCTTCTGCCCTGGCCTGTACCCTGGAATAGTCACTCCAGTCAGGCCCCCATCCCAGGCTGTCCCTCTTCAGGGGCCAGGCGGGAAATTCGCCTGCAGCCTCCCACCCATGCAGATGGACAGCTCAGCCCACTCCTGCCCGGCCACCCTTCCTTGCTGTCCTCACCATGCCCTGGGGCTCCCCCTTCTCCCCTGTCACCCCAAATTTTCTCTGGGGCCTTGCTCCTTTCATTGTCCCGTCTTCTTCCTGAACCTTTGCCTTCTCCCTGCTACTGGCTCCATCCCACTCGCATTTACAGGAAATCTTCCTTCGGTCTCACAGTCCCCTCCAACTCCCACCCATATTTTTCTCCAGCACTTTATAGCTAAACTCGCAAGAGTTGTCTACACTCACTGTCTCTACTTCCCCACTGTGCACGCCCACTGCCCCTTGCTTCCTTGCTGCTCCCCAACCCTGAAACAGCTCCCATGGAGGTCACCAAGGGCTTCAGGCTGTGCCTGCCCTCACCTCCCATGGCTCCTGGGTCTTTGGCCCTGTTGACCCTTCCCCATCTCCATGGTTTCTGTCCTGTGTCTAGTCCCACAGTCTTCCACGCTCAGCCTTGGGGGAAGCTCCTTGGGCCTCTGTTCTGGCCGCTCTTCTGCTAACCCTGTGCACAGATCCCCCTCCTTCCCCCCACCCAGCCATATCCCCTGCCCCCGGCCCTCAGACACAGGCTCAGTCCTCCCCTCCCCAACTACCTGCCTTACACCCAGCTCCAGCGCAGCTCTGTGCCCTCTGTACTTTCCTGTCTCAGCCACAGGCCTGGCAGCTTCCTGAGGGCAGGCACTGTGTCTGCCTTGTGCATTTCTCACCCTGGAGCCTAGTCCAGCGCTTGGTGTGCAGTGTGCAGTCAGTAACCATTAAACGCACGAGTAATGCAGGTTCCCAGCAACGCCTTTGTTCTTGCTTCTTACCCTGGCTGGTAGCCCTGGCCCCGTTTCACCCCCTCGACCTGCCTGTCAGACACAGCTAAGGGGAGTCCTCAAAGAAGCACCTCCTGCCCCTCTTACCCCCGCCCCTTTTATGCCTGTGAGTCATTATGTACACGGCCGACCTCATGGACTTTTGACAGTTATATCGCATTTCCGGCAGTTATAAATACACATTTTTCCCCCTTAAAGTTGCTCCACACCCCATAGCACAATGCTGTGAGGTGCTCAGTTTTTCCACTCCCTGCACAGAGATGTCCCCCGGATTTGCTCCTCCCTCTTAACTGGGGCTGCGGAGTCGGGAGGACTCTCGGCAGAGGGCAGGATGTTCAGATGGGTGGGACAGAAGGAGAGGCTGTGGGGCCTCCACAGGGCTTGGGGTGCGGAAGAAAGAGCCCTGGGGGAGAGGTCAGGGCCTGGTCCGGCCCCAGTGTGGCCTTGGGATCTGTGTGATCTTCAGCAGGTCATCCTTCTTTGGGGGTTTCCTGTGGGTTCCTGGGTCAAGTAGTGATGGGAACACCTTGCCCACACACTCTGCAGGCTGGCCTTGGGATCAAATGCAATTATTTGGGGGGAGCGTTGAGACAGGAAAAACACTGTGCCTGTTTGAGGGATCACTGCATCACCATGGAGAGAAAGCAGGCGTCGCCGTATAGATGTGCGCAGGGCAGGACAGGGCACCAGGGCCTCAGCTCCTGTTCTGGTTTCCCAGCTGGTGGTGGCTCATTAGCACTCAGAATATTTACTGAGAATCAGTGTGACTTACTGTTTACAATAACACAGTTCCACAGTCTTCTATGATCCTGGGACAGCTCTGCTTCTAAAGGTTTCCGATGCTCATTCTGGGAACACTGGGCCTTCACAGAGCTCCCAGGGGACCAAGAGACAGACACAGGTGTGACTTACCAAACTCAGCCTGTGCTCTTCCTCACTCACACTGCCCCGCCCCATACCGACACGCACACCTCAGGAGCACCTACTGTATGCCACTGAAGGCAACGCTTAGGCACAGGTTGGGGCTGAGAAGTCCAGGTGGCCAGCAGGTTTTTGGCAGCAAAGGGCCTGTGCTGAGGTCAGCAGGCTCTGGAGACGTGTGCTGCATGAACAAAAGGTCACATATCACCTGCACACAAAGAAGCCTGGAGTCTTCTCACATCAAGTGTGCCTGACCCTTGACCCAAAGAGTGAGTAATCTGTGGAAATACACAGTGAGGCTGGTTTCTTTGAGGGATAAGGTGTTCTGCATAACTAAAAAAATTTTTTTTTTTTTCCGAGATGGAGTCTCGCTCTGTCGCCCAGGCTGGAGTGCAGTGGCACGATCTCGGCTCACTCCAACCTCCGCCTCCTGGGTTCCGCCATTCTCCTGCCTCAGCCTCCTGAGTAGCTGGGACTGCAGGCGCCTGCCACCACGCCCGGCTAATTTTTTTGTATTTTTTTTTTTTTAGTAGAGACGGGGTTTCACCGTGTTAGCCAGGATGGTCTTGATCTCCTGACCTCGTGATCCGCCCACCTCTGCCTCCCAAAGTGCTGGGATTACAGGCATGAGCCACCGCGCCCGGCCTAAAATTTTCTAAAAAAGTTTTTGCAAGTAAACTTTTGAGAGAACAAGTTTGTCCCTTAAAGCATCAACTTATTTTAACCATTTTGAATAATATACTTCCTTAAACTATTTTATGCATTTTCCTATCAAACTAAAATCAATGTATCCTTTTTGTGATGACTGGGGTCTATCCTTAGCAACAGTAAAAGTCACACTGAGGCTGAATTTTTTAAGCTGGCTGTTTTATTAATTTTTACTACACATTTTACAAGCTCTTGTGCCATGGACTTTGAACCGATGGCAGGGTGGAAGCTGTTCTGCTACATACAAACCACCCTGATCAGAAGCAGGCTGTCATGAACTGTGCCAAGTTCTTCACAAATAGGCATAGTGGCAGGTGAGAGGCCTCTCCTGTCGTGTCGTGCTCTGGGCCCCAAAGCAATTGGAGACAGGTTTTGAAGAAAGAATACAAATTTGCTCTTAGGGCAAGAGAAGCCTCCATCCAGGATCAAAGGAAATACAGAACAAGGGGCTGACTTCACTTTACAGACCAGCACGTGGGCTCAGAGAAGTCAAGCGCCTCGCCGGGGTCACATAGCCAGTGAGCGGCAGCGTTGGGGCTGAAACGTCTGTGACTTGCTCTCCTGTGAGGCAGGGTGCTGCTCAGTTAGGCCCCCCAGACCGCTTCCTTCCCAAGTGCTCCTGTCCTCTCCTTAGCTTCAGGCGGTCCATTAGTCCTGCCCCCTCACCCTCCGAGACTTTCTCATCTGAGGCGCCCTAGAACTGTGTTTTGTACACACAGCCAAAATGACCTGCGCCTGCCACTCTCCCCCTTGTAGTTCTGTGCCTGGGCTTGGCTACAGCTATTTCACCAACTGGCTGTCTCTTTCATATCTAGACTCATACTCGTTCTTGTTCTGGATTGCTGACAGTGCTGGCCTTTAAAAAGTGTGGAATTGTTTTAAAGACTTGTCTTTTTTTATTCATTTAAAATCCACAAGGCTGAGCTGTCTACCTACAAAACTATAATTAGATGTGCTAAGGGGGGAAAAAAAGAAAAAGAGAGCTATCTACTTCAAGCAGAATCAAGAGCTCTGGGCACCAACTCATTCACTGAGGCCGCCAGAAGCCGTGTTAGAGAACATTCACGAGCGAGAGTGGGCCTAAGGCAGCTCATCTGCCAGGGGCTAGAAACTGGAAATTAAGGCTGAGAGGCCATGTCTCTACACCTCGTTGGTGCCATCTACCACTAAAGCACTTTGAAATACTTCCCATTTGTTTAGAGCCTGGATTTTCTTCTTTTTTTCTTTTTTTTGAGACAGAGTCTCGCTCTGTCGCCCAGGCTGGAGTGCAGAAGCGTGATCTCGGCTCACTGCAACCTCCCCCTCCCAAGTTCAAGTGATTCTCCTGCTTCAGCCTCTGGAGTAGCTGGGATTACAGGTGCGCACCACCACGCCTGGCTGATTTTTGTATTTTTAGTGGAGACGGGGTTTCACCATGTTGGCCAGGCCGGTCTCGAACTCCTGACCTCAAGTGATCCACCCGCCTTTGCCTCCCAAAGTGCTGGGATTACAGGCATAAGCCACTGCACCTGCAGAGCTCAGGTTTTCAAAAGACTAGTTTCAGCCCTAGTACACATTCTCAATGTGTATAGAATGAGTATCTGTATTTCAACAATCCCACCAAAGCCTGAAACATAGAACGCAAGAAATCCTCGTTGAGTGACTAATTCCTCCCGATGTGCATGGTGCTTTGTAAAGATCATTCAGTGCTTTCACGAAGATGTTTATCTCTTCTAACATTCTATCAGTCCTCAGGGGTGGGGTATTATCCCTACTTCACAGATTAGGAGCCAAATCCAGAGAGGTTAAGTGGCTGTGCTCCAAGTGCTAGAACAGGAAACCTGCTGAGTCCTAGGCATCCCTTCTATCCTGGCAAAGTGGCTTCCTCTGGGACCCAAGGTAACCAACATTGATGGAGCACCTATGATGTGGTGGGTCCCCTGCAAACGTAATTGGGAAGGGCAGAGTCCTTTCTACTTCTTTACAGATGAAATGGAGGTTCTCAAAAGCTCAGTGACTTCCAGGGTCATAGCTTCAAAGCAGCAGAGTTGCAGAGAAGTGAACAGGTGCCACAGAGCATTCAGAATCTAGCTTCTAAAGAAGAGATGCTGGCTGCACTCTGTACTACACAGTAAAAACCCAGATTTATTCAATATGTACCTGTATTAGTCCATTTTTGTGTTGCGATAAAGGAATACCAGAGGCTGGGTGATTTATACAGGAAAGATGTTTAATTGGCTCACGATTCTGCAGGCTATATAAGCATGGTGCCAACATTTGCTCAGCTTCTGGGCAGGCTTCAGAAAGCTTACAATCATGGCAGAAGTCGATGGGGTGCCAGCATGTCACATGGCAAGAGCGATAGCAAGAGACAAAAGGGAGATCCCAGACTCTTCCTTTTTTTTTTTTTTTTTTTTTTTTTGAGATGGAGTCTCACTCTGTTGCCCTGGCTGGAATGCAGTGGCGCGATCTCGGCTCACTGCAACTTCCACCTCCGCAGTTCAAGCGATTCTTTTGCCTCAGCCTCCTGAATAGCTGGGACTACAGGCACCTGCCACCATGCCTGGCTAATTTTTTGTATTTTAGTATAGATGGGGTTTCACTGTGTTAGCCAGGATGGTCTCGAGGGAGATCCCAGACTCTCTTAAGCAACAAGATCCTGGGTGAACTGAGAACTCACTTATCATCAAACGGATGGTGCTAAGCCATTCATGAGGGTCTGCCTCCATGATCCAATCACATCCCACCAGGTCCCACCTCCAACATGGGGAATCACATTTCAACATGAGATTTGGAGGAGACAAACATCCAAACCATATCGTTCCCTGAAAATACTAGGGACAGAGGGATGCATCTCTTTTTCAGATACAGATTTTTCTTTCCCAAACAGAAAGGAAAGATGATTAAATAGACTCAAGCAAGTATCACTGGAGTCCAGCCTGAAACTAGCTGCAAGTCGTAAGTCAGATCTAACCAAGTTACTCTTTTGCTTCAAGTCTGGAAAGGGTACCTACCAGTTGCCTACCGGATTCATCCAAATCTCTTTATTTGGCACCTTAAGTTTTTCCAATTGGCCTATAACTCAGTTTCCCCTTTTGCCCTTCTTCACACCCATTCAGGCCCCAAGCACAGCACACTCCCTGCTGTTTTCCAAGCTCACACCCAAGGCCTTGCCTCTGGGCCTGTGCCCATGCTGTTCCACAATGTGAAATCTTACATATCTTTAATCTGCATTACTTCCATGGATCTTTCCTGACCCTTGAGTGACAATTAATAGCTTTGTCTGCATTCCGTAGAATGGCTATACATCTCTCCATCACAGAATTTAGCACACGGAATTATCATTAATAGCTAACATACCTGTGAGCCCCACTAGAGAACGTGGCAGAGGTCAAGGTTTACTCATCTCTTAACCTTGTTTAGCCCAGTCCCTTACACACATGTGCAGAGAGAGTGTGTGTGAGCGTGTGAGAGCAAGTGTGCTAGATAAATGCTGGCTGACTCTTTAAGAACAAGGTTTTCGTGGTTAACCCAGCTTCAATATGAAATTCAAAACAATGAAGACAGGACTCAAACATAGCAGGGAAATAATATACACTTTTAACTCTCAAAATAAATACTAATCAATTTTATTGTATAAATACAGATGCTGAGTTTTCTTCCAGTTACCAACAGATCAGTTTCACATGCCATTTATTATTCGTGGTGGTTTAAAAAATTATTTAAATAACTGGTTAGGTCAGGATAAATGGGCACCATTAGAACTGCTAAAAAATATATAGCTGGGCACAATCTTCCAAAACTAATATTCTGAGGGGAAAAAAATCTCTGGAATTTCTAAAGTGGTTAAGGGGAAGTGAAGAGAAAAAACACAATCAAATATTCATTTGATAACATTTGCCCGCTGTTTAAAAGTGTCTCAGCTGTAAGAAAACTGAAAGGGTTCTTAGCAGTTCAGAAATAGATAGTAATGAGTTTCCAATTCAACTTATATCTTCCAAGCAAACAATTTTCTTAGTGATTTACAAAACTAAAAGGTTAGTAGGAGATAATAACTCATCCCTTATTTTGGCCCCAGCCACTTTAAACAGAGGCCATACTAACTCTACAACTTTGGAAAACGTCAAACAGTTATTCCAGGAGACGGGTAATCCCATAGGTTCTACCCAGGTCATGGCAGAAACTGCAGACATCAAACAAGTTCAAATGAAAACCCCAAACTCGAACTAAACGAACCCAAACCTAAGTGGTGTTTTGAGGCATCACCACGGGGCTGTGTGGGTCGAGGCAAATGTGTAGGCACCTAGCAATCAGCTCTGAGCAGCCCGATGACATTCAAGAGCAGGGCTCCCCGCCGTGCGGTGAAAAGCCACAAGCCCAGGATCAACCAGGGAGTCTGCACAGCGGTGGGGGGCACTGACGGGTAGACCCCAGAGTCCAGGCTCTCATGGTTGTGTGGGCCTGAGATGGACACTGTAATCATGAGGAGTCCTGCTCCTTGGTGGTGCCAGCGCCAGGCTGGATGCCCTGCAACCCAGTGTACCTACTTTGAGTTTGGTGTGACATTTAAGTCCATCCCGCACCTGGGGCAATCGTAAGTCCCACGGGGTTGACCTTCCATTCTGCAATCCTAACACTGCCCTTCAGAACTTTTCTTTTTTTTTGGTAAATGTTACTTCCCTGGAGGGCCCCGCAGCACGTGCATATCCACGATGCTGTCTCCACCCACACTGACTCCAAAATGAGCGACAGACAGTACACTGCAGAGAAGCTCCTGCTCTAGGTGAAGGAGCCCCACTTCTTCATGTGGAGGAAGATGGGCTTCTGCAGATCCAGTTAAAGCTTTCGACTGCCTGAGAGTTGGGTTTATTTGTGATGTAGTCATCCTGTGAGTTCTCTACATGGAAAACAACAATGTAGCTATACATTAAACTTGAGCCCAGGAATGCTTGGACACAAAATAAAGTGACGGTGAGGCCTGTGAGTGAAGCTGTTATGCAGGACAAATGTGGCGACTGGAGTATATACCTGTCAAGTGTTTGTGTTGCTATATACAATATGCAAACTGAATGAAGTCAACAGCCTCCGCTTAGATAGACATGGCTTTTGTTCAGGCTAGTCCTGTCATGATGTGACATATGGAGACGTAGGTTCAAGAGGAATTTCCAAGCTGGTAAAAAAAAATCAGGTCGGGTGAAGTAAACTCAATTTTTATTCTTCTATATAATACATGGATATATGGATAAATTTTCCTTTAAAGAGTTTGCAACCCTGAGGCAATGTCCTTGGGTACGTAACGTATAAAGCAACAGCAAATGAAATCTGAATGCGGGAATGACAACTGGACTTCGAAACATAATTTAATATTCATGAAATTGCACACATACCAATAGTATTCTATGTCTCGTCTAGCCTCTTAATCCAACTATCTCAACTGCCTTGCAGTTTGCCTACCAGACACCCCAACTCTCTACATACATTCTGTCATGTAAATGCTGACCTTCTGACTGAAATTTAATAAATTAACATGGGATTTACATCAAGGGATTTTTGTCTGGTGAGTGCATTGCCAGAAAGCATGCCTAGTTCCTGACCACAGCATCTGCCCACATAAAAACTTTGGCCCCCACAGGGGATGAGATGGCATCTGACTGCAGTAACCTCGAGGTCCTTGAGGGTCCCTTGGGATCCACCAGGAGCAAGTTTTTCATCTAATCTGAGGGCCGCATTAAGGGTATGGCAGAGGAGGGGAAGGCCATGGCTGGTTAGAAGAGATGGAACGTCACAGCTACTGGGTTACAGAACCAGTGAATCTGATGTCCTGTTTTCAGGACGCATGGCCCATCCACGGAGAAGATGGGGCGACAGTAGGGTCTAAAGGTGGACTGTGGTACCCGGGGGCAGGAAGAGGGACAGTTAGGCCTAGATGTAAGGAGACCACTATGCTGCTTCTTCATCTACCTCACAGATGGCCACAGACCTTTCAGTACATGGCGGAAACCTATTTCTGAATATTCCGTTTTCCCAAAGTTTTATAAACCATGGTGAGGGCAAATGCTTATGAGAAACTAAGGGTGTGTTCATTATATTATTTATATATTATCATCTTCCCTCTGAGGATAACATACAAGGGTAAATAAAAAGCAGACAAATAGCTAAAAGGTGACTCGAGCTGTAAGCTCTTTCAACTAGAGGGTGATTTTTGCTTTAAAATCATCAGGCCCGAAAAGCAAATCTTGAAAGCAAAATCTAACTTTGGCCCACTGATAACAATGATCCTGAGTCCCTCCTTCATTCCCAAAGTCTGTTTTTCCGAGGAATATCCTCCATTAATATTCATTTTGTGTCATCATTATCACAAAGGGTTAAGTGCAGCTTTCACTTCATTTTAGGCAGAGCTTCTGCCCCAGTCCTACTGTTGACCTGCTCACTTCACTTATCGGAACTCCTGCGCGGCCGGCGGAAGCTGGATACGTTTTCATTCAGTGCATAGATCCTTCGGGAGAACTCTTCAAATTCTCCCAGAACTTGTTCGTCACACTCTACTGCCACAGCACTGTCCACTGGGATGCAGTTAAATGCTTCTAGCTGATCACCTGAGGCGAAACCTGTGGCTTCCAGCCCGATGATTTCTTCTGCTTGCTCCACAGTACAGCAGAGCTCAGCTTCTGAGACTGGGTGGAACTCGCCTGGAAGCTGGACACTGGCGGACCCGGCCTGCTCGCTGGGTAGGAGAGTGCCATTGACTGTGGCCCGGTGCCCGGAGAGGGCTTCTCCTTGTTCTTGGCTAGGGTGCACATTCGCGTGGCCTCCGTTTAAGCTGCCAACTAGATCCTCTCCTTTTTTCTTGTTTTCTTTGGAGAAGTCCAAGGAGGTATCCAAGGAGGAGGATAGAGATGTTATCTTTCTCTCGGTCTCTCCCATGGAGGGGACGGTGGTCACAGGCTGGGCTAATGCTGAGTTGTAACTGGGAGGAGGGGTTTTGTACTGAAGTCTCTCATTCTCAGAGCTGGCCCGTTTTCGATGTCCTTTGTCTGGTGAAGGGATCCCCCCAGAGAAGCCTACATCTGCACCCCCAAATATGGAGCTTTGTCTCTTAGGAACAGGGATTGCACTGGAGGTGTGATGTCTGTCACTAGAAGAGAAACAAAAACAAGAAGTTACTTTGGACTTCAGAACTCAGTGTAAGCCTTCTGGATCCAGAGACAGGGAACAGCATACTTAGGTCTGAGCTAATAAAAATAGATAAGAATCAATCTTAGACAATAGTTATTGCAGTGTCTCAATGCAAAAAACAACATGAGGTATGTGGGTCCAACTTTGGGAGCTTCCTTCCAGCAGGATACAGACACACTGCAATATATTTAGAGAAGAGGGCCCAAGGCAGGGCAGGGAACAGAAACCCTGTCCTATGGGGAAGAGGTGAAGTAACTGGACAGGCTGGATCTAGCAAGAAAAACATGTGAAGGATATAACTAACTTCATATTTCTGAAGGGCTATCCATAATCTCATTCTTGTTTTAGTATTCAATTCAATTCTTATTTTAGCTTTGAAAAGCAGGCATCCTCATCTGGCAGAGAATTTACATGACTTGCCCATGCTCAGTGAGGCAGTGAGAAGGATTTCATGACCAACAACCTTGCCAACACCCAAATGCTAACCACCTTGCATTAGAGGACTGGCAGAGGAGGGAGGGAGAGAGAGAGAGAGAGAGAGAGAGAGAGAGAGAGAGGGAGGGAGGGAGGGAGGGAGGGGGAGAGGGGGAGGGAGGGAGGGAGGGAGGGAGAGAGAGAGAGTCAAGGTTATATTTTAAAAATTAAAAAAAATTTTTGAGGGGTTCCTTTTTTTTTTTTAAAATGAAAAACTAACTTGGGAAATACATTCTTTGATGGGGCTAGCCACACATATGTTTTACAATACTTGGTCTGCAATGCTGTCTTTTGGGTCTGAGTTTCTTCTCAGGAGGGTATCTTTGGGCCAGCAATAACAATCATTGTTCAGTTATACAAACTTTATAATTTCTGAAGTAATTTCCTATACATCATTTCACTTAGTCTTTACAAAAACCCTATAGAGAAAGCAGGGTAAAGTCTGAAATAATAAATAATAATCAGTTAATGGAAATAGAGTATCTACATCCTGGAAATGATGGCTATGTTATACACTATGCTAGCTCTAGACATTCTTGTATGTGGATGAAATTAGCTTCAATACAACCATATGAACAGATTGGGTCCAGAGGCAGAGGGAGGCACACACAGATCATTTGACTTGCGTGCTTCAGATGAGGAAACACGCATAGAGGGTTAAGTGGCTTGCAGAAGGGCAACCACTAGGCAGGGGTAGAGGCAGAACTTGAAACTACACACACCCAACAAATAGTTCCCATATGTGCCTGGCCTTGGGGTAGGGAGACAGATGCAAGACCAGTAGGCCCTTCCTCCAAGGAGCTACCAGTCCTGCAGGAGAAAGACATCCCTCATTATTCAAATAATACATTTTCAAATTACAATAGCAAGAAGTGCCCTAGAAAAGAAAAGAGATCTGGGGTTTCTTCCACTTGTGTCTACAGCCACAAGCCCTGGCCCCAGCTCCCTGCTCTCTCTCCTCTGATGCAGGATTATACTTGCAGTCTCAGACACCCAAGCAAGGGTTATTCTTGGGAAGGGGCAACCACACGGCTTCTAATCCTTGGGTCTGTCAGACTCCTCTGCCTGGCTGTGAGTACTGGTGCCAGGAGAGATTTCATAATTAGGCGTGGTCACTGGGGTACATATAGAACTAGGCAAGTAGACTAGTAAATTACAGTGTTTAGTTCTCCAGAAAAACAAAACAAAACAGGGCAAAATCTGCTGGCCTCGATCTAGGTTTATAGTTAATATGTTGCCCAAATTCACAATAATTGGGTAAGCTACACATTTTTGCAAGCCTTGTTTTTACTCTACCATTTGCTAACAGTGTCCCTCTCTAAATCATCTTGCAGGTTGACTAGGTACTCAAACCAAAAGAGAACATCAGCACCACCTCAGACAGTCTATTCTGTGCAGAAAAGCCAAGCTTTCATTTGCCAGCCCAGCCCACGAGGGGTGGAAGCACCAGGTGAAACAGCCCGGAACACTGAAGGTGACTTGTTGGTGTGTGGCTAGAGCCAGGTGCTTAACCCCTCATGCTGTGACCCTGCGCTGCCATCCTCCCACCCCAGAAATCCTGCTCTGCTGTTTTGTGGGGCTCCCAGTGGGCTGATAAAAGGCAGGGCATGAGAAACAGGCCTGGGGCACACCCAGCAGTGCTTGCCGCACAAGAGGAACAGGGTGTTTGTAGCCCTCGTTGAGTTTGAGAACTCTAAAAGTTCTCAACTTTGTACAACAGAAAACTAATGAGGCGCGACAACCCCCACTGCCCCACCTTGCCAACTACAATGTGAAGGGAACGACCATTTTCCCGACTGTCAATAATGTTCTGAGCCCCGTGGAAGATGAGCTGCCCACACAGAGCCCTCGAGTGTCCTGTGAGGAAGATAGGCAGGTGGTGGGTCATGTGGTTTGTTCAAGGCTGAAGAACCACATCTGAACTAGATTCTGTCTGACTCCAGAGCCCATCCTATCTATTGTGTCCCACAAGGGAACACGACATTCAAATTCAAGTAACATTTGCTAAGTGCCAAAGACATAGTACACATCAAGCTAAATGCCTTCTCATTTGCCCACAAACTCTAAGATGGTAATGTTATTCCTCTTTTCATGGATGGACTCCAAGGCTTTGAGAGGTGGGAACTTTGGTATTTTCTGACATCCTGATTTTGTGACATTCTTCTCCAGTTCCCTTGGATTTGTATGAAAACTCAAGTAATGGTAGTATCAGATTCAAACTGGAAAATCCAAGTACCAGTAAAAGGTTCTCTCTCTTTTTATTTTTTAATTTAAAAAAAAATTTTTTTAGAGACAAAGTCTCACTCTGTTGCTCAGGCTAGAGTACACTGGTGTGATCACAGCTCACTGCAGCCTCAACTCCTGGCCTTAAGGGATCCTCCCACCTCAGTCTCCCAAGTAGCTGGGACTACAGGTGTGTGCCACGATGCCCGGCTAATGTTTTTTATTTTTAATTTTTTTTTAGAGACAGGATCTCATCATCTTGCACACACTGGTCTCAAACTCCTGGGCTCAAGTGATCCTCTTGCCTTGGCCTCCCAAAATATTGGGATTACAGGTGTGAGCCACAGGTCCCAGCCAAAATGGTCTCTCTTAAGAATGGTAAGGAAATTAGTTATTTTTGGAGAGATAATAAAGAAGTCTACATATCTAAGGTTTACCTTTTTATCACCACATTTTTTCCCTCCATTTTTAGTTCTATGAGATTTAACCTTTCAAAAATTTTTATTACAGCTTTTCTTACCATCTTAAAAAAGTTGAACAAGAAAAGGCATTTTCTCGTTGCCTCTGGGCCACTGATATGAACATTACTGAGCGATGACACAATAAGGGGACTACAGGATGTTCAGTGGTGTCTGTTCTGTAGGACGCAGGTCTGGAGGTAAGCCTGGCGTGGGTTCTTCGAGTCCCCTCTGGCGCTGTGGGTGGTTGAATCAGTGCCCCTGCCCGCAGTGGCCACTATACCCTTTCTTAGTTTGCTGTGTTCTTGTAAAGCAGATGTCCTGAAAATTGTGTGCAAAGTATGAGTAAACAGGATTTGCGTGGCGGGCCAGGAGCTGTCCTGGGCACAATATGCTGTATTTATTATATGAGTTTGGTAACATTAGTTTTAGCTGTTCAGAATTGATTTTTTTATTACTTCCAGGATCCCAGCTACATTCCAGATTTTTAAGATAGCCAAGCTCCAAACAGTTGAAGTATCAAATGATAACATTAAACACACATGTATTTTTAATTATTACAATAGTTTTACAGGAAAACTAAAACTATGTTAACTATATAAAAAAATAAAAACTCACAAGTCTATTACCCATCAAATAACTGCTATTAATTTTGGGTATTTTCCTTTCAGACTTTGATTTTAAATATATGTGTTTAATTTTTAAAGAAACCCTATGGGCCAGGTGTGGCGGCTAACACCTGTGATCCCAGCACTTTGGGAGGCCAAGGTGGGAGGACTGCTTGAACCCAGGAGTTTGGGACCAGCCTGGGCCACATAGGGAGACCCTGTCTCTATAAAAAATTAAAAAATTAGCTGGGTATGGTGGTGAGCGCTTGTAGTCCCAGCAACTGTGGGCTGAGGTGGGAGGATTGCGTGAGCCTGGGTTGCAGTGAGCTGTGATCATACCACTGCACTTTAGCCTGGACGACAGAGCAAGACCCTGTCTCAAAAAAAAAAAAAAAAAGGAAACAAGAAAGAAACACTAAAGCTGTGTTTCTGGTATATACAGAATGCTACATCCTGCTGTTGGATGCTATTAAAACCTCCTGGTAAGCAGAATTCTAAATGGTTGCTTCACTGAATGGACTATCATAATTTACTTAATTATTCCCTTACTTTTGTAGATTTAGGATGTTTCTGAACCTTTGCTATTAAAAAACAAACTGCTGTGAGCATCTCGTATAAAAACATAATGCATAGATTTTTAATAAAATAATTTTGATTTTATATTTAATGGAAGGTTTTCAGAAAGACCCTTCATTCATATTTTAGTATAAGGTAAAGAAATAAAAGAGTATTTTTATCTCTACTCTTGCCTAAAGAGAGAAAGGGAGGAATTGAAAAGGCAAATAATAGTTCAAAACAGAATATTCAGGAGGTTTCAAGATTCTTTGATTACAGTCTGGCTTCATGACTATTTCATCTAGATGAAGAGGTTGAAACTCATAGATTTACTAATTATATGACCAATTTTTAAAGGCTGTTGACAATTTACTCATCATATGCAATTAGTACATTATTTATATTGTGATGAAAAACTTACAGGGAGCCTCAACCCTTAGACAACCAAAAGCAAAAATGTGTGTGTTTTGGGAGGAGTGGACATATTAGGAAACACAGTAGCTTTTCTTTATTCTCTGCTCCCACCAAGGGGCCCCGTGTGTTCGGAGGCACTAGAATTGCGGGTGCAGAGCCTGAGGTTCAAGCAACTGGACCGAGTCTACCAGTTCACTGCACACATTCTCCTCACCAGCCATTTCCCGTAAGTGGCTGTCTCTTCCAGCTGGGCTTAGCTCCAAACTGGAAACATGACATCTGTGGTTTAATGCTGCAATTAAAAGGAATTTATTAAAAAACAACAACCCAAAGATATCATAATTGCAAATTTACTAGGCTATGGTTTAGTGAAACACAGTGTAGCTTGTTGAATAACTGAACCACACCAGGGACTGTTAACCTTTTGCCATAAGTAAAAAAGTATTTCCTGGGGTCACAAACAATGGCACGATGAGGGAGAAGCCAACTGGCCTGGAGTTTAGATGTCAAGGAGGAAGTCAGTTTGGCTTCCTTGGATCAAGTTTTCTCTGAGCTCTCTAAATTAAGATGATTAATTTGTTTCTCATTCTGTGAGTCCTTATTTATTGCAATCAACTATCTTTTCTTATCTCTTCAGCTCTAGAGACAGTGGCGACAAGAAGGACTGTTCAAAGACCTGGATTCTACTCTTAGCTCTGCCACTATGATCCCACCTATATGGAGTTACAACTTAAGGTTACATTCGTTTATTAGTTATATCAGTGCTCCTCAATCTTTTTGGCACCAGGTACCCGTTTTGTGGAAGACAATTTTCCTATGGATTTGGGGGTGGGGATATGAAACCTCCACCTCAGATCATCAGGCGTTAGTTAGATTCTCATAAGGAGCACACAACCTAGATCCCTCAAATGTACAATTCACAACAGGATTCGTGCTCCTATGAGAGTCTAATACCATGGCTGATCTGATGGGAGGCGGAGCTCAGGGGGTAATGCTCGCTCACCCTCCATCGCCTCCTGCTGTGCGGCCCGGTTCTTAACAGGCCACAGACGGGTAAAAGTCTGTGGCCCGGGGGTTGGGCACCCCTGAGTTATATGACTGTGGGCATATTTAATGACTATTTATAAAATAGATCGACTACAGTAAGTAATAAATAAAATAATGTGCTTAAAATCGTTGGCAGGATGCCTGGCATAGACACTAGCGTCAGTAGTAGTTGTAATTGTGGTGGTTGTCATTATGATTCGTTTCAGTAGGCTTCAAATTCCAAGTATTATTCTCATTTTACAGAAGGCGCAACTGAGACTCAGACATATTCATGTCTTGCACAGGAACACAGGGTAATAGGTAGAAGAAGGACTGGAATCTAAATCTCCTTCCCTTTACTGTTTCTCTTATACAGCATACTGTTTCAAGCAGGAACAAACGAAACTCCTACCACCTACCTTCCCACACCTCCACTTCTGTACATCAGGGAGCTAGCTGCAAGAAGGAAATAAAGAAGTACAGTGCCAGGCGTGGTGGCTTATGTCTGTAGTCCCAGCACTTAGGGAGGCTGAGGTGGGAGGATCACTGGAGCCCAGGAGGTTGAGCTTGCAGTGAGCTATGATCATGCTACTGCATTCCAGCTTGGATGAAAGTAAGACTCCCCCGCCCACCAAAAAAAAAAAAAAAAAAGGCCAGGTGTGGTGGCTCATGCCTGTAATCCCAGCACTTTGGGAGGCCAAGGTGGGTGGATCACCTGAGGTCAGGAGTTCGAGATCAGCCTGGCCAACATGGCAAAACCCCATCTCTACTAAAAATACAAAAATTAGCCCGGTGTAGTGGTGGGCACCTGTAATCCCAGCTGCACGGGAGGCTGAGGCAGGAGAGCAGGAGAATCTCTTGAACCCAGGAGGTGGAGGTTGCGTGAACCGAGATTGCAGTACTGCACTCCAGCCTGGGCAACAGAGTGAGACTCCGTCTCAAAAAAAAAAAAAGAAAAGAAAAAAAGAAAAAAAAAAGTATAAAAGAGATTTGGAGAAAAAGACCCAAATCAATCAACAGATTTAATCTGTTCAATGTGAAACACAATCTTAGGTTTTTTTCTTTTTTTCTTGGGGACATGAGGTGGGGAAAGCTTTGAATAAAGTCAAAATGCTCAAAATTCCTCTGTTTTCATGATCTACCTACTGCTTAGGGACTAGAAGAACTTCCCAGAATCCTTTGAGGTACATTCCAATTGTCCCCAAACCCCTGATGCATCCTTGTTCTGCATGAATTTAGCTTCAGGAAGAGAGAATTTTTTAAGAGGGAGAAATTCTCTATTTCTCTGACTAAAATGAAGAAGACCATATTCAGCACTTTTATAACCATTATATAAATACCTTGCCATGCAAATACCTTGCCATGAAGCCAACCCAGGAACTGGTAGAGCCCAGTTTCCTCTACTCCACCATCCTTGCCCCCATCATTTCCCTCCTCTTCCTCTTGGTTTTACTGCCTGAAGCTGTAGCCTCCTTTTACAGAAAAGAGATTGGGAAAGAGAAAACAAGTTAAGAAAGCACCAGTCCAAAATGTGATTCCCATTTCCACATCTCCCATAGGTAATATTCCAGAGCTCCACATGTAGCTCCATCGTTAGGAAACACGAGACACTGATGATGCACCTCACTGCTCCCAACCTAGGTGTCCTCTTCTGTGAAATGGTTATAGCTACCAATAGTTACTGCAGTAAGGATTAAATGAGATATACAAGTAAAATTCCTAGTACAATGAATAAGTACCCAATAAATTATTAATAATAATAAAACGGCAACTAAAATTTATAAAGCGCTATGGATTAAGCACTCTGTTAACAGCTTTATACATGGTCTCATTTAATCCTTATGACATCTCTGTGAAGTATTACAAACATCATCCTCATTTTACAGATGAAGAAACTGAAGCACAGAGGTTAGGTAACTTGACCAAAGGTCATGAAGCCACTAGGTAGAAAGATGTGATTTAACCAAGCCGGTCTACCTAATTGTTAATTTCCTTCTCTCTCCCAGTCCCTAGGATCTTAAGTTTTTTGTTGTCACCAAAACATCTACATTTGATCTCTACTTCTACTTGAGGATGGGGTGAGAATGAGAAAAATTTTTAGGTTAAGTGGATTGGTATATTTTCCTTCTCTTCTCTTCCTGCCTACATTAAGTTTGTGTTGCTCTTTTGACTTTCTAAGACTTATACTGTTAGGCATTCTAAGCATCAGCTATGAGCAGAAATAAATTCTGCCACGAACTGATGTAAATGTGGAAACTTACAGGAAAAATGAAATAAAGAAAGCATGTAAAGATTTACCACATCAAGAGAGTTCTTGAAGCTGGGGTGAGGCTTTAACAATTTGAAACACTTTTTTTTTTCCTAATTCTCTTTCAGATTCACTTGTACTTGTTTTATCTGTCTACAACCAGGTCCCACACTGTAAAGTATGAGGACAGAGTACAATTCACAGTCTCAAATATGTGTCTTTCCCTCCCTACAAAATGTTTCCTCTGAGGGACATTACTAGATCACAGCTGGTCAAAATACTAAATCTTGATTGTCTGGCTCCCGGCCAAAATCTACAGCTACAACTCAGTGGAATAAGAATATTTAAAAAGAAAAAAAAAGACTTTTAAACAACATTTGATCTTCTTCTTTCTCCCTCCTTGTAGCAATCTATGACCTCATGGCAGTGAGACCTCTACATGGAGGTGTTTAAGTTGGTTTACGGCCACCAGAAATGTTTGAAGCTCTAGGTACTAGTCTGCGCCAATATCATGTCAACTGTGTTAAAAAGCAATAATAGTTTCTCACCTTCTTAAAGATTACTGCTTAAATAATGCAGAGCAACGACAGGCTTGCACAGAGTGCCAAAAGCGGGTTGCCAAGGCAAAGCTGAGGTAGAATTACGTCTTTTGGCAGCTAAGAAATTATGACATAAAGTTAGTTTTTTCAAAAAAACAACCTTCATAAATTAAGCTACTATCCTTTTTTCAAAATTCAGCAAAGGTTGGGATTTATCCTTCTTCTTTCCCTCTCTCAGATCAAGTAGGAGCTCAGAACCTCCTTTAGGGAAAGCCAAATTTAACAGCTAGATCTTATCTCCCAGGAGGTAGCTGGGGGTTAATAGTTTTAAGCATGCATTCTCCAGGCCACAGGCAAGCAATCCAAAGGCCTCTCACCATTACCAGATAAGTGTAAGTACTTAATCTTTGCCCTGGATGTTAACAAAAACATGAAACAAAATAAAAATAGAAACAATATTGGGCCAAAAGCACAGGCTGAAATCTGTGCCAATGGTCACTTTTCCCCCGGGGCTTTGCTTGGAAGGTTTCCTACCAAAGTCTGTCTAAATAAAAACAGAGTATAAAAAGGTATAACTGAACAAGGCAGCCTTTGGATTTTATTTAAACCAAGTAGTGATGGAAAGATGAATTGGTGAAAGAGAAAGTTCCACAGGCAAAAGACAAAATAAGCAAGCTGAAGAAATCCAGTTCACCAGGCTTTGTGATGTGAGGTCTTGGCCATCAGGCCTCCATGGCCCAGCTTGGGCCAGTGGACAGAGGATGAGGGGGTGCCTATTGCCGAGAGCCCATCTGGAGGCCAGCTCAGGCTCCAGGCTGAGCTCCATGGGATCAGGGAATACACAGTGATCCTCCACGGAGATAAAGAGAGGTCCTGGGAGGGGTCAAGTCAACCACTTCACTCATCAGCTTTCACTTTAAGAAATCATCATACAAATTAATGTAGTAAAATCACAGTCAGGCAACCAACATTATGAGGACTGTAAAATGGTCTGTAGAAACAGACATAGCCCATCTTGATGTCATTTATATAGGGCTTAAGTAACATCCTACACGAGAACATGGAAAGAACAGGAAAGAGATGCCAGGAATGATACCTGGGGACCCCTCGGAGTATCTGGACAACACTTGATACTTGGGAATAATAAACTGTTTATGCTGAAAACCAGGGAAAAAATGAAAAAAAAAAACAAAAAAACCCAAAACCTCTGCCTTTGCCAGGGAAACCAGAGGAACAACAATCTCACAGAACCCAGCCCCCAGAAGGAACTCGATAGGGAAATTAAAACCCTGGTCAGAGAATGCTTTCAGAGTTTAAAAACTAGACTTGGAAGGGAGCTAAAGGATGCATTAGACTCCCAGGGCCAGTGACAGAATCTGTGAGATGAAGTCTTTGAAAGATACTACTAACACTGACCTACCATCAGCTCTCTAATAAACTCTCACTGAACCAAACTGTGAGGGTTTAGTTGTTTGTTACTTTAAAAGAAAAATGGATAGCTCTGCCACCATTTTCAGAGATGCTGGAGGCCTTGGGCAGAAGTGTTTGAGTTGCAATTTGCCGCAATTTAATTACTGTTTAGTAAGAGACTGGGACTCTAGAGATGACATCTTGGTAACCTTATCTTTTGTAGTCCCCTATACTCCTAAAGGAGGCAGAGTATAAAACAAATTAATTGATTTACCCCCTTATTCAAATATGTATTGAGTATCTAGCTGCGCTAGACTCTGGGGCTATAATAATTGGAAAAAAGCCATGGTTCATGTTTTAATGGAATTTATTGTCTAGTGAGAGAGGACAGACAAGTACACATACATCACATACATCAATGTCAAACAACCACCTCTGACCCAAGCTATGCAGGAGAGGACACGGGCTCAAAGAGCTTGTAGCAGAGATCTGACCCAGACAGAAAAGGACAAGATTAGAAGGGCTAGTAGAGTTCTTCACCAGGTAAAGAATGGGTTGGTGGGGAAGAGTATCTTCCAGGTAGCAGGAACAGCATTTGCTAAGACCTTTTATCAAGAAAGATAACAATGTTTGAGGACCCAAAAGGTCAATGAGTGAAGAGTTCTATGGTAGAAGATAAAACTGAGGAGGAAAACAAAGTCTGGACCATGCAGAAGCCACAAGCCATGTTTAGAACTTTCAGGCAAAGAAGAGAGAGAGAGAAAGCGAGAGAGAGAGAGAGCGAGAGAGAGTGTGAGAGTGAGTGAGTGTGTGTGTCAGAGGTGCAGAGAGAGAGAGAGAGAGAGACATTTATACTTTGGAAAGTGCACTCTGGCTGCAGTTGGGAGAGCAGAATGGAGGGGTCCAGAGTGGATGGTGGGAGACTGCAGGCTGTGCAGTAGTACAGGTGAAAGGTAATGGAGGCATGGATCAGAATGGAAATGTACAGACATAGACAAACAGAAATAGCAGGAGAAATTGGCAGGAATTGCCAGAGTTGGATATAAGGGTGAGGAAGAAAAGGAGGAACAAAGGTTTTTGCCTGGCTTCCTGGCTAGTGTAAAAGAGTGAAAAGTGGTTTCATTCGCAGAAAGCAAAGAGCTTATCGTGACTGGGATGGAAGACTGGTAGAAAAACGCATGGGCACTTAGAATGTGCTGTGAAAATGTACAGGAGGCAATTTCTGATATCAGAACTTATCTCCACTTAGAATAAAGTGAGAGAAAAAAGGGCCTAGGACTAAGCCTTTAGGAGCTCCAGCTTTTCGTGATGAGGTAGAGGAAGAGGACCCTCCGAATGAGATAAGAAGGAGCATTCAGAGAGGAATGAAGAAAACCAGGAGAAGGCTGTAATAACAAGATTCCTTTTCTGGAATCACCAGATGCTAAATGATCCCTTGTGTAAAACACTTTATTCTTAACATAGTTATAGGAGAGGTTGTCCATGTAATGGTTAAAGCAGGACTTCTAAAACTGCTCTGCCTGGGCTCAAATCTTAGCTCTTCCACTTGATGGCTGTGTCACATTAAGTTATGTAACCCCTCAGTTCCTCAGTTTCCTCATTTCTAAGATGGGAGAGGTTAGTAGGTCCTAATTCACAGGGCTGTGTGAGGAGTAAATGAGTTAACTGAATACTATGTTCAAAGTGCTTTGGAAGAGTGCCTGGTTTGCAGTAATAGTCACTTGATATTAGCTACAATGATATTAACTATTATTATAGATTGCTATCCATTAAGAGAAGAATTATAGAATAAACATCATATAAAATGATATTTAAACTCTTTAAAATTAAAACACAAGGCATTTCCTCAGATGGATCCAGAGGCTAAAACAAAATAAAACAAAACAAAACACAGGGAATTATATCTAAATCGAGCTTAAACCCAAAGGTCACAGCTGGGCGGGGTGGCTCATGCCTGCAGTCCCAGCACTTTGGGAGGCAGAGGTGGGGGGAATCACTTGAGCCCAGGAGTTCGAGGTTGCAGTGAGCTATGATGGCGCCACTGCACTTCAGCCTGAGCAACAGAGCGAGACACTGTCTCAAAACAAACAAACAAACAAACAAAAAATACCTCCCATGCCTGGCACCCAAGGTCATACTGAAACAGCCAGTGCTCATTTCTAATGCTGCTGACACTTACCAGCTTTTGATGGGCAAAGACCATATTGCTAAGCCTTCTTGAAACTTAGGACAGTGCATTCGATCCAGAAGGATACTTATTTACTGACACTTATCAACATATGCTAAAGCAGTGGCCCCCAACCTTTTTGGCAGCAGGGACCGGTTTCATGGAAGACAATTTTTCCATGGGCCGTGGGCAGGGGGGCTGGTTTCAGGATGAAACGATTCCATCTCAGATCATCAGGCATTAGCTTCTCACAAGGAGCACACAACCTAGATCCCCCGCGTGAGTAGTTCACAGTAGGGTTTGCACTCCTATGAGGATCTAATGCTGCTGCTGATCTGACAGGAGGCGGAGCTCAGGGGTAACACTCGCTCATCCTCTACTCACCTCCTGCTGTGAGGCCTGGTTCCTAACAGGACATGGACTGCTACTGGTACATGGCCGAGGGTTGGGGACCCCAGTGCTAATGAATGCCTACTGAAAAGCACTGCTTTTTTAGTGTGCCTATCTCAGTGGCTTTTGTACTAATTCCCTCTCCAATTCATTTAAGTATGCCCATCTTCTAAAACCCAATTCAAGTCCTTTTTTTTTTTGAGATGGGGTCTCGCTCTTTTTGCCCAGGCTTGAGTGCAGTGGTGCAATCTTGGCTCACTGCAACCTCTGCCTCCCATGTTCAAGTGATTCTTGTGCCTCAGCCTCCCAAGTAGCTGGGATTACAGGCATACACTACCACGTCCGGCTAATTTTTGTATTTTTAGTACAGATGGGGTTTCACCATGTTGGTCAGGCTGGTCTTGAACTCCTGACCTCAAGTGATCCGCCCACCTTGGCCTCCTAAAGTGCTGGGATTACAGGTGTGAGCTACCACGCCAGGCCTCATTGATTCATTCATTCATTCATTTTTTTTTTTTTTTTTGAGACGGAGTTTTGTTCTTGTTGCCCAGGCTGGAGTGCAATGGCACAGTCTTGGCTCACTGCAACCTCCACCTCCTGGGTTCAAGCGATTCAAGTAGCTTGGATTACAGGCGTGTACCACCACACCCGGCTAACTTTCTGTATTAATAGAGACGGGTTTTCACCATGTTGGTCAGCTGGTCTCGAACTCCTGACCTCAGGTGATCCACCCACCTCGGCCTCCCAAAGTGCTGGGATTACAGGCGTGAGCCACCGTGCCCGGCCCTCATTCATTCTTTAACTCATTTCTTTAACTCCTTCATTCTGTCTTCTTTAACCATGCCAATCTAAGTGATCTCTTTGAACTCTGAAGGTAGTACTTATGTTACCATCCAACTGATGCTTAATGTGATCACTTGCATTTTCAACACATCTTTCAGACATTACCGAAATCCACATTTCATTGCCTGACAGTTTTTGAGGCTCTGGAAATAAAGAGATGTATAAAATAAGATTCCTATCATTAAGGAGTTCCCACTCTAGTAGAGAAGACAGAGAGTTAACCAATAACCAGAACACCATGGTGCTCTGAATACAATACACACTTTGTATATTACAGTGAAGAAGGGAATCAAGTAATCAGTGGGAAGACTCATCAGAGGAGGTTGTATTTGATTGGCACCTTGAAGGATAAGTGGAAGCTAACCAGGCAGTGTACGTGTGTGTTGGGGGTGAGGTAGAGCAAGAAATGAAGGGAAGGGCATTTAAGGCAGAATAAAATACGGTATTTGTGTGCAGTCCAACTGTGGAGCCAAGTCTTGTAAACAGCATATGGGAGGGATCTAGTCTTTATTTCTGGAAACCCCCTCTTCCGCTTTCCAATATAACTTAGTACAGAGCACACAGATATTCAGTGAATATACTTGTTTTATGTATAAATGAATTTAATTAGTTGTGTGCAAAAGGAAACATTTAGGTGATGTTTTTTGGCAATGTGTTGAGAAAAACACAACTACCTCAATATATTGTTATAGTAAATCTAAATGATGAAATACTACGTAGCCATTAAAAATGATGCTAAAAAGTTTTAAAGGGCACTGATAAAATACTTAAGACATTACGTTATACAAAAAAGCTGTAAGGACTGTGCTGTCCACCATGACCACTAGGAACTGGTTGCTGGAACTTGAAATGTGGTTAGTCTGACTTGAGATGTGCTACAAGAGTAAACTGGATTTAGAAGGCTTAGTATGAAAAAAGAGAATGTAAAATATTTATTAATAATCTTTAAAATGTTTATTACATGTCTACAAGATATTTTGGATATATAACTTGGATTTTATTTGAATTAAATAAAATATATTATTAAAATTAGCTTACCTGTTTATTTTTAGCTTTTTAAAAATGTGACTGCCAGGCCGGGCATGGTGGCTCACGCCTGTAATCCCAGCACTTTGGGAGGCCGAGGCAGGTGGATCACGAGGTCAGGAGATCGAGACCATCCTGGCTAACATGGTGAAACCCCGTCTCTACTAAAAAATTAGCCGGGTGAGGTGGCATGCGCCTGTGGTCCCAGCTGCCCGGGAGGCTGAGGCAGGGGAATGGCGTGAACCCGGGAGGCGGAGCTTGCAGTGAGCTGAGATCGCACCACTGCACTCCAGCCTGGGTGACAGAGCGAGACTCTGTCTAAAAAAAAAAAAAAAAAAGTGACTGCCAGAATATTTAAATTTATATGTATGGCTCATATTATATTTCTATTGAAAAGTGTTGGTACAGATGGTAAGATCTGAATTAGAAAAGAAATACAAGGAAAACTGGCTAATACAATAGTGATTTTTTTGTGCCTGAATTATGGGGCTATTGTTTCCCTTCTGCATATTTTTACAACTTCCAAATTTTATTCATTGAGCCCATACTATTTTATAATCAAAAGGAGTAAATAGAAATAAAGAAGACCCAAGTAAAAACAATGGGAAAAGAGCTCTCAATTTGGTTCAGAGACTTGGTTGCTGGAGTAGGGGAGAGGCGGCGCCGGGATACCCAAGTGCCTTTCTGTCACCAGTGGAGGGTTAGTGCACAAAGGATGTTGGCCAGCTGTTCTCCATCCTGACTGGAGGCAGAAAAAAGTGGAAATGGGTGTTAACCGCAGGAGGGGGCCTGTTAGTTAAATATAGGGAAGAATTTCCTGAAGTGAGGGTGTTTAAACTCTGGAATGAGTTATGGAAGAAGCCTGGTCCCCTAAGGTCTTTTAAAATACTACAGATACCCATATGCCTTGTGTGTTCCTGTCTAGAGACAAGGAGATGACTCGTCAAGGTTCTTCTGAAACAGCTATCTTAGAGAAAATAACTCCAATAAAACTTTCTTTTTCACTTATTTTTGACTAGGCTTAACTTTTCATATTAGGGGTGCCGGCCTGCAAGAAATGCTCTCAAAGGCGAGCCTATCTGATACAGCTACCTTAAGTAGGACTCTTGAGACTTCAAAGACAATGTTATTTGATCTAAATTTAAAAACCAACGTCAGCTAGACAACATGTTTTTCATTTCCCTAGAGGGTCATCTGCCAGATTTCAGTTCTGAATTCAGCATAAGGATGATGGACAGAAAGGAAGAGAGTAGATCTGTTTCTAAAAAGTGAGGCTTTGTAAAGATTTAAATACTGGATACTGCCTCATTTTCAAGAGTTAAGTGGTTTGGTGTAAAAGCAGAACTACCATATCATTACTCAATTTTAAGGAAAGTAGATTGGCTCACTTATTCTAAATTTTCATTATTCTCAGTTTACTGAAAAAACATTTTCCTAAAATGTGTCAAAGTTCTTAGGTATTTTCTTCTTCTAATACTTTTATTTAAAGCTATAGCTTGATTCTATTTTCCAAAAGGAATGGAAGACTACATTAGAAATAGGTCAGCAGAAGGACTATCTGGAGATTTTACCACTAAAATGGGATGGCCTCACATAAAGCCACTAGTTACTTCTCCCAACATTAAACACCGGTGTTTGTTAAACACTAAAGTACTCTGGAGAAATATTCTAGCTTGCTGTTGAACAGCCAAGGATACTTCTCAGTGCTCTATCCTTACTAAGGTCACTGAGATTGATTCTGTCTCTTTAAAAATGGCTTGCTTGGCCCTAAAACAAAATAAGTTGGCCCAACGTTGCCCTCCATCATTGTAGCAGACTACACACTAATGATGGGCCTCAGGTTGTAAGTCCCACATGACAGCGAGAGTGAACAATGTATAGGAATATTCCTGCAAGTCATGTCCTTCAAAATATTTGTCTTATCTAATAATTTAGATTATAAACTAAACGACTGTCAACTAAGCAATGGCAGGGAAAATCTTACACTTTTGAATCTTTCTTTGTCTCCTGAACAATGCTATACGCAGAATAGACACTTAATGAATTGTCAAATTCTTTAATACTTAATAATAATCAAAAACAATACTTAATAATACTTTGCACAGTTCATTTTAGTTTATAAACCACTTTGATGAACATTATCTCATTTGGCCTACAAAAACTATGCTTGGGAAATAGTTTCCCAATAACTGGTGGTATTAACTCCATTTAAAGAACTGATACTCAGCTGGGCGTGGTGGCTCATGCCTGTAATCCCAGCACTTTGGGAGGCCGAGGCGGGTGGATCACGAGGTCAGGAGTTCGAGACCAGCCTGGCCAACATGGTGAAACCCTGTCTCTACTAAAAATACAAAAATTAGCTGGGCGTGGTGGTGCGTGCCTATAATCCCAGCTACTGGGGAGGCTGAGGCAAGAGAACTGCTTGAACCTGGGAGGTGGGGGTTGCAATGAGCTGAGATCGAGCCACTGCACTCCAGCCTGAGTGACAGAGCGAGACTCCATCTCAACAAAACAAAACAAAACAAAACAACTGATACTCAAAAACAACTTATGAAAATTAAGTGATAGCGTTGAAACTGGAACCCATATTTTCTGATTCCCAAATCTAGTGCTCCTTCCTCTGTGTTATACTACCTTGCATGAAGATGTTACATAGTTTAAGCTCTATAATCAGGAAAAATTAAACTTAGAATAAAAAAATCCTATGAAAAAAACAGGACAGATGGCTTTGAAATCTTGCTTTCATCTTATTCTTATTCTTCCTTTTTCTTATTCAGAAAAAAAGAGCATGCCATTCCAGGAAGCATTCCACAAACACTACGGGCAAATATGCTTTAGGCTACTCACCCGACCCACGTGCTTCCTTCTTCAGTGTTCCTGTTTCTTAACCAATGAAGTTGAAACGTGATCATTTTTGTTTCTTTCAGTCTTAAAGTTCTTAAATTCTTCCCAAAGTTTTATTACTTTTAGTTTCCTCCCTCTTGGAGGTAAATGAGGTAGAATAAACAACCAGGAATGTTTCCACCAGGCCTGCTGCCTGATTTCGCAGTGTATCTTTCCAGCGCTCTGGATTTGACTCTGGTGGGTTTCCCTGAGGAAGGTAGGAGGCACTAGAATAGAGGTGGCACAGAGACAGGAGGGCAGGGGAAGGGCAGAGAAGGAAGAGAATGGCCATTACCCAATAATGGGCACTGTGATATGGTAAAAAGAATATGGGATCAGGAGTCAGATAATCTGGGTTTCTGGTCCCAGTTCCATCATTTAGTATCACGTGATCTTGGCAAGGCGCTTGGCACACTGAGTCTCAGTTTTTTGGTTTGTAAAACAGTGGTCATTCTTCTTGCCCAGCTACTCTCACAAGGTTCTTGCAAGCTTAAGTAAAAACATAGAAAGTTTTGCAAGTAAGAGATTTTATTATTCGTAACTTCTAACTATGGGTGAGAGTTACCTAAGAAGGCAGGTACCAAAAAAAGTTTGTAGGCAAACAGGTTTTAGGGTACTTATCTCTAAGGCCTCAGAGTGGTCTTATAAAGGACTTGGGGAAAGTGAGAGGTAGACAGATGGTAAATCTTCCGTACCATTAATGTACAAGAGAGCATGAGCCAAAATATGAACAAGAGCCATATTCTATACCTAGCTGTAAGATGACTATAGATGTCAAAGTAAAAACACCTACAGCAAAGGATGCATTTGATTTTAAAAAGATATAGACAGTAACTACGATTCATTTACTCATTATAAAAGCTACCGCTTATTTATTACTAAGTGCCAGGCAGTATGCTAGGTACTTACCTATTTAATTCTTCTGACCACACTATTAAGTACGCACTATTACCCTCATTTTATAGGGAAAGGGATTGAGGCAGGCAGCTTAAACCTGTTTGAGGTCACAGAGACAGTAAATAGTGGTGCTGGTATTCAAATTCATAGTCCTAGTCTTTCCACCTAACTGGGCCACTGTTTCTTAACCTACTCTGTCCTATACCCCAAACCTCATGTGGCCAAATTCTTCTTTTGCTCCAGATCCACTCTCCACTGAAATGTTATCTCCTTAGTGAAGGTTTGTCTACACCCCTCACACCGGGAACTAAAGGGCTTCCTCTGAATGTTCAAAATAACTCTCCCTTATAGCATGTCGTACTTTTTACTTTTTTCAGTACATGTTGTTTTGTTCCTATTTCACCACCTTAATTAGACTGTAAGCTCCTTGAACACAAGCTCAAGGAGCATATTCCATGAGTAGAACAGCTCAGATGGCTTCTTCATTCCCTTCTCTAGCCTCCCTGGCTTCTGTAATGCCAGGCTGGGACCACAGAGATGAGTAAGACGTGGTCCCCAGACCCAAGCTGCTCAAAAGCCTAGTGGGTAAGACTCGGCAAAGAAGTGACTCTAAGCTACTGAGGGAATACACACTTATCTCTGTAGCTGCCACTGTGGTGTTGAGTGAGTGAATGAATGAGATAGGATATGAGCTGGGTCTTGAAGTGAGAGCAACATCTGGATAGGGCAGAGGAAGGGGCAGGCTATTCTGGGTAGTGGGAACTTGCCTAAGTAAAGAACGGAGGTCACAAATGAGAGTGCTATGCCTGGGGGTCTGTTGAGAAAGGGTGGGAGAGTGGTGGAGAGACAAAATCGAGGCACTGCCTGAGGACCTGGATGCTGGGGCCCCATCACACAGCCCACTCACAGCAACCTCGCACATAATCTCTTCAACTCAGTTCTAAACTTGTTGTCTTACAGGCAGCCATTAGGCTGCAGCTTAGGTGCACATTCTTCAGCACCCACATCAGTGGTGCCTGTGCATGTCAATCTGAGTCTCAGATCACTATGCAGGCAATAGTAAAAGAAAACTAGGATGTTTAAATGACATTCTGGTGACTTTCAATCACAGTATTCAAAAGAGCACAGATTCTAAGCTGAAATTCTGCTTTTCAAAATTGTGTTGCTTGGCAGTTACGACTAGGTTATAATCTTAGGATGAAAAAATGGGCACTCCTTTTGGAAAGACCTGGCATAAATCACTGAGAGCTGTGCCCTGTGCAACTGTGTTCATAAAAAATGGGGGTTCATTTTAGGATTAATCAGGTCGATCATTCTCATATTAGCTAAGAATTCCATACTGTGCAAGAAAAAGAATTACTTTATTAAGAGGATTTTTATCACAGCTTTTCTTTACAAAATAAAACAAAACAAGCTGTCACATAACTTTGAAGCTTACCATAAGGAGGAATTCAGTGAATGCACTGATCCTCAGCCAGTATGAAATCCTCAACACCAAAAGAACATACAGCAATCTGCCTCCACAGGGACCAATCTGTGAATGGTAACAACCACACAGAAAATGGAAGTGTTTTGCTTTACAAAAGATGTAAGAGCCTCCCTTAGGAACCTGAGTTTTTTTACCCTTTGCCCTAAGGAGCACAGGCTTGAGAGGTAACTCCTCACTCCACGGCTGCTCTCGGAAATTCTCAGATTTCCTCTGAGACTCAAAGTGCTTGCTCCGGCTTTGTTTAGCTTTGTGACTTCCAGCCTGGCTTCCTGCCGTGATCTTTACTTGGAACTGATATGTAGCATTCATTTTGCAGTGCTTTGCATCTACTTTAGTAGCCTATTTTACGTTACAGTACCATAAAGTGACACATTCCTGTTCACTCAGTGTTAATATGCTTGGCACAGCTGGCACAGAGGGGCACTACATTTATAAATGTATGAGCTTGGAGCTTAATGGGTTTGCTGCAACAGTGCCAGGACACCTAGATTCTACTTTTATTGCTACAGGTTCATGGGTCAATTATGCCTGGAAAGTCAATTAATTTCTCCGTACCTTAGAACTGAGAGTTGCTGGAAATTACAGTGTTTTAGGAGTAGAAGGGCAGTCAGGTTGCAATGAGGAAGCATTTATATGTAAATAATTTGAGTAAATTGTCTACAGACATCTCAGAAGAAAAGGACCTAATCCCTAAGGTTCCAGTAATTTGTTGTGATTTGTTTCTCATTCCAAATGCTTTTTCATCTCTAATTTTGTATTTGTAATTTTGTATTCTTTTTCTTAAAAAGGATTGCCAAGGAACCACAAAGCCCAGATTCTCCCCATTCTTAAAATGAATTTGCATTCCAGCCAAGGTGCCTATTCATTGCCAATAAAGCTGCTGTGTTCATAAAGCGGCTTTTCTTAAACTATTCCCTCTCTATGAGGCGATGAGGTGAGGAAGGTGGTAGGAAAGAAGGAAGAGACAGAGCACATTCTACACAGAGGAAGAGTGAGTGCAACCACTCAGACAGGAAAGAGCTTATTCACATGACTACACAGAGGCCAGTACAGCGACAGGACGTGAGAGTGGAAAGGGAGTGGTATCAGATGAGGCAGAGGCCAAGTAGACTATGGAAGAAAACTTGGATTTCACTCTTGCCACTGAAGCTGAAGAGTGATTAAGATCTAGCCAACATTTAGAAAGATCATCCTGGCTACTTTGGAGAGTGGACAGAGGCAGGACAAGACAAGGAGACAAATTGCACTGGTGCAGCTGTTTGGGTAAGAAAAGGTGGTGGCTTGGACTGGAGTGGCAATAGCAGAGATGGGAAGTGAACAGATTGATATGTATTTTGCAGATAGTGATGACAGGGCTTGCTGATGAATAAGATTAGCTCTGATGTGAGTGGAGAAAAGAAGGGGATCAAGGATGATTCCCTGGTTTGAGCAACTGGGTAGACAGGGTCCCATTAGCTGACAGGAATTATGCTGGTGGAAGGAGGGTTTTAGCTGTGTTGAGGCTGAGATGCTTCTAATACTCCCAGGGGCAGAGTCAAGTAGGCCCCTGGCTATCCAGAGTGTGCAGGAGAGGTTTACACTGAAGACAAAACTTTGGGAGTCATAAGCATAACAGCTTTCAAAATGATGGGAATGGGTGAGAACACTTAAGAAGAGGGTAGAGAGGAGGCGGAGGAGGAAAGAAAAAAAGAGAAGAGAGTACAGAGAGAAAAAGGGAAGAGGGCCTAAGATGGGGCCATGGAGAAGCTAGAAGCAGAAAGCCAGGAGAGGGCAGTCCTGTGGAAGATAACAAGGAAGAGTGTTTCAGGAAGGCAGGAATGGCCAGCAAGGCCAGGTGCCACTGAACAGGATAAGGATGAAAAGTGACCTTTGAGTTTGGGTCTATGTTTAGAATTCGGTAGGCACCAAGCTAGATAAAAGGAATTTCAGTATACTCATAGAACTAAAAATCAGACTGGAGTGAGTTAACTAGGAATTGGAGAAATGAAACAGAAACAGACCTGTAAGCATTACAGAAATTAAATCAGTAGTTAAAAATCTACACTCTCCCCAGCAACAAACAAAAAACAGTAGTTTTTTTCTAGGTTCTACCATACCTTTAAGATAGAGATACTTCCTCCTATCTTATATGAACTGTTCTGGAGAATAGAAAAGAAGGTAAAGATCCTCAATTTATTTTATGAAGCTCTTATAACCTCATCATGTTTGCTCAATTCTAACCAAAATCAGACAAGGATTTTATGTGAAAGAAAAACTGTAGGCCAGTCTCATTTCAGTTTGCAGATGGAGACATTCTAAAATATTAGCCAAGGAATCCAATAATGTAGGAAAAAATAATACACATGACCAGGGGGCAAAGATGGTTTAACATTAGAAAAATGTAGTGTTACCTCAACAGATTCAGAATAAACATGGTAAAATTCAAAATACACATATTCATGATTAAAAAACAACTCTTAGTAACCTGAGAACAGAAAAATTCTTCCTTCTGCTAATGCAGGATATCTACCCCAATCTACAATAAATATAATACTTAATGGTGAAAAATTAGAAGCATTCTCTTTGAAGTCAGAAGACAAGGATACCCACTATCACTGCTCCTGTTCTGTAATAAAACATAGTAAGACAAGAAAAAGTAACGAAGTTATAAAAATAGAAACAATACCATTATTCACTAAAAATATGATTGTATACACAAAAAATCCAAGAGAATCGAAACAAACTATTGTAACTAATGTTAGCCAGAACACACTCTCAAAATACTAAAAATCAGTGCTATTCCTGTACATCAGCCAGAAAATGTTAACTATTATAATAAAAAAATTTACAACAGCAACCAAAACTGTAAGCTAATAGGACTAAGTATATCTAATAAAAGATGCATAGACTTTTATGAAGAAAATTATAAACCTCATGGAGGTATGTTTTAAAAAAGCAAGCGATGTAACATGTTCATAGTTAGGAAGACCCAATGTCATAAAACTGTGAAATCACTCAAAGACTCAAGTCAAGAAAAGCCAAGAGTTTTGAAGAAGAGCCTTCCCTAACAGATATTTCCCTAACAGATATGGAGGTTAGCTTTTCCCTAACAGATATCAAGAAAATTGGAGGTATTTTCCTTTTCTGTTCCTATGAAGGAACATGGCTTTAGGAGTTAACACTCTTGGCTCTCTCCATCCTCTCACTCTCTCAGAGGAGGAGGGACTTTCCTGATTGGTGAATCTAGAGGGCAAAATAGCAACTGGGTATTCTTGGCTCAGCCCTATCTGGGCTCCTGAAGAAAAGTCACCTGATCGCTGTCTGCCAATGTAGTTAAGGGCCTGCCTCTGTAGGGAAAGCCTATGGCTCTCCAGTTTACATTGTGATTATGAGGATAAGTTCAATTTTGAGTGACATCTTTGCAAGCCCGTTTTATTTCAGATCTAAAGCCCCATTTTCCAAGTAGCTTTATCAATAGTAAAATGGACATTTTGATTTTTATTTCATTCTCAAATCTCAACAACACTTTTAGAAATTACATCTTACAATAATTAAAAATGTCATACTAATCGATGGCTAGCCAAATAAAGCAACAGAACAGAATAGGGATCCTGGAAATGGATCTCTATGGATAAGCGAACTTGGTTTACAAAAGAGATGCCATTATCATCAGTGGAGAAAAGACAGACACTTCAGTAAATGGTTCAGGGACAATCTGCTATCTGTACTGAGCAAGATTCATTTAGTGTGATTAATTAGTGTTGTAGGTTGCCAATTTTCTCATTATTTTAGGTTATTTACCATTGTGTTAGAAAACCTCTTCATGAATTCTGTGCCTTGTTTCCAACTGGACCACAAATCTCTTGGGGACAGGGCTTGAGCTTTCTCATCTCTCTAAAGCACCTATCACAGAGCTTTACACAGAGACAAGCTAAATAAATACCTGCTAGCTCACTTTTATTATTCTTATTACTTTACTTTAAAACTTAATTCCTCTCTCATATTCCTGAAGGCATCCGGGTCCATATCAACACCAAGCTTTAATAATTATTTTGATGTTTTGAGTGGAATTCTTTAAACAGTTGTGTATTTGCTTAACAGGAGTCCTATCTAAGACCAGACATCTGGAACTTGCCGTTTTGAAAATCAAAGTAAAGACCAACCACAGTTTTTTTACTTTTCTGAAGGCACATCAGCAGAGCAAATCAAATTTCAGAGAGGTAGAATTTCAAATCCACACAGCAGATGATGAGAAAAATACCTGGAATCAGAAGCCAGTGCTGCCCCCAGCTGTCTAACTCTACAGGCCTGCTTTCCAGGCACGTGATTTTGTAAGTTACTGCCCACTACCCAAGGATTCAAACTTCAAGAATTACTAAATGGATACAGCCAACAACTTTCCATTTAGGTCAAGTGAATGAATCTAATGTCTTCTTTCTATCAGACTTCCCCTCTCTCCTTCTCTTTTCAAAGGTCCATGTCTATCCTGACGGAGCACTTTCAGCAGCAGCTTGCCCTCACGGTTCAACAGGTACTGACACCACACACAAGAAACATTTCAGAATGTACCTACTGGTCTCAAACTAAGTCCTGACCCCCTGACCTATTCCTTATCTGCTTTCTTCCTTTAATGCTCACAGCCATGGTCCTGATGCTCATTCTATAATCAGGCCCTTCACCTGTTCTTTGGAAAGGTCCAAGGGGCTCTGGGTCTCCCTTACCATGAATCATACTGGCTGTCTTCCAGTTTGTCTCAGCAATGCCCTCAAGGGCTCCTTGCTCAGCCACCTTCCCAAAGTTCAAGCAATATCCCCTTGGCCCCTCCTCCCTCCAAGGGGGCTACATCCTCCTTAGCCAGACGGGAGCTTAGATCTCCCCAACTGTGATGGCGCCTTTCATTTTCCTCCCATATCTCATTACAGAAGAAAACTCAGAGGCAGGTGTGGAGCAATGTGGAAGTCAGAAAAGATTTTCAGGATCCTATCCACATTACAGTTTCTGGTTATCAGAGATAAAGGTACTCACCACCTGACCATTAGTCCATGCTCCATGAAGTTTTTCAGGTTGGGAAGGGTTTGCCGCAAGTCTGGAGTCCCTAGTCCATGTTGATATCTTAGCTGTGAAGGTGAAAAAATAGAATTAAAGATATTTTGGCAGATTATAAGCTTCGGAAAAATGAACCACTAAACAAGTTATTTTTTTGAACTCTAAAAGAGGAAATGTAAATGTTTGATACTATTATCAGCCTCACAGTACTTTCCACTTACTGGGTATTTGACATATAGATAAGCACGTGTATGAGTATGCACACCCACTTAAATTACGATGGTATTTAAGGTAGCCTCTTCATCTACTTACTGTTCTCTTGCCCCCTAAACTTAGAGAAGACTAAGAGTGACCAACTGTGGAATGAGGATATTTCAAAGACCCCTGTATCTAGCCTTCTTTTCTACCCCCAGACCCTGGTAGGGTTTGCTAACACCAACTCCAGGGACATATACCAGAAAACCAGTGTTTCTTTTTAGATATTGCCAGCTTCCATTCAGCCCTCCCCTTTGTATAAACAAGGGTAAGGACCATCTTGTATTCATCTCTGACTCCAATAGTGTCTGGCATAGTGCTGGTACTTATTCAATGCTTATTAAACAAATACATTGCAACTCACTTTTGACAGAGGCTGTGCTCTGTATTTCTCTTGAGTCTCTAACGTTCCTCTTTGTCCAGACCAGAGCACATAGCTGGAGAGGTGGTACAGGGAAACTGCTGGTTTGTGGGCTAGATCTGCCCTTTGTTTGATTTATTTCTGGTAGAGGCCAATTTTCTAAAATTAAGTGTCCTTCTGAGTACTCTGGATAAGTTGCTAATGGTTTTCATCGGTCTGTTCTTCACTTCCTTTCACTGTGTCTCTGAGTATCACCATTTGCTTCCGTAACTGACCATAAAGGAGAGCCGAAGTAAGTGGATGTGCATATTCTCACACATGCTCATCCACACATCAAACACACAGTAAGTGGACAACACAGCTCTGCAAAAATGTGTTTTTCAAATGACATATTACACATGAAGAAAGTTTATAGACTTTATAAAATGTATGTCTGTGTACAAATGTGAAGGGGCATCGGTCTTAAGGTTTAACTCTTTTAGCACTTAAATTTAAGAGTGGCTAAGTCAAACTTTTAAATATATCCCTCTCTTAAAGAATAAAACCACAAATCATGTGAATAGAAAGCAGGCCTTCAGAGTAAGACAACAGGGGGCATAAATAAACACCTACTAAAAACAGTCAGTTTTCTTTTGTTTGACTCTAGAATTCAACTGATTTTTCTCTGCTTGAGTGATACTTAGAGAAAGAGTTCACTCTCACTGATTCTGGGCTTTTTAAGAAAAACCTCCAAACATAACTGGGTCTCCTGAATGGTTTGAATGAATACACACATAAAGTAAGGATGTAGAAACATACAATGTTAAAACTAAAAGGTATCTTGAATATTATTTCAGCCAATCCTTTTCTTTTGCAGATGGGAAAACTGAACCCCAGAAAGGGGAAGTAAATTATCCAGGGCCGCATGGTTCAATGGCAAAGATATTATCAGCCAGGGCCTCCTTTTCACAAACCATGCTACTCTCTACCACCTACCCCAAAGTCTGAGACGAAAACTGGTAACAATACTTGAGAAAGCAGAAGGAAAATAGTTTTTTCCTTTTTCAAACCTAGCTTGGTGACCTAAATCACCTCCTGAGATTTGCAGACCTTGAATTATAAGATCTACCCCATATTAAATGACATCATTTCTTGTATTAATATAAATGCATTTTTCCATACATTGATAAAAGCAAAATGGCTGATATCCCAACATGACGTTCCTGAATTCATTGTTTCAATAAGAAGTGAAATCGTTTACACATGGCATGGAAATTTTACCTGTGATTCATACCGAAAAATATTAAACATCAAGGAAAAAAAAAAACTTACTGAAATAACACTAAGCTATGTGTCTCCGAGTGAGTACACAGACAATTGCCTGCCCCAGGTTCCACAACGGAAGATGGGTGTTGAACTGTTTTCAGAGACCACAGTGAAAATTTCTCTCCAAGTCTGATTTTAACCAAAAAAAAGAAAAATGTGGGAATTTCAAGCCTCTGTCTGGGTCTTAACTCTCCATTTGCTGCATAGTACTATTTTTTTTTTAAATCATAGAATCTTTGAATTTTACAGCTTAAAGAGACCCTGGAGACCATCTTTCCAACCTTCTTCCTCTTATAAATGAAGAAACTAAGGCCCAGGAAGACAAGAGCATCCTGCCCAAAGTCACAGGGATGATAAGGGACAAAGCCAAGGCTAGAACCGCTTAATAACAGCTCCAAATTCTACCATATTACCCTTTTAATTTTCCACATAGGGAACTCAAAAATAAATGCATACATAACACATATATTATTATTAATAAAGTATAAGTATGGTTTAACAAGTCTAAACCACTACAAGATTTATAATGAAAAAAAAAGCAGTTCTCTGCTCTACTATCTACCCCAAACTCTGAGAACACCTTTTAGCTGTTTCTTCTTTACCTCATATTTCTGAATAATATGCTTATATTAAGATTTCTTATTCTCCCTTCCCCTCCAGTTAGAGACATCATCTACTATGCTCCCACCATGAAAGAAGAGAATTTAGCACTCTTATACCACTTTGCTCTCACACAAACACTTTATCCCCTTTCCCATACATTATCTACTAGCTTTTTCTTAAAGAATATGAGAACTTGACTCTACTCTCCCACACATAGTTCCCTTCCTCATCTTCTCAATACATTCAATATCATATTTTAAATTAAATCAATATTTACTGTTTACCTCACTATACCTACATAAACACTGTTCACTGCTGAGCCATGTAATGTATTATTCCTTTCTTGTACTTTTTTGTTTGTTTCACTGGAAGTGATAACTGCCATTTTTTCCACCAGTTGAGCTTTTCTATGTACTTGTCACTAGATACTCCCCAAACTCTAACAAAAATCTTAAAACTGGCCAGGTGTGGTGGCTCACACCCATAATCCCAGCACTTTGGGAAGCTGAGGCGGGTGGAGTTTCAGACGAGTCTGGGCAACATGGTGAAACACTGTCTCTACCAAAAGTACAAAAAATTATCCGGGCATGGTGGTGCTTGCCTATGGTCCCAGCTACTCAGGAGGCTGAGGTGGGAGGATTGCTTGAGCCTGGGAGGTTGAGGCTGCAGTGAGCTGAGATTGTGCCACTGCACTCCAGCCTGCGTGATAAGAGTGAGACCCTGTCTCAAAAAAAAAAAAAGAAAAGAAAAAAGAAATAGAATAAAAAACCTTAAAACTCTTCTCAATCTAACTAAACACACCATAAAATTGATCAAGTCCATTTTGCTCTTAGAGATATATTTCCTGAAGCCTCCTCTCTCTGCTTCAACTGAACTGGCTGCTAGCTAGGCCTGCTGCATTATATTCCTACAAGCTTCTTTAGCCATCATGCTGGAAATTTTGTTTACTTTTCTTCTGTGCTGAAGCTGTTATTTCCTAGATTGTCTTCTTTCTTGATCTACTGCCTCATCTTGGTGGAGTGTATCCTATAATATCTTTCTGGGAAAGGATAGCATGGGAGGTAACTTTCATGACACCCTGAATATTTGAAAATATAACTATTCCATTCTTATACTTGAATGATAGTTTGCCTAGGTATAGAACTCATGGCTGCAAATACTTTTTCTTAGGTAGTTCCAAAGTATTTCTTTACTGTCATTTAGCTTTTCACGTGGTGACTGAGAAACCCGTTAACATGCTGGTTCCTGATCCTTTGAATGTAAGTTGATTCTTCTCTCTGGAAGCTTTTAGGACTTTCTTCTTTAACCTTAGTATTCTGAAATTTCATAGTGATAAGCCTTCATTTCGGTCTTTCATTCATCATTTTCAGTCTGTTTTCATTCCCTGGGCCAAGCACTTAGTACATCCTTTCAATATGAATACTCTTATTGCCTAATTCTGATCATTTTCTCCTATTATTATTATTTTGCCTCCTCCTCCTTCTTCATTTTACCCTCTGGATTTTTTTTTTTCACTTTACCCTCTGGATTTTTTTTTTCACTTTATTTTAGACTTTTTTTTTTAATATTAGAGGCTTTCCTCTAATGTCTCGTAATCTTTGGCCGTTAGTTTATCTTTACAGGTGAGACTGTGAGACTCTAAAAAGCTGTGAAGGAAGTCTGTGCATTGGCAGTGCTTGATGACTGGCTGTGGGGGGAGGGTTCATTGCAGAATGAGTGGATGGAAATCCAGCCTTCCCACGGGGAAAGGTTAGTACTACAGCCCCAGGACTTTTCATTGCTGCCTCTGTTTTTTCCTCAGAAAGAATCCTCTGTCTTGAGGCATAATCTGGATCTTATTTGGGGAATAAAGTTGGAAAAGGCAGTTGGGGAACTCTGTGTTGGTATGTTACACTTTCACGTAATCACCTTTTGGTAAGGCACCTTCCTTCTTGTTCCCAGTATATCAAGCAGTTTACGTTCAGAGCTTCTTGGGCTCAATCTTTTTCAGCAAGTAAACCTTCATTTTCCCACTAGGGCATGTGGGAACGTAGTTATTGGGCTACACAGAGTGGGAAAAGTGAACTGGGAGTATTACTTCTTTTTCTATAGACTGTCAACCTACCCTCCTATGTTTAGCTCTATATATTATCCCTAAACTTCATGAGATACTCGGTACCACCACATCCTTCTGGAGTCTGTGGTTTGGATTATATTGCTTCGTAAAGGCTTCTGCCAAGTCAGTTTATCACTCATTCGTTTATTTGAAGTTTTCTAAATTTTCTTGGTCTTATCTATTCTTTTCATCCTTGTGAATTTAAAATTTTAAAATTATTTAACCTTATTAGTAGCATTTTAGTAGAGAAGTGACTTAAACAAACATATTCAGGCGGGTAGACTGCTTGAGGTGAGGAGTTTGAGACCAGCCTAGCCAACATGGTGAGACCTCATCTCTACTAAAAATGCAAAAATTAGCCAGGTGTGGTGGTGTGCGCCTCCCAGCTACTCGGGAGGCTGAGGCATGAGAATCACTTGAACCTGGGAGGTGGAGGTTGCAGTCAGCCGAGATTGTGCCACTGCACTCCAGCCTGGGTAATGGAGACTCTGACTCCAAGCAAACAAACAAATAAAAGTCTCATATATATATATGGGATTTTATATATAAAAAACCAGCTTTTCAATACTGGCTAACAACTCTTCTGATAGCTTTTTACACAGTACTCATTACTCTGGCAGAAAGCTCTCTTTCTTGTCTCTATGTCTCTCTCTAGGCATCCTATATCTCATGTCTTATCTATTCTCAAAGAACCAACAGAAGTTCCATTTTCCACTGGAAGCTCTCTGATTACTGCAGGTAAGTGGGCATTTTACCCTTGACCCTAAACTCCTCCCCATACGCACTTTTCCATTTGTTCTTTTTGGAAAGCCTTAACCAACTGGATAGGTACTTGATAAATACTTGTTAATTAACAAGTTAAATTAATACAGTATAGGAAGAAATGAGAGGCATCACGACACAGTAGGATAGGCTTAAATGCAGAAGAGCTGGGTTTGAATACCAGTACTGTCACTTACTAGTTGTTTGACTTTGAATAAGTCACTTCTCTGAGATTCCATTTCCTTACTTGTAAAATGGGGATGTTGCCTGCCTTGCAGAGCTGTTGTAAAGTTTAAATAAGATAAAGTATATAGACTATCCAAAATAATATCTGGTACATCATAAGTGCTCAATATAAAATACCTGTTATCATTACTAATACATATATATATATATATATATGTACCAGATATATATATATTCTCCACATTATCATCATCACAGTATCTACCACTAGGCTGGGCATAAAGCTGGTGTTCAATAATGGCTTACCACTTAACTACTAAGAATGGGGGGCAGAAAAGGAAGAAGGAAAGAGTTACTTCAAATCAAAGGGAAAATCTTAAGTACACTGTTCACTTTTTTAAATGCTAATTTTCATTAAGCTTCTGACTGCATGCACTCCAGAGAAGCAGGAATAAACACACACATGTCAGTATCTTTAAAATAATTATATAGTGAAATGGAAAGACTGATACATGATGTGAGTGGTCAGGGGACCTGGTGAAAGACCCAGCTCTGCTGTATGGTCACGCAAACTCCTTCCTTGCTTGGGCAAACTTTTAAAAATTTCAATAATCTTCAACAAGTTAACTCCCTGGTAAGATATTAGTAAAAATAGAAAGGAAAAGAAGGAACCAGGTCGAGGAGGAAAGGACAAGGATAGGGAAAGGGGAGAAAGAACTACATTTACTAAGTCTCCACACGTTCTATTCATTCATTCAGCAAATATTTATTGAGTGTCCACTAAGCTAGGCAATGTGAATCAGCTCTCTGTCTTTGGAATGAGAGGCCTGGACTCACAGCCTATTCTCACCATATAATGTGTATAACTTTGAGCAAGTTACATAACCAATCTATGCCTTGTCTATAAACAGGACCAACAATATTTATCTCATAAGATAGTTGTAAGAGTTCAATTAGAATTTTACAGAGAATAGAAGTTCCTGAGGCCTGACTTTTACAGGGTAGTCATTATAACTGCTGAGGGCTAAGAGTGCTAAGCTGAAGAGTTCAACTTTATCTTGCTGGTTAGCAGTAAGAACCTACTCCAGGGTTTTAAGCAAGAGAGTGAACGAGGGAAACAACAGCAAAGGCAGCTATGGACAGGCTAAAAGACTGAAGTACTCTTGTCTCTAAGAAATCTTACTTCAGGTTCCATCAACACCTGCCCTCACCAACTATTATCAATCCCACACTTCCCTAAACATTACGGCTCCTTCTGCTCTCATTTTTGATTGGGGAAGGCAGATGCCAAGAAAACTAGGCAAATAAAATATTGCTTTGGGTCTGTATAACTGCCTCAAATTAGCCTCTGAAATAAACACCTTTTGTAACAACTTCCTACTGCACCGCCACCACCAAAACAGTCTAAGCAGTCTTTAAGTGGAATTTTGGTTTCAATTAGTTTGAATTTCAGCTTTACTTTGATTGATTTAGGACTCCATGGGGGCAATTAAGATTTTGTTCAACTCTATGGCTAGTAGGCAACCAAGATGAAAATTACACTTAGATAATAAGTTAGATGGGAAGTGGGGAGAAACAATGTTCAGTGGTTTCCCTGGAAAAATTAACAAACTGTATTGTCTGGTAGCAAAAGATAATCCTTACGCTAAAAAAACCCAGGAAGATCTGGCTTTATAGTTACCGGAACAAGCAAAAAGAAAGAAAACCCAAGCAACAAGTACATTCAGACCACAACAGACAACTACGGCCATGTCAATTCCATTAACTGTCTATGTTCTCTCTGTTTTCCTCTCCTATACCCCCTTTTTGTATAAAAATATAGTGTTTTTCCAAAGCCACATGCTGGTTTCTTCTCAAATCACTATACATCCACTTTGTGTTTCATCAAATAAGACAGATCAACTATGACGTCACAGCTCTTGCAGTTGGAATTAACTAGTTCATGCAGCTTGATAAATGTTGCTCCATTGATGAGGGAAGACCACTTGCAGCTCTGGAGATCACATTTAAAACGTAGTATGATTTTACTGCTGAGAAATAAATGCTGTGTTCTTGCACCCAGTAAGCATCCTCCTATTGAGCTGAGAGGTTTAATTTAATATCAAAGTGCTCAATTTTATTTTTATTTTTTAAACACAATTTTTCCAGGCCAGGAAAGCCTCTGGGGATTCAGGAATCATTGTGTCATTTCGGTTTTGGCACAGGAGAAATGCAGTTTAGACAACACACACACATGTCCCCACCCTTCCAAACTGTATTCATTCACACAAAGCCACTTATTGCCTGACTTATTAGTTCCATATGTGGCCTGAGCTAAGCTGCATGATATGTTTGATACAAACCGTGTGTTATCGTGAGGGAATGTGGATTAATACAATGCTTCAAAAAAGGTTACTAAAAGATCAACACTTTCATGATGGGATTACAATGAATTTGACTACAAAGAAATGGTGTGGAGGAACCGAAAATACGAAATGAAAAATGCACATATGCATCAAAGATTTAACTTTAGAGATTTGCCTTATGTAGGCAAACATCTCTGTGGAACTAGTTACCACTATTTCAATCCATTTTTAAGTACTACTAAGTTTCACTGACATGAAAAGAACTAGATTATGCGCTTGAAAAAAAAGAGTACCACCATGTCAAAAACAAAATCTGCCTTCCTAGAAGAAAACGTAATTCTTTCAAGACGTGGAAAAGCTACTTAAAGAATATTTAATATGAGCAATAATATTGTTTCTTACAGTGAGTCATTGCAATATATACCTCTAAGGAAAAATATAAAAACTCGATTATGGGCCTCTGGTTGCAAGAACAACCTAAGTACTTTTCCAATCCCATCTATAAACACGTGCCAGTCTTTTCCAAAATAGATATGTTATAATGTAAACACTGGACACAGCTCAGGTCTACCATTCTGAGGACTGAAGCCTAGAAGTCAAAACTAGAAGCTTTAAAGTCTAGTAATTGAAAAAGCTTCTTTCATTTCTCCTTCCAGTCACACTATCAACTGCTTTCAGAATCATAGAATTAATACTAGAGCTGAATGGCACCTCTGAAGAAAGTGAGAGGTTAAATGGCCTAAGGTTGAACAGGTTGAGTCCAGGGACCAGAATCCAAGTCTGCCAAGTTCTACCCTTACAGGCTCTTTTCTTTATATCATATGTTGCTTTATTGTATTCACAAGGCACAGATTATATCTGAGTTAAATTTACCATTATAAAATCTGCCATATTAAAAATATTTCAATTAAGATGGTCCTTTGCTTTGGAATCTTATATTGGCCAGAAAGCAACTAGAAGCACTATTAAACTCATGCAACTCTGGAGTCAACCTGTTAGTGTAGTCTCTATCACTTCCAATCCTTGTGAGTTGCTAAGGAGGATTAGTAACGCACATTGCAAATAAACAATCAAAGCAAAACTGCAAATTTGTCAAAAGCAGGTAAATCACAACCTTGGATGCAACTGCAATCAGTTTTAATCAGTTTAATCAGCCCATCAAAGAAGGGCTATGTTCTCTGGAGGCTAAAGGCTATATGAGTCAGTAGACTTGAGTAGGATCCATTAATGTAGATATTCATGCTGTTCAGCAGGTCCAGCAGGCCCAACTTCTGCTCCTTGCCCTCATGTTGATAGTCCTGTGTACCTCGATTTACCCCAAAATACCCTGTATTGACCTTTGGCCCAATCTGGATCTTTGATTCCCTTCACAGCTAAAGCTTACTCTCTAAACTGATCAAATTTGACATTTCTGAGGCTGGGTATGGTGGCTCACGCTTGTAATCCCAGCACTTTGGGAGGCCGAGGCAGGTGGATCACCTAAGGTCAGGAGTTCGAGACCAGCCTGGCCAACATGGTAAAACCCTGTCTCTACTAAAAATACAAAAAAATTAGCCGGGCATGGTGGTGTGTGCCTGTAATCCCAGCTACTTGGGAGGCTAAGGTGAGAGAATTGCTTGAACCTGGGAAGCGGAGGTTACAGTGAGCTGAGATCACGCCACTGCACTCCAGTCTGGGCAACAGAGCGGGATTCCATCTTAAAAAAAAAAATAGGCATTTCTGCTTCCAATTCATTGACTTTGATGCAATCTTGGTGCAAAGAACTATACACTCAGATCAAGATTACAGTCTAATAGAACAGAGACAGTTTTCCAGAACATTGTAGAAATGGAATCATAGAGTATTTAGCCTGTTGTGTCTGCCTTTTTTCACATGAGATTCATCCAGGTTACTATATGTGTGAGTAGTCTGGTCCTTTTTACTGCTGAGTAGTATTCTATTCTATGGATGTACCAAAAATGATTTATCTATATGCCAGTTGAGGGACATCTGGGTTGTTTCTCATTTTTATTATTAAGAATTAAGTTGCTATAAGTATGTGGACATAGGTTTTTAATTGGACTTATATTTTTGTTTCTCTTGGACCAATACCTAGGAGTGGAATTGCTGGGTTGAATGGCAGATATATCTTAAACTTTATTTTTAAAATGCGAACTACTTTCCAAAGTGATTATATAAGTTTTTCATTCTCAGCAGCAATGTTTCAGTGAGTGTTTCAGTTGCTGTGTACTGTTATCAGCACTTGATACTGTCAGTTTTAAAACTTTAGCCATTCTAGCAGTTGTATAGTAGTGTCTCAATGAAGTTTTATTTTATTTATTTATTTTTTGTTTTTGAGACAGGGTGTCATTCTATCACTCAGGCTGGAGTGCAGTGGTGTGACCACAGCTCACTGCAGTCTTGACCTCAGGCTCAGGTGATCCTCCCATCTCAGCCTCCTGAGTAGTTGGGACTACAGGCGTGTGCCACCACACCCAGCTAAGTTTTTGTATTTTTTTGTAGAGACAGCATTTTGCCATGTTGCCCAGGCTGGTCTTGAATCCCTGGACTCAAGCCATCTGCCTGCCTTGGTCTTCCAAAGTGCTGGGATTACAGGTGTAAGCCATAGCACCTGGCCTCATTGTGGTTTTAATTTGCATGTTCCTAATGACTAATAATATTGAGCTTTTTATTTTTTTAAGACAAGGTATTGCTTTGTCATCCAGACTGGAGTGCAGTGGCAGAAACACAGCTCACTGCAGCCTTGACCTCCTGGGCTCAAGTTATCCTCCCACTTCAGCCTCCCAAGTAGCTGGGACTACAGGTGTGCACCACCACGTCTGGCTAATTTTTGTATTTTTAGTAGAAACAGGGGTTTGGCAATGTCGCCCAAGCTGAGCACTTTTTTCATATGTTTATTTGCCATCTGTATCTCTACTGGCCCTCCCACAGTTTCTGTGATCTATCTAATGGTAAATGTGAGGTAGCTCTGATGAATACTTAACACATATGATTTATACCCTCTGATTAATCTTAATATCTTCTAATTAGCAACCCTCTAATTGATACCATTTCTGCCTAATCTAGCTAGAGTATATTCTGTTTACTGCAGTAACACAATCCTATAAGCAATGTGTAGCTACAGGGAGTTCCTATGTATGGAAAACACAAATGAAAATATTATTATAAGTGCAGGGATTCTTTATAAAAATTCAAATAAATCTACATATCAGTTTTACTGAAATGAAAAAATGCACTTAAATCTGTTGCTATAAATTGGATTACATAAGAAACATACAGGAGCATTCTGGTACCTCCCCAGCCACGTATAGTGACCACAAATACCCGACAGGATCATTAGAAGAAATTACTTAATTCAACAAGTAATAAATAATTACTGAATTGTGTGCATGTATATGTGTGGTGGTGACGATAATGGCAGAAATGGAGATACATGCATGGCACTGTTTGTAACGGGAAATTTGGAAATAATCTAAATATATGTTAGGCTTTTGTCCAGGTTCTATGATGGAATAATGATGGTGCTAACGATAATGAAAATAGTGCTACAGCTGTTAATGTGTTTATTCAGTGATTAGTTATGTGCCAGGAATCAATGCTAAGCATTTTATGTTATATTATTTCATTAAGTCCTCACTACAACACTATCACGGTTAAAGAAACCGTGAGGTAGAGACAGAATTAAATGATACAGTTTGAATGTGCCTGAATTCAGGCACTTTGAATTCTAGGTTTGTCTGAATCCTAGCACTTTGAACTCGTAACCACTTAAGAACGATGATGATAATGGTGATATCAATAGCAGCTATTCTTTTTCTCAACCTGCAATCTGTGCTAGGCATGGAACTAGACTGTTTACTTATGTCATCTCATTTAATCTTCATAGTAACCCTAAAGGTAGGTGGTGTAATTCCCACTCTACATATGACAAAGTTTAAAAGGTGGAAGGAGTTGCCTGAAATTCCCCAGGTGGAAAATAAAGGAGTTGGGATTTGAATTCAACTCTGATAGTTTACACTGCAGCGCACAGTCTAAATATTGCATATAAGTTGTTTAAGATTTTGTTTTCTTTTTCCTCATTTACTCCAATAATCATAAAGGAGACCCTCAAGTGTTTTTTTTTTTAATCAGAGAAGCCCATTACTTCTCTTGATTTCAGAAATTTGACAATAGTTACATCTCTGTTTAGTTACTGTTCAGCTAAGCTATACATATTTAGTCTTTTAAAATCGTTGTTTCTAAGTTAATCCCTACAGCCTCTTAATCATTCTTTGTGTCTCAGAACTCCCTCCAGTTTTCCTTAAAGAATCTGGTAATGAGGTGCCTTAAATGGAACACAGTTTTCCAGAATGCTCTTTTCTCTCATTAATGATTTTTCCCCTAAAATATTAATTTTACTATAATAGCTACTTCATGCCTTTTAAGTTTTCTGTGGAATTCCTCTGACCTCACTTGAATTGCAATAGAGTCCAAACCCATGAGTCCACTGTTTAGTCTCTCTGGTTGATCATAAATAAATGTAGCTTCAAAAAAAAAAAAAAAAAACCAAAACAGCAATGACCTTTCAAGTGCACACTGTTCCTCACAGTTTTCAAATAATGTAAATAATTGTTTTGTCTCACAATTCATTTAACAAAAAGTAATGAATTCATTAGATATGTAATAAATATACGTGAAAGGTGTGATTGGGTATCACAAAATGACTCAGCCATGAATACTACCCTGAAGGAGGTTACCTCCTCATACAGTGCAGAGAGAGTTTGATGGGTGGGAGTAGTAGGCAGAATTTTAAGATGGCCCCCATGACCTTCACCCCCTCGTGTTAATTCCTTGATAATTTTATGTTTACAGCAAAGGGAGATTATTTTGGTGGGACAGTCTAATCACACAAACTCTTTACAAGCAGAGGTTTCTCTGGCTGGCAGCAGAAGACAGAGAGAGAGATTCAAAGTATGAGAAGGGCTTGATGGGACATTATTGGTCTGAAGATGGAGGGTCATGTAAGAAGAAATGTGGATAGCTTCTAGTAGCAAAGAGTGGCCCCTGGCTGAAGGCCAGCAAGTAAATGGGAACTTCAGACCTACAGCTGCAAGGAACTGAATTCTGCCAACAATTTAGATGAGCTTGGAAGTGGATTATTGCCAAGAAACTCCAGATAAGAGCTCAGCCTGGCCAACACGTTGATTCTGGCCTTGTGAAACCCTGAGCAGAGAAACCAGCTGAGCCCACCCAGCTTCTGACCTGCAGATCTGTGAGATAAAAATGGATGTTGCAGAAAAGGCTTTTGATAAAATTCAACATCCCTTCATGATAAAAACTCTCAACAAACTAGGTATTGAAGGAACATACCTCAAAATAATAAGAACCATCTATGACAAACCTACAGTCAACATCATACTTAATGGGCAAAAGCTGAAGGCATTTCCCATGAAAACCAGCAGGAGACAAGGATCCCCTCTCTCACCACTCCTATTTGACATAGTATTGGAAGTCCTGGCCAGAGCAACTGGGCAAGAGAAATAAATAAAGGGCATCCTAACAGGAAGAGAGGAAGTCAAACTCTCCCTGTTTGCAGATGACATGATTTTATATCTCCAAAACCCCCAGTCTTGGCCCCAAAGCTCCTTAAGCTGATAAACAACTTCAGCAAAGTTTCAGGGTACAAAATCAGCGTACAAAAATCACTAGCATTCCCAACAACAGCCAAACCAAGAGCTAAATCAGGAACGTAATCCCATTCACAATTGCCACCAAAAGAATAAAATGCCTAGGAATATAGCTAACCAAGCAGGTCAAAGATCTCTAGTAGGAGAATTAAAAAACACTGCTCAAAGAAATCAAGATGACGCAAATGGAGAAATATTCCATGCTCATGAATTGAAAGAATCAACATCATTAAAAAGGCCACATTGCCTAAAGCAATTTATAGATTCAATTGCTATTCCTATCAAACTACCAATGACATTCTTCATAGAACTAGAAAAAACTACTTTAAAATTCATATGGAACCAAAAAAGAGGCTGAATAGCCAAGGCAATCCTAAGCAAAAATAACAAAGCAGGAGACACCACGCTGTCCACCTTCACAACTATATCACAGGGCTACAATAACCCAAACAGCATCGTACTGGTACAAAAACAGACACATAGACCAATGGAATAGAATAGACCCCCCAAATAAGGCTGTACACGTACAACCATCTGTTCTTTGACAAAGCTGACAAAAACAAGCAATGGAGAAAGGACTCCCTATTCAATAAATGGTGCTGGGATAACTGACTAGCCATATGCAGAAGACTGAAATTGAACCCCCTTCCTTATGCCATACATAAAAATGAATTCAAGATGGATTAAAGACTTACATGTACAACCCAAAACTATAAAAACCCTGGAAGATAACCTAGGCAATACCATTCTGGACATAGGAACTGGCAAAGGTTTCATGACGAAGACACCAAAGGCAACTGCAACAAAGGCAAAAATTAACAAATGAGATCAAATTAAACTAAAGAGCTTCTGCACAGCAAAATAAACTGTCAACAGAGTAAACAGACAACCTACAGAATGGGAGAAAATATTTGCAAAGTATGCATCTGATAAGGAACTTAAACAAATTTGCAAGAGAAAAACAAACGACCCCATTAAAAGAGAGCAAAGGACATGAACAGACACTTTTTAAAAGTGTCTGTTCAAAAGTATACATGCAACCAACAAGTATATGAAAAAAGCTCAATATCACTGATATCTAAGAAATGTAAATCAAAACCACAGTGAGATACCATCTCATACCAGTCAGAATGGCTATTATTAAAAATAAAAAAAAATAGATGCTGGCAAAGTTGAGGGGGAAAAGGAAAGCTTATACACTGTTGGCAGGAGTGTAAATTAGTTCAACCATTGTGGTGATTTCTCAAAGAGCTAAAAACAAAAGTACCATTCGACCCAGAAATTCAATTATTGGGTATACATCCAAAGGAATACAAATCGTTTTATCATAAAGACATATGCACGTGTATGTTCATTGCAGCACTGTTCATAACTGCAATAACATGGAACCAACCTAAGTGTCCATCAGTGGAAGACTGCATAAAGAAAATGTGGTACATATACACCATGGAATATTATGCCGCCATAAAAAATAATGAGATCATGTTCTTTGAAGGCACATGAATGGAGCTGGAGATCATTATCCTTGGCAAACTAACGCAGGATGAGAAAACCAAATACCACATGTTCTCACTTGCAAGTGGGAGCTAGATGATGAGAATACATGGACACAAAGAGGGGAACAACAGATACTGGGTTCTACCAGATGATGGAAGGTGGAAGGAGGGAGAGGAACAGAAAAAGTACTATTGGGTACTAGGCTTAATACTTGGGTCATGAAATAATGTGTACATCAAACTCCTGTGACAAGAATTTACCTATATAACAAAACTGCACATGTACCCCTAAACGTTTTTTCTTTTAAAGAATGTTGTTTAAACTGCTAAATTTGTGGTAATTTGTTATAAAGCACAGAAAACTAATTCAAGTGAAAAAGATTATATCTACCTTTTACCTGAAGATATTAGGAGAGAATTCATGGGGAGAACATGGCCTAAGCAGTTCACTGATGGACAGGTAATATTTAGATGAGGTAAGCCAGTGGAGAGAGTTTCTGGAATTTCATCAACACTTCCAATAAACATTTTTGTGTATCTACTATGTGTCAGGCACAATGGGGTTAGTCCTTAACAATAGTATAGAGGTTTTTAGTTAGCAGATATTTTGAACATTAAACATATTAGGACACACTCCCCAGGGGCTAATTTAAGTGCTCAGGGGAAAGGGTTAGCAACACTGAAGAATCATTTCTGACTTTATCTCCTTTTGGAAGTGTGAGTTTTTGTTCTCCATAGATTATAGTTCTCTAAAATATTCTGGAAGATTTTTGTCAGGGTAAGAGCCAAATTTGGATGTTTAAGCTTATGGAAAGCAGACTGGACAATTAAAAAACACATTGTGATTTTGTTTATCAAATTGGGAATGCGTAACATTATATATAATAATCCATTTCAAGTATAATGGTCACAAGTCAAAAATCACAGCATAAGACAGAGATGTTCACTACTACCATAATCAGTTAATACTAATTAGGTAAGAAAAAAAGTCTAGAGCTATAAAAATTGGAAAATAAGAGGCAAATGATCATTTTTAATAGATATGATTATACATTTAGAAAGTCCATGCAAACCAAATGAAAACTCATCACAAACAATAAAATACTTCAATACAAAATTGAAAAACAAAAATCAATGATTTTCCTTTATATAAATAACAATGAATTAGAATATTACGTGGTGCTATTTTAAACAGAAACAAAGATAAAATACCTGGAAATAAACATAACCAAAATAGCAAGATCTATATGAAGAAAACTTTAATATTCTATTGAGGGATGTAAAAGAAGATATTAGTAAGTGGAAACTCATATCCTATTCTTGAATAGGAAGACCTGTTACTATAAAGATGACATTTCTCTACAAACTAACCTATACATTTACTATAATCCTACTTAACATACAAATAGGATCTTTTTAGAACTAGAACACTTATTCCAAAGTTTAGTCTTGTTTTAGTAAATAAAGCATTTTCTATTGATTAGGCCCTGTTTTAAGTACTTTACAAATATTAATTCATTCAATTATCATAAGAACCCTAACAAAGCAGGTACTGTTATTTTCCTCGTATTACAGATGAAAAAATGGAGGCACAGAACAAGAAAATAATTTGCTCCTATGATCCCTACACAAGACCTACAAGACGACTGTAAATGCTTCAATGACAGAGAATTTATTTTACTTACTGTTAAATGCCCAGCAGCTAATATCATGCCAAGTGTGTGGTAGTTAATAGACTTTTTTGGGGGAACTGCACTGCAAATTGCAAGGGTGAAATCCACATTTCCTTATTTGATGAATACATCCTTGTTGGAAAAGCTTTCTTGAGGTGTTAGGACCTAAGCCATTATCTGAAAGAAGATGAGCTGAATGCATTAACAACTGGGAAAGGAGGCCAGTGAGTGGAGACTTAGAAAGACTCTAAGCAAAGTTCAGAGGCAGGTAAGCATGTATGATGAACGTGTGTGGATGCATGTCTGGGAGTAGTGGACTGGCTGAGGAACCATTTTATTTAATTTCGAACAACAGAGCAGGAATACAATTTTGTTTGCATAAGGTGCTTTGAAAATGAATTTTATATAATGTGTGAATCACCTATGCAGGCATGAACAATTTTGGACAACTGTGTTGGGGGTACGAAAAAAATCAGCATAAATTTGTTTTAGGTGTATTAAAATTTCCATCAAGGATCTGGTAAATGAGGGCTCCATTTGGTATTTAAATATTACTCTTTGTGCTATTCATCTTTGAGCACATTATGATACAAAACTACCCCCATCAAATCAATCAGCTTTTCCAAGGACTGTGCCACACTTATTAAACAATGATGTGGTCTTCTATCTTCAAACTGCCACTTACACATTAACTTCCTAGCTAACTCCAAAAATTCTTGACTGAAAAACAATCTAATAAAAAGCCATTTTAAAATATATGAGATGGTACAGGAGAAGGAACAACAAAATGAAAGGGTCTTTGGTTGGCATCTAGGTTTGCGAGTTACTCTCTGTATGACCTTGGGCAAGTCTCTTACCCCCGCCTGAGCCTCTGGCTCATATAACAACACCTGCTTGACAGAATTATTGTGTGGATTAATTAAAGTAATTTTTGGAAAACTCCCGACACAGTCTGTGAGTTCTAAGTATCTTACAAATGTTAGTTATCTTCCTTTTCCCTCAGTAGCTATTCCTAAGGACACTGTTTCTTAAACTAAACCATTAATGCTATACCTTATTTTTCTACTTAATTTATTATTAATTTTTCTTTCTAACTTCTTTCAGTTAAGACTATATGTTGCTATTTTGGATCTCAACTGATTCAAGCGTGTCTAGAAGAGATAAGACTCACCAAAAAAACAAAAAAACAAACAAACAAACAAAAACCATCCGAGATGAACGATAAGATCCACAGCGTTTTGAAGATAAGAAATGCCAAATTTCTGTGGATGAAAGTAGATTAAAGTAATAGGGTTAGAAAATGGATAGAACAACAAAAATGGAATGATAGTGGCAGGGTTATCAGGTAGAGGATATAAAACTATAGGCGGTAAGGAGTAGACTTACATTTTGAACCTAAGTTCATCCATATATATGTTTAACAGAATGAATATATACACTTCAAATAGAATTTCAACTAGCTATATAAACTAGCTATGGTAACAACACTATTTCTTTTTGTTCCACCTTCAGTCTTGTATAGGCCCAAAGAAGACAAGCACCTAGAAGCATATATTCATTCAATCAATAGATATTGAACCCCTTCTATGAGGTAACAAAGATAAGGAAGAGGCAGTTCCATAATATAATAGAAAGACATTTAAAAATCAGAAACATAAGTACAGTAAAAACGAGTAAAGAACACATTAAAAATGAGTAAGGACCACATCAGAGGAATATACAGGAACGCAGAGAAGGAACACCTAAGTCTCAGTGAGACTAGAAGGTTCAGAAAAGAAGTGATAACCTGTCTGGACTGTGGCATACTAGCTGGATTTCAGTGAGTGAAAGGGCAGGGAGGCACAGTATTCCAGAGAGAGGAAACTGCATGTGCAAATCCCCAGAAGCACGAGAGAACGTGAGAAACAGCACGTGGTGTGGCCTGGTGGAGACAGGGAGGAGAGAGAGTAATGTAGGTTACTAGAGGAGCAGCAGCCTAGAGAGGAAAATTTTAAGCAAGGTTCTGAATTCCAGGTGCCCCAGAGAAGTCATGAGCATGCCTGATGACAGTGACGAGGTGTGACAGAGGGTCGAGCAGTTATACAGGCTCAAAGAAGGATGATGGTTTTACACAAGGAGGGAAACGCAATGTTCTGGAGACATGGAGAAACTTCCTATTCTACTCTCCACCTCCATCACCATCTTGCACTTGCGGAGTGCCAGAAAACAAGCCTCTAACAGAAGGGGTTGCACGCTTCAGTTAAGGGAAGGAGAAGGAAAGAGTGCTATGGCTACCAGGAAGTTTGCAAGGGGCTAACAAGCTCTGCCTCAACATGTCTGGAGGCCTCAGTTTGGGCGAGGATGCCCTTGAGGTCCTTGGAGCAGCAGCAAAGGCTTCATTTGGATGAGGCCTGTCTCACTGCATTCAACAGGACTTCCAAATCCCGGGTTAAGGTCCCAGCTGAAACTGCTGACTCAAGGAAGGGGCGCCTCAGGGTATTTGCTTGTGGAACAGGCTCTGGTGGCAAAATCTGATGCAAGATTTCCACCCAGATGACAGCAAGAGGCCTGGTTAGGCACAGAATTCTATGGAGTAGAGCATAACTTAAAAGGCATTCGGGTTTTACGGTTCCACAGAGCAGACTCCTTTTCTACAGCATCCTTGACTGTGACCTCACTTTAGCACGCACACACACCTTCAGTGACTTAGACACTTAATTTAGCCCAGGCTTTCCATTCCATTGTTGGGCAGCTCTATCTGTTAAACAAAGTTATTTCTCATGTGAGCTAAAAATTTATCCTTTCTAGCTATTTGTATTAAGTTGGTCCCTCAGCAAGGTTTAATTTTTTTCCTTCTCCCTGACAGTCCTCCAAATATAAAGACAGCTATCTCCTTCCCTTGGACGTACTCTTACGTTTTTAACTTATCTAGAATAATTTTATATTTAACATACATTTTTTCAGGCTTATCAATAACTTCTGTTACAATTTTATTCTCTATCCTATTAAGCCACAAAAAAGCCATGTTAAATAAATTTCAACATAGAAGGGATCCTTGGTTTCCCCAGTGAATCTTTGTTTTGTGTCTCCTTATTTTGTTTTCTGGTTTTTCAAGCCAGAGAGACTATGAGTGTCTACAAGAATCTTAGCTGCCTTGCATGGTTCTGACTGGGGCCTGCCCTCAGGCTACAAGCTACACAAATGACACTTAGCAAGTGCTACCCTCTGCTTCCAGGTTTGACTCTCCCCTGGTCATTCTCTACTGCCTTCATATAATTGTTTTATTATATTTTTGTTTACAGTTTTTAATCTGTGGGAGAGTTGATCTGATAGGAGCTACTCAGTAAAAGCAGAGGTGGCATCTCCCTCTAAGGGCTTTTTTTTTTTTTTTTTTTTTTGAGACAGAGTCTTGCCCTGTTGCCCAGGCTGGAGTGCAGTGGCGTAATCACAGCTCACTGCAACCTTAAACTATTGGGCTCAAGCAATCTTGCCACCTCAGCTTCCCAAGTAGCCAGAACTACAGGTGGGCACCACCATGCCCAGCTAATTTTTAAAAAATATTTTATAGAGATAGGGTCTCACTATGTTGCCCGAGCTGGTCTCAAACTCCTGGCCTCAAATGATCTTTTCACTTTGGCCTCCCAAAGCATTGGGATTACAGGCAAGAGATACCACACCCAGCTCCAAGGGATTAAAAAATATATATTTATATATGAATATATGATATATAAGACATATATTTATATATGAATATATGATATATGAGACATATATTTATATCACAAATTTTTTTACATATGTAAATTTAATAACATGCTTTTTTAATGGCTTAATTAGCTTAACAAAGACAAAGAATAGGAAAATATATAACTGCAACAATGTTTTGCAAGCTAAAAAGCAGATAGATAAGTGGTAACAAATTTAGCAGAATTGAAAAAGTTGAATTCCAAGCCAGAAGTAGGGAAAGTTGAGAGGCAATCTGAGAATCCACAAAGGCTCAAGAACTGGTGGCCCTAGGTACTTCTGGAATTGGCAGTAAAGTTGGGGAATAGGAAGACCGGTTGAAAATCTGTTATACAATTATATCCCCAGATTTCCTTTCAAACTCCGTGAGCCAGGCAACAGTTCTTTTTCCATCCTGACAAATACACTAGAATTTTATTCCTTGGAGAGGGAACCGTCAGGTACAATTAAGGGCAAAGGCACTTTACTGAAAACAAGGTGATTAAGTGAACATACGCATACTAAGTGCCAAAACCTTCAGTCCTCTTTCCCAACTCTGCTTCCAGAAAACAAGCAATCGGCTTGTACTTTAAAGCGGGATGACTGGAACATCCTTGACAAGCTGAAGAGGAAAGACCTAAATAGAATGATGTCAGGTGTTCCCTAATGAGAAAGAGCCCAGCCAAATTACACTCTAGTGAACTCTACAGTTGATAATCCCTGTCCACATGCTCCAAGCTTCCAATTAATTTTCTAGTTCTTTCCTCTTAAAAACAAATATACAATAAAGAAGAAAAGAGAGAAGAAACAAATAGATGCAATAAAAAATGATAAAGGGGATATCACCACCGATCCCACAGAGATATAAACTACCATCAGAGAATACTATAAACACCTCTATGCAAATAAACTAGAAAATCTAGAAGAAATGGATAAATTCCCGGACACATACACTCTCCCAAGACTAAACCAGGAAGAAATGGAATCCCTGAATAGACCAATTAACAGGCTCTGAAATTGAGGCAATAATTGATAGCCTACCAACCAAAAAAAGTCCAGGACCAGACGGATTCACAGCCAAATTCTACCGGAGGTACAAGGAGGAGCTGGTACCATTCCTTCTGAAACTATTCCAATCAAGAGAAAAAGAGGGATTCCTCCCTAACTCATTTTATGAGGCCAACATCATCCTGATAGCAAAGCCTGGCAGAGAGTCAACAAAAAAAGAGAATTTCAAACCAATATCCCTTATGAACATCGATGCAAAAATCCTCTATAAAATACTGGCAAACTGAATCCAGCAGCACATCAAAAAGCTTATCCACCATGATCAAGTGGGCTTCATCCCTGGGATGCAAGGCTGGTTCAACATACACAAATCAATAAACGTAATCCAGCATATAAACAGAACCAAAGACAAAAACCACATGATTATCTCAATAGATGCAGAAAAGGCCTTTGACAAATTCAACAGCCCTGCATGCTAAAAACTCTCAATAAATTAGGTATTGATGGGGCGTATCTCAAAATAATAAGAGCTATTTATGACAAACCCACAGCCAACATCATACTGAATGGACAAAAACTGGAAGCATTCTCTTTGAAAACTGGCACAAGACAGGGATGCCCTCTCTCACCACTCCTATTCAATATAGTGTTAGAAGTTCTGGCCAGGGCAATCAGGCAGGAGAAAGAAATAAAGGGTATTCAATTAGGAAAAGAGGAAGTCAAATTGTCCCTGTTTGCAGATGACATGATTGTATATCTAGAAAACCCCATTGTCTCAGCCCAACATCTCTTTAAGCCAATAAGTAACTTTAGCAAAGTCTCAGGATACAAAATCAATGTGCAAAAATCACAAGAATTCTTATACACCAATAACAGACAAACAAAGAGCCAAAACATGAGTGAACTCCCATTCACAACTGCTTCAAAGAGAATAAAATACCTAGGAATCTAACTTACAAGGGAGGTGAAGGACCTCTTCAAGGAGAACTACAAACCATTGCTCAATTAAATAAAAGAGGATACAAACAAATGGAAGAACATTCCATGCTCATGGATAGGAAGAATCAATATTGTGAAAATGGCCATACTGCCCAAGGTAATTTATAGATTCAATGCCATCCCCATCAAGCTACCAATGACTTTCTTCACAGAATTGGACAAAACTACTTTAAAGTTCATATGGAACCAAAAAAGAGCCCGCATTGTCAAGACAATCCTGAGCGAAAAGAACAAAGCTGGAGGCATCACGCTACCTGACTCCAAACTACACTACAAGGCTACAGTAACCAAAACAGCATGGTACTGGTACCAAAACAGCATGGTACTGGTACCAAAATAGAGATATAGACCAATGGAACAGAACAGAGCCCTCAGAAATAATACCACACATCTACAACCATCTGATCTTTGACAAACCTGACAAAAACAAGAAACGGGGAAAGGATTCCCTATTTAGTAAATGGTGCTGGGAAAACTGGCTAGCCATACGTAGAAAGCTGAAACTGGATCCCTTCCTTACACCTTATACAAAAATTAATTCAAGATGGATTAAAGACTTAAATGTTAGACCTAAAACCATAAAAATCCTAGAAGAAAACCTAGGCAATACCATTCAGGACATAGGCATGGGCAAGGACTTCATGTCTAAAACACCAAAAGCAATGGCAACAAAAGCCAAAATAGACAAATGGGATCCAGTTAAACTAAAGAGCTTCTGCACAGCAAAAGAAACTATCATCAGAGTGAACAGGTGACCTACAGAATGGGAGAAAATTTTTGCAATCTACTCATCTGACAAAGGGCTAATATCCAGAATCTACAAAGAACTCAAACAAATTTACAAGAAAAAAAACAACCCCATCAAAAAGTGGGTGAAGGATATGAACAGACACTTCTCAAAAGAAGACATTTATGCAGCCAACAGACACATGACAAAATGCTCATCATCACTGGCCATCAGAGAAATGCAAATCAAAACCACAATGAGATACCATCTCACGCCAATTAGAATGGCGATCATTAAAAAGTCAGGAAACAACAGGTGCTGGAGAGGATGTGGAGAAATAGGAATGCTTTTACACTGTTGGTGGGACTGTAAACTAGTTCAACCATTGTGGAAGACAGTGTGGCGATTCCTCAAGGATCTAGAACTAGAAATACCATTTGACCCAGCCATCCTATTACTGGGTATATACCCAAAGGATTATAAATCATGCTGCTATAAAGGCACATGCACATGTATGTTTACTGCGGCACTATTCACAATAGCAAAGACTTGGAACCAACCCAAATGTCCATCAATGATAGACTGGATTAAGAAAATGTGGCACATATACACCATGGAATACTATGCAGCCATAAAAAAGGATGAGTTCATGTCCTTTGTAGGGACATGGATGAAGCTGGAAACCATCATTCTCAGCAAACTATCTCAAGAACAAAAAACCAAACACCACAGCATGTTCTCACTCATAGGTGGGAATTGAACAATGAGAACACTTGTACATAGGAAGGGGAATATCACACGCCGGGGCCTGTTGTGGGGTCGGGGGAAGGGGGAGGGAAAGCATTAGGAGATATACCCAATGTAAATGACGAATTAATGGGTGCAGCACACCAACAAGGCACATGTATACATATGTAACAAACCTGCACGTTGTGGACATGTACCCTAGAACTTAAAGAATAATAAAAAAAAAACAAATATACAATCGGGTATCTCCAAACTTCTAAGAAAAGCTTCTAATACAAATGATATATCAAGTCCAAAACAAAAACAACAATAAAAATTTCAAAAATCATTAATATGCTCAAGTGGAAAAGAGAAGATATTACACACATAGAACAATAAGATGCTATTCAGAGAAAAAGAACTCTTAGAAATTAAAAATATGAAAGCCAAAATGAAAAACACAAGGGCAAGAAGATGAAGGTAAGCAAATCTCTCCAGAGGTAGAACAAAAAGACAAAGAGATAGAAAACAGGAGAGAAGAAGTAAGAAAATTACAGGAGCAGTACAGGAAACCTAATATCTAAACGATAGTAGTCCAGGAAGAGATATAAAAAAAAATAAAAGGGAGTAAACCATTAATGAAGTAATTCAAGGAATTTTCCCAGAACTTAATGATTTGAGCTTTTGGGTTAAAAAGATCCATTGAGTGCCGAGCACAACAGATAAAAACAGACTTATCAGTCTGAGATTTCAGAACATTGGGCACAAATACAGTTCCTACAAATTTCTAAAAATAAAAAGCAAGGCAAAGCAAAATAAGTAAATAATATTTCACATACAAAAAGGGGGAATCAAATATCTCTAGATTTTTCAGTAACACTGGAAGCTAAAATATAATAGAACAATGATTTCAAAATCTTAAGGAAAATTGTTTCCAGCCTAACATTCCATTTCAGTCAGAGAAGAATAAAGATAATTTTCAGATTTACAAGGTCTCAAAAATTTATCTCCATGCATGCTTTCTTAGGAAGCTATAGAAGGATATGCTCCAACAAAACAAGGGAGAACACTGAGAAAGAGGAAGACATCATGTCATGCATTCTTTGTGAGGATTTATCTAGAAAATAGAGGTTTCAACATAAGAGAAATTATGGAAATCCCTAGGATTATGGTAAAGCCATAGAAAACAATATGACAGACTGCAGCAGATCAGAAGTTCTAGGAGAGATTTCTCCCAAAGATGAAATTGTGTGAATACCCGATATGTAATTTATTGTATATCTAACATGTCTGAATATCTTGAGAGGTGATTAGATAACTGGTAGAGAATTTAGGATGAAATTAGTTATAAGCACACTGAAAACTAATCAAAGAAAAAATAAGAAAATAAGCTCCAAAGGAAATAAAAAACATTAGGGGAAAAAAAGTAATCACAGTATACTACATGGCTTATCTGAGTGGTATTTATATAGACAAAGTAATTTGAAAACCTATAACGGTAGGTCAACTGAAGAATGACAAGGTTCCTAAGTCTGGAAAGGAGAGCTTTATTTCTCATAAAGGGTTGCAGCCTGCAGGTAGCCATTCTGACAGACTGGGAAGGATAGCCTCTGGCCAGAAGCTGGAAATAGGCACTGCCAGGGAGGGTTAAAGGGAATGGGAATTTATGCTGAGTGGGTTGGCTAAGTATATACATTCAACAGGTTATAGGAGGAGTTATGAATATTCATGAAGGGGAAGCACAAGCAGGCGTAGTAGGCTAATATGTATACAGTCTGCACACCATGCTCACTTTGGGGTAGAGACTTAACATTTAAATGTATTACAAGTAGGCCCTGTACATCAAAAGGTAAAGCGAGGACATGAAAGGCCTCTGTGCACAGCCTCTGTAGACTGGCAGAACCACTCCACAGTCAGTGTGGTCTCTTATCAGGAAGAAATGCTGACCAGTTGCTGCATTTGAAACATAAAAATGGAGGTGCAGTCAGGAGATTGGTTGAAATCAGAGGTGCAGGAAGTCTTTCTAAAGGGCTGGTTTCCATTTAGCCCTTGGGAAAGAACACCGAATGGTGGCTAGCGAGGGCGGAGGTAGAATAAGGCAGGTCCAACTTCCTATCCCATCACAGCTGGAAACTCAGTTTTTAGGGTTTCTCCAGGGTCCTTCTGGCCAAAACGGGGTATGTTCAGTTGGTTGGGAGGCTTAGGAATTTATTTTTATTTCTCAGGTAGAATGGGGGAACAGAAAGGGGATATGAATGTGTGAAAGGGAACTAAAGTCTCATCTCCTACTGAAGAAATCAGAAGAAATCGAACAAAATCCAAGAAGCATCAACATTATCAAATTATTTAGAGGCAAGTAGTAACATAATCTGCTAAGATTGTTGAAAGTCGTTACCTCTGGGAAACAAGCAGAAATACTGTTTCTCACAATTAGCCTTAAGGATCTATTTGACTCTTTAACAGCATGTATAATTTTATAAAACTAAAACCAAAGGGCTAATAGGCCAGAACTCTAGGGTTGAGTTATCTAAATTCACATACCCCCTTCCTTCCATTTTCAATTCTTCAAATGGCATCGCGTCATGCATTCTTTGTGAGCTGGTAATCATCTCTCCTATACTGTCAATATGAATATACTAGCTGAATTACATATAAGCCAGTAATTCAGTTAGCTCTAGAGCCACTACTGTATCTAAAATTATTAAATAAAATTGTCAGTGAAAGAATAACACTTAGAAAACACTATAACACTTTGAAAATATTTGTCAGCTCTCTGACTAGAAGAGAAAAAGTCACTCAACATATAACAACTTATTACCACAGGCATATATTTTGGGGAAAATGTTCGCTTACTGTATAATTTCTCCTTAATCTCACCCCACTTCTCAAAGCCCTGCATTATCTTCCTAGACACAAGCAAAGCCAGGCATATCTATAAGTAAGACTGTAATTTCATTTGATACAAATGTGAACTCCCTTTGCCTTTTAAATGGAAGGCTATTCCTTTCAGAGATGAGTTCTTAAGTTTTTAGTCCATGCAGGAAGGTCACTGGTTCAGTCTATCATGCATGTGCAAACCTTTCCTGAGTCCATGTTATGTGCTAGCTACTGTGTCTGGATAAAGAGATGAATGAACCTCAGTCTCTGGCCCTTAAGGAACTTATTAATTTAGTAGGGGAGACATACATGCAAAATAACAACAGAAATGTAAGAATATTCACATATTTGATCGATTACTTGTTTTTTAAAACAAGGTGAGCAGGAAGAATAGAAGATGGGTGATAACTCTGTTCAGGAGGGCAAAGAAAGGCTTCACAGAAGAGAAGTTGGCCTGGTTGGATCCTGGAGAATGAGTGGGAGTTTACCACATGGACAAAAGGGGAAGGAAATTTCAGGCAAAGGGAATATAAAAGCAAAAGCAGAAGATGGGCCTTTCAGTGATGTTCAGCTTTCCTGGCATAAAGGGCCAGTGGCGGAGGTTTTGGGGTAAGTGGTTGCAGGAGTTGAGGCTGAAACGTGAGAGAGAAGACAGATAGATCATGTGAAGACTTTGCCATGCAAAAGAGTCTTGTTGCAAGGCGGGGGAGGGGGCGCGGGTGGGCGGAAGTGGGGGTTGGGGGTGGCATAGGAGAAGATGGGATTTGGGGGAAGGTAGCCTATGGAAAACGATGACAAGGTTTTAAGCAGGGGTGGACATAACAGATTTGCAAACTTCCCACCCCTCGTCCTCGTTTTTCTCATTATAAAAGTGCTTACCTAAATGCCAAGTATTTCAGCAGGACTCTACCTTAGTAGAGGCAATGAAGAATTACTTAAGTGACAAAAATCAGCCAATGGAAACTACTATAGGGGCGCTATAATGGTATCACTGATGTCATTACTGGCTTATGAATTTTCACAAATGGGGCTGGATGTGGTGGCTCATGCCTGTAATCCCATCACTATCGCTTGAGCCCATAAGTTTGAGACCAGCCTGGGCAACGTGGCAAAACTCTGACTCAAAAAACCATATAAAAATCAGCCAGGTGTGGTGGCATATGCCTGTAGTCCTGGCTACTCGAGAGGCTAGGAGTAGCCACCTGACCCCAGGGAGCTACTGGGAAGATCACCTGACCCCAGGGAGGTCTAGGCTGCAGTGAGCTGTGATTGCACCACTGCGCTCCAGTCTGAGCAACAGAGTGAGATCTTGTCTCAAAAACAAAACAAAACAAAACAAAAAACCAAAACAACTAAACGCTTACAAATGCCAAGTAGTATCAGGGTTCAGAGGATAGTCCTGACAATCAGGCCCGCTGTAGTAACCATGGGTAAATTACTAAACCTCTTTACTCAGTTCTAAAATGGGAATAGAGAAGGACTTGTTCTGTCCACCTTAAGGAATGCTATAAGGATCAAAGGAAATAATACACATAAAAATACTTTGATAAAGTATCTTGATCCTTCATTTATAAAGCTGTATAACAAGGGCAATTTGTTTAATTTTTCCGAGCTTCGAAGTTCTCATTTGTAAACCAGGGAGAATTCCATCTATATTACAGTCCTCATGCTATGAGGACTGAAGTGCCTTGTCTGACACACAGTAATTATGATTATCATCTGTGGCAGTATTTTAGCCATTTACATTGGTGTATGATAAATCAATTGGTCTGTGATGCAGTCAATAAGTATTCACTGAGGACATGAAGCGTGCAGAGTCCTAATTAGTCAGAGTCTCTAAGGAAAAGAAAACAAAGTAGGGACAAAATTTAAAAACACTACCTACCATACTGCTCACCGGTCAATTTTAGAACATGGCAACTCATATCTGTAATTGTAAATACTTCTCCAGAATATCATGCAGGAATTAACCAAGAATATGTTTGACTTTCTCACTGGCATTCCTATGTACCTACACACACATTCACAAGCACATGTATGTGTGTGCGCATGTAGAAACATTAGGACTCACTGAGGAAAAATAAATCTCTCACACTTGAAAATTAAGGAACTGCATAGGCAGCAAATCTCCAAGTGAAGTTGATGCAGTGGGTTATACAAGCCAATAATTTATGTTAGGGCTTCACAAAATGTTAGACACTAGGAAAGGAAACAAAATAAGTTAAATTACATCAATAAAAAGGTATGACTAGCTGTGCTGCCTCAGCTGGGATGCTATTTCTTGCTATAAACAGCAACAGCTAGAATTCAGATGACTAACTAAGCATTGCAATAATGAAAACAAAGCATGTTATAATAGCTGCTGCTAGATCCACAGCCTTGGGGATCAATGAAATAATGCCTGTTGCCATATATACACAGTCTTGCGGGTCTTTGTTTTTTTGGGAAAAATAAGTTCAGATCATTTCTAAACTAGCAATTTGTCTGTCTAGATTTTGTTAAGTCTGTTATGCTTATGATAAAATATGATCTTTCATATTAAATCACTTATGACCTTGGTAAAATATTACTTTATATTAGCTGACTCTTGAGGCACTTTAATTTTATGAAACATGCACTTTAGTTTTTAAAAGTATGAAAGCAAAACTAGAAGTTCCTAGTCTACTACATCATGTTAACAAGCCATCAAAGATCTGGGAACACATTAAAAAATAGACCAAATCTCTATCTAATTAATTTCAAATATGAAAGGATACTTACAACTGAAAACAAAATACAGCCAATACTTTAAATCCTTAAACATACGAAGAATAGTTCTGATTGGTTTCCTGGATTCATGTCTCCCTGTCCAAGGTTATTCCATGCAAGAAGGTTACCAAACAAAGTAAAAGGTTGTGGGAAAATCCAATACCCACTTTAGGGCAGGAGTGAGCAGCTTTACAGATGTGTAAAGACAAATCTTTCTAGAATACATGATGGAAAAAACTAAAGAAAGATTTAAGTTCATGATTAAGCGAGGGCATCCATGGTTCAAAAATATGTCTTATATAGTTCCATTAACAGGCCCGAATTTTAAATTACAAATATGTAAGCAGAAGGTGAATTACCCGTGTTACTTATTTAAAGCAGGTTGTTTTCCCTTCAGTTAGTCAGCTATCTGCTTACTGAGGGAATGGAACTTTGCATACTATGGAACTGGGAGGGAAAGTGGATTTTGGTGGTGCACCAACTTCAGGGCTCATGGCTTTAACAGAGTAGAATGAGGGCACTGGGTGTCAGCAGGCATGGGGTGTCTGACATGTAGAAAGAGCTCCAGAAATACAAGCTGATAGATGAGTTGTGAAAAACACACATGGAAAAGGACGTGGAAATATGACAATGACAAACCTGCTTACCTTGATCACAAGACCTAATGCTGAAAAATGCTAAATGTGCCTTCCACTGACATAAGTAATGTGATTTGCCAATGCCCAGCTTAGAGTGGTTTCCCCTGTAGCAGACAAGCAGATGTATATATAATAAAGTCCCTGCAAGGTGAAAAAGAAAATCTGATTTTTAAAAGGATATTATATTCTGCTTTTTATATTTGCCTAAACTCCAAGGCTAAAGTGCCAGTATGTAACAAAGAAGCTAGTGAGAGAATATAAATAAATGCCCTGCTTCCTTCATCCAGAATGTCTTGATACAAAAGAAAAATTTGCATCTGAACTAAGTAGTGTGTTTGGTGACACAATTGATTCACATTTGGTACAATTTCCTTATCTTACTGCAGACTGACAACAAGCTCTATGGACTACAGACTGCCTGCTGGCCTGTGGATCACACTTTGACGAGCACTGACACAGACAATCCCAGCACAATTTATACTTTAATTGTTAAAAAAAGTTATCAGTTCTGAGAAAGCAATAACAGCAAAAAGCCAGAGCCAAACAAAGGGGACCACATTGCCATGATGTTGCTATAGTTCCTGAACACAGTAATTTATGGATTCCTCAAATGATAAATCACATTAGTAACTTTGCCAAATGTCTCAAAAGGATATAATAAATGAAGAAATATCTGTTGAACAAACTATTCTGGTTAAGGCAATGTGGTGGGGGATTCATCAGAACAATTAGATTTTTTTTTTTTTTTTTTTTTTTTTTGAGACAGGGTCTCGCTCTGTCCCCCAGGCTGGAGTGCAATGGTGCAATCTCGGCTCACTGCAACCTCTGCCTCCCAGGTTCAAGCAATTCTCACGCCTCAGCCTCTTGAGTAGCTGGGATTACAGGCACCCGCCACCATGCCTGGCTAATTTTTGGGGGGCATTTTTAGTAGAAATGGGGTTTCACATTGGCCAGGCTGGTCTCCAACTCCTGACCCCAAGTGATCTGCCTTCCTCAGCCTCCCAAAGTGCTGGGATTACAGGCATGAGCCACTGCGACTGGCCAGAACAATTAGATTTTATACACATGTGAACTATTTGTCACATAAAGCAACTTCTTCTGTTTCCCTCCACCACCACCCAGAGCCTAGTATAGTATATTCAATTAATACTTTTTGGCTGGTATATCCAAAACGTCCACAAAACACTATATATATTCTGAGTTTCAGACTAAAATGAGAAAAATAAGATAACTTATAAAGATAAAATACAGGAAAACTCGGATCATACATTTTATTGGAAAAAGTATATAAAATATATTAACAACTTTAAAAATAAATGATAGTATGTATATTTTAATGGCTATGTTCTAGGCAGGGAAAGAGAATAAAAATGACAACATGATAATAAATGTCTTTGCTTTTCACATCTTCCATTTCTTAACAAAATAAAAGATCTTAGACCATTAATAAAAGCGGTACATTCTCTTGGACTCTTAAATTCAGATATTAATACCGCCTTTATAGAAATAAATAAGAAAGCACTGATGGAAGATGTAAAGTGCATTAGCGTTCATGTTATCTCTCCTGGTATGAATTTAATGGGTATCTTAATAAGGAGATATAAACTAATGTCACTGATTAGGAAATATATCCACTCACATCATTTAGTAGCCTCCACTGGGGCTTGATGATGATGTCTGAGTGGAATTACTATAAAGCAAATGATGAATTAGTGTCAGGAGCTAAGGGACACATAAATGTGCCTCAGAGATGAAGCACTTACATTCTACATTGAAAGTTACAGGTCAACTCAAAAGACAGTGCGGTCAGTCCTAAGGCAGCACTAACCAACCTGGCTAAGCCCACTGCTTAGAACTTGCTAAAGCTAAGTTATTTTGATAGCTGGGCCACAGGCTTCCTTGGTTATAATAACCTGAAAGTAACATTTACGTGTTTTAAGTCTCTTTTGATCTCCTGAATAACATGAAGTGATGTTTATCAGATTTTAAGACACAGGCACATTCCGTTCAGATGATTTCATTCTCAGGGGACCTTGTCATTATGAAGGCTTATTAAAAGAAGGCAAAGGTTCACAAGCCTTTCAGAAGAATCTTAAGTGACATTATGAACTAAATCTAAAAAAAAATTTTTTGGCTTGGTTATACAAAGTAATTTCCTCTTCCCGGTTAGCTTAGTGGTCATAGTTCAGCAAACTTTGTATAGAGTGACCACCACAATTAGTGTATTAAAAATGTAGACATTGTTTCTCTCACTTTCTCTTCTAATTAGGCTTTATTTCAACACTCAGTGCAGGGGCTTGACCTATAAGTGGCAAATGCCCCAATACCCAAAAGCTCGTTTACTATTAGGCATTTGGGAAATCTTACATACTTCCAGGTACATTTGAAAGAAAAAACAGCCAAAACTCAGTCTATTCTTTTGTTTAGGGCTTATTTTAATAGTATACATCCCTAAAATGGTCACAAATCTTGTTTGTAATTTATCTTTTTATAACATGAAGGAGAAAAAAAAATACCAAAAATGGTCCATGCAGATGTTTCAATTATTTTTTAAAAATTCCTCATCCACCAAAATATTCTATACCTGTTTCCTCACCTGTAAAATGAGGATAATAACAAAAACCTGAAAGGTTATTGTGAAGACTAGGAATAAAGAATAAGACACTCTTTGCATATAGGTATCAATAAAAGCAGATATTCTTTTTTGTTTTAGTTTAAACTTTTAGATTCAGGGGGTACACATGCAGATTTGTTACAAGGATATATTGTGTGATCAAAAGCAGATACTCTTTTTTTGAGACACGGTCTCTGTCACCCAGGCTGGAGTGCAGTGGTGCAATCTCAGCTCACTGTGGCCTTGACCTCCTGGGAATCAATCCTCCCACCTCAGCCTCCTAAGTAATTGGGACTAGAGGTGTGAATCACCACACCCAGCTAGGATTTTTTTGCATTTTTAGTAGAGATGAGGTTTCATCATGTTGCTCAGGTTGGTCTTGAACTCCTGGGCTCAAGTGATCCATCTGCCTCGGTCTCCCAAAGTGCTAGGATTACAAGCATGAGCCACCATACCTGGCCCAAAGTAGATATTCTTATGTGTAAAGCTAAGACAATGCTTAAGCGCTCTAGCTGAAAATTCTTTTTCTTCTGATATATGATGCTGAAATACGAAGTCCTTGCCATCCTTTGTAATGGCAATTATTTTTCAAGAGATGACAAGAATTTGATGAAATAGTGTTATACAGTTTAAAAAATTGTTACCTATGTTTTTTTTTTTTTTTTTTTTGGGACGGAGTCTCGCTCTGTTGCCCAGGCTGGAGTGCAGTGGTGCCATCTCCGCTCACTGCAAGCTCCGCCTCCCGGGTTCATGCCATTCTCCTGCCTCAGCCTCCCGAGTAGCTGGGATTACAGGCGCCCGACACCACGCCTGGCTAATTTTTTGTATTTTTAGTAGAGACAGGGTTTCACCGTGTTAGCCAGGATGGTCTCGATCTCCTGACCTCGTGATCTGCCCGCCTCGGCCTCCCAAAGTGCTGGGATTACAGGCGTGAGCCACCGTGCCTAGCCACCTATGATTTTTTAATGGCAAGATATAATATGCATATAGAAAAATAAATGAAACACACATACACATTGTTTAAAGGATCAGGATTATAAAGCAAACCCCTGTGTTACCACCACTCGGTCAAGAAATACAATGCTGCTGGTGCCCCAGAAGCCTTCCACAAGCCCCTTTCTCATTATAACCCCTTCTCACTTCCAGAGGTAGTTAGTCACTACCCTTGTTTTTTTGTATAGTTTTCATTCCTAAATAATATCGTTTAATCTTGCTTGGTTTTGAACTATACATAAATAGAGGATGATTGTGGATTTTTTTTTTTTTTTTTGCTTTGGTTCTTTTACTCTACATCATGCTGGTGAAATTCGTCCCTATCATTGCTATGGTTTCATGGCTGCACAGTATTTGATTACATAAATATACCTTAATTAATGATGAACATATTGTCGATATATTTTAAGTTGTTTCTAATCTTCAGCTATTATGAATAGTGGTGCTATAAACATTCTCATATACAAATCTTCAATTTCACTGCATAATGTCAAATTATTTTTTTAAATGATCAATCTACCCTCCCATCACCTCTAATTTAAGAGTAACCGGTTTATTATTGTTTTTTTTTAAAATCATACATGTGCTCAAAACTAGACTGGGAGAAATTGTAGAATATTACTGTTAGAAGGAAATGAAAAGATTATTTACTTCAAGTTTCTTATTTTAGAAGGAGCCAAGGCTTAGAAAAATTAGAGACTAACTTGGCCAGGTGCGGTCGGTCACTCACACCTGTAATCCCAGCACTTTGGGAGGCAGAGGCGGGCAGATCATTGGAGGTCAGGAGTTCAGAACCAGCCTGGCCAACATGGTGAAACTCTGTCTCTACTAAAAATATAAAAACTAGTTGGGCGTGGTGGCAGGTGCCTGTAATCTCAGCTACTCGGGAGGCTGAGGTAGGAGAATGGCCTGAACCCAGGAGGTGGAGGTTGCAGTGAGTCAAGATTGCGCCATTGTACTCCAGCCTGGGCAACAGAGCGAGACCATCTCAAAAAAAAAAAGAGAGAGACTGGCTCAATGTTACAGTGAATAAGAGGGACAATGAGTTAGAAAACCAAAGAGTTAGAAGCAACTCTGAAGCTAGAACACAATCTAGAGCTCTTTCCAAGGCATTAAGCTGCCTTGCAAGGGAATCTGGAAACAATGAAATACAACTACTATTTATAAATGTGAACACAATGGGGACAGACACAGAAATGTTTTAGGGCAGTTTAGAAAAGTTAGCATTACGTTTTACAACGGAATTTGTGAATCTCATTATTTAAGTAGGGAAACTGAGGCCTAGAAACTCACAAGGCCACAGTTATCAAGTGGCAACACTGATCAGGAAGTGAATCCATGTCTGTCTGTACTTGTTCTCCTAACCACATATACTGTCTGGAAACATACTCAGCTAGAGGGAATATAGCTGTGTTTTACAAAGTATGAAAAAATAACACTGATTTTGTCAATTTGACTATGGGCTAATGAATCTTAAAGAGGAAGTACACGTTACTGAGAAAAAATACATAGCTTGACCAGCCTCTTTAAAGCTGAAATTTCTGTATCTGCTGGAATATTCTATAATTTGAACGTACTAACGAATAGATTAAGAGAAGAAAACTGGTTTCTTGTCCCAGGTTCACCATTAACCATTTGTACCATTTTGAGAATGTCAAAAAACTTCACTAGGATTCAGTTTTTGTCTGAAAAAAATAATTTATATATATATATTCTATTATAAAAGCAATATGTGCTCAATAAAAATAAATAAAAAGGTAAGTAGAAGGATTATCTGAAGTCCCACAAAACAAACATGTAACACAGTTTTGGTATACAACCAGGCAGTCTTTTCCCTCCTATATACAGGGTAGTTTGTTTGGTGCCTTTAAAATTATTTTAATATCTGTAACCACAGTGTGCCTTCAACCCCATGCTCTCTTTTCTACACTAATAACAAAGGTATTTCTATGCTACCTAATCTTCACAAAAATTTTAATCACAGTGAATGCTTGCTATGTTTTAAATGTCCCCTCCAAACCTCATGTTGAAATTTGGTTGCCACTGTCACAGTATTAAGGGGTGGAACCTTTAAGAGGTGATTAGGTCATGAAGGCTCCACCCTCATGAATGGATTAATGCCATTACTACAAGAGTGGGCTCCTAATAAAGGGGTGAATTCAGTCCAATTTTCCTCTCTCCATCTCACATCTGCCATGGGTTGATGCTTGCTTGATGTTGGTGCCATGCTCTCAGACGTCCCAGCTTCCCGAACCATGAGCCAAACAAATCTCTTTTCTTTATTAATTACCTAGTCCATGATATTCTGTTATAGCAGCAGAAAACGAATGAAGGCAATGCTCCTTCATTTATTTAACCTATTCCCAGATAACTATTTTCAGTTATGATAAACATATTTAACTGTTTTCAGGAAGTTAGAATTATTTCCTTATGCTAGAGTTCCCAAGATGAACTACTAAATCAAAGGCAGAAATTCTTACTAATTCTACTTCAGAGAAAAAATTGTGAGGGTAAGTATATGAGCTTCTTATGAGAATGCTTTGAAAACTGTAAGGCACTACATAAATGTAAGATAGTATTATCATTAGTTTTATAAGTCCATATTGTATTGGACTTACATAAGCCTAGTATGGTACTCCATAAATCTCTGAATATTTTCTAAAAACAAAATCACCAATATATAAGCATACTATTTGTACATTTCATCTTAATCTTTTTTTTTTTCTTTTTTTTGAGACAGGGTTTCACTGTCGCCCTGGCTGGAGTGCAGTGGCACAATCATAGCTCACTAAAGCCTTTAACACCTAGGCTCAAACAATCCTCCTGCCTCAGCCTCCTGAGTAGTTGGGACTACAGGCACAAGCCACTATGTCCGGATAATTTTTTTAATTTTTTGTAGAGATGAGGTCTTGTTGTGCTGCCCAGGCTGGTCTCGAACTCCTGAGCTCAAGTGATCCTCCTGCCTTGGCCTCCCAAAATGTTGGAATTACAGGCTTGAGCCACTGCACCTTGCAAGAATCTTAAAACCTTTTTGATCATGCTGTCGCGAGTCAAACAACTTAAAAGTGATTTTGAAAAAGCAATGAACAGACTAAATTATAAGAGTGGTAAAGTTAAGAAGCAGAGATGTAAAGAACATGGTGCTGACATGGGGCTCAGGGCACATAATACTCAACTTTTTGATTCTTTAGATGAGAAGTCTGAGACACAGCAGAAAGATACTATCTGCCCAAGGTACTGGCAAGTTAAAAGTGATGGAATATAACCCTGAAATTTCTTTTTTTTCTGAGACAGAGTCTTGCTCTGTAGCCCAGGCTGGAGTGCAGTGGTGCGATCTCAGCTCACTGCCAGCTCCGCCTCCTGGGTTCACATCATTCTCCTGCCTCAGCCTCCTGAGTAGCTGGGACTACAGGTGTCCGCCACCACACCCAGCTAATTTTTTTTTTTTTTTTTTTTTTTTTTTGTATTTTTAGTAGAGTAAAGACAGGGTTTCACTGTGTTAGCCAGGATGGTCTCAATCTCCTGACCTCGTGATCCGCACACCTCGGCCTCCCAAAGTGCTGGGATTACAGGTGTGAGCCACCGCACCCGGTCTAACCTTGAAATTTCTAATTGTTGGTGTTATGTTCTTTCCATTAAATCATTTCATCCACCTTTTTGAAATCTGTGGATGACAAAATTTCATTCCTTTCATTGCATCTACCTAAATAATTTAATTATTTAAATGTAAAGTGCTAGTCTGCATTTATAATATATATATTTTTAAACCAATAATTTACAGAAATATCTACAAAGTTATTATTTTAAATACAGAATTATGATATGGGTCTATCCACAGATAACTGTGGGTATGTTGGTGAAAGTAGTCTCTCTTTCAAAAAGATAAATTAGCAAAACATAACATCATTAAAAGTTCCAAAATTTAGAATTTCAAATCTACTGTGCTACCTTCCCCTAAAATCTAGAGACTTTGGGTTTTGAATCAGGCAATATAAACCATTTTTTTGGAGCTCATCTCTTTAAAGAGCTTACACCTAAGCTATGCCGGTCACTTTGATGCCAACTAAAATCAGACCAAATTCATTTTTCATATAGCTCATAATTCATTTCATGATGCTTAATCATAAAAAGTATAGTGAGAATTTATATGCCATCCTCTCTGAACTAGCTAGCACTGCATATTTCATTTCAGTTGAGGTACATTCTTTAAATATTTTCCTCCCAGCAAAAGATGTCACTCATGGTGGTGCTTTGGAAAAGGCTAATCTTATTACTGAACAAGTAAAAAGGCTAAAGTGAATCTTTTAAAACAACTAGGATAAAGGAAGAGATAGATGTTATCAAAGATGGTAAGCCAAGTAAGGTGCTAAATTTATATTGAGCTATTAGCCACAGAAAAAAAGGGAAGCCTGTTATGTAAGATGTTTCTTCCTGTCTGACAAAAGGAAAGCAGCAAGTACGGTCTCCTGAACTTAGAGTCAGATATTAGGGTCTGAATTTCTTTGTTTATCTAACAGCTGTGTGACTATGAGCAAAAGACTCACCCTTCAGAGGCTCAGTTTATCTAAATGTAAAATGAAGATAATAATACCAACACTTTAAGGGTTTCTGCAAAGGATAAAAGAAATAATATATGTGAAAGGGCCCTGTGCCCTAAAATAAGCTATATATGTAAGTTACAATTGTTTTATTTTTCATTTGGAAATATATTTTTGGCACTGTATTTGTAGTTTCAGTTTAAAAGGAAAAAATGTCCAACTGAGATAAAAAGTTTTATCAATTTACACTTTCAGCAATCAAAGAGTACAGTAATCATAGTCAATGACATTAAAAATGTCTAGCACATTGGTTAATAGCTAATGATGGCTCTCAGAAAAATTAATACATGAACACTTAACCAATCATTTGCAACTAGAAAAATGCAGTATGTTATCCCTTTAAACACAGAATAGAACTTTTGGAAAAAACTATGTATAAATAAATATAATTTTTTGACCTCAATTAAAACATTAAATAGATACAAGAGATGTGTGTGTGTGTATATATAATATTTACATATATTATATATTTTATATATACAATATATAATATACATTAAACAGAAATGAGTTGTTTAATTATCAACCTTAAAGAGGAAAGAACAATCTCTGACTGACTCATTCATCATTCATTCTTTCAATAGACATCTTTTTTTTTTTTTGAGACAGGGTTTGCCATGTCGCCCAGGCTGGAGTGCAATGGTACAATCACAGCTCACTGCAGCCTTGACCTCCTGGACTCAGGTGATTTTCCCATCTCAGCCTCCCAAGTGGCTGGAACCACAGTTGGACACCACCACACCCTGCTAATTTTTTTATTATGGGGTCTTGTCATCTGCCTCTAATAAATAAATAAATAAATAAATAAATAAATACAACCTAATTTAAAAATGGTCAAAGGGTTGGAATAGTTATTTCTCCAAAGAAGATATACAAATGGCCAATAAGTACATAAAAGAGTAATGACACTCAACATCATTAGCCATTAGAAAAAATTCAAGTCAAAACCATTTACAACTAGTAGGATGGCTATAATAAAAAAGAAAAATAAGTGTTGGTGAGGATACAGAGCAATTGGAACCTGATACCGTTTGGCTGTGTCCCCACCCAAATCTCATCTTGAATTGTAGCTCCCATAATTCCACGTGTCATGGGAGGGACCCAGTGGGAGGTAATTGAATCATGGGAGCAGGTCTTTCCTGTGCTGTTCTTGTGATAGTGAATAAGTCTCACAAGATCTGATGTGAGATCAGATTTATAAAGGGGAGTTCCCCTGCACACGCCCTCTTGCTTGCTGCCATGTAACACAGTAAAATTGCTTCTACTTTGCCTTCTACCATGATCGTGAGGCCTCCCTAGTCATGTGGATCTGTGAGTCCATTAAGCCTCTTTCCTTTATAAATTACCCAGTCATGGCTATGTCTTTATTAGCAGCATGAGAACAGACTAATACAGAACCTTTGTACATTAGTAGTGGGAATGTAAAATGGTGTTGCCACTTTAGAAAACAGTCTGGCAATTCCTCAAATTTAAACATAGCTACCATATGGCTCAGCAATTCCACTCCTAGGTATACACCCCAAAATAATGAAAACTATATCCCCACAAAAACTTGTACCCAAATGTTCATAACAGCATTCTTATAACAGCCAAGAAATGGAAACATCCCAAAAGTCTATCAACTCGTAAATGGATAAATAACATGTCGTATATACATACACATCTTCCAACTGCAAAAAAAATTGGCTACAAAAAGGAATGACTCATACATGCTACAAAATGGATAAACCTTGAGCCTATGGAAAGCAAATAAAGCCAGTTACAGAAGACCACATATTTTATGATTCCATTTGTAAGAAATGTCCAGAACAGCAAATCTATAGAAACAGAAAGTAGGCTGGTAGCTGCCCAGGGATGGGGAACCTGAGGGAATGAGGAATGACTACTAGTGGGTACAGGGTTTCTTTTGGGGGCAATGAAAATGTTCTATAATTGACCGTGGTGATAGTTGCACAATTTGGTGAATATATTAAAAGCCACTGAACTATATACTTTTTTTTTTTTTTGAGACACAGTCTTGTTCTATTGCCTAGGCTGGAGTGCAGTGGCATGGCTCATGCAACCTCCGCCTCCCAGGTACAAGCCACTCCTTCACTCCTGCCTCAGCCTCCCAAGTAGCTGGGATTACAGGCGACTGCAACCCTGCCCGGCTAATTTTTGTATTTTTTTAGTAGAGACAGGGTTTCACCATGTTGGCCAGGCTGGTCTCAAACTCCTGACCTCAAGTGATCCGCCCACCTCGGCCTCCCAAAGTGCTGGCATTACAGGTGTGAGCCACCACGCCTGGCCTGAATTGTACAATTTAAATGGGTTAATTGTATGTTATGTGAAATATATCTCAGTAAACTTTTTTTTAAATTTAGTACTTTTTATAAAGAGCTTCCACCATTATTATTGGCAAATTTTGTATGCAGTAGTTGGGGAAAGGCATTTTGACTATTAAAACATCCTTGGAATTTATATTTTTGATTCCAAGAATTATGAAAATAAAAGCATATTTTCTTCTCATGTGTCACATACATTTGGCTGTATGTTAAAGAAATATACATGAATTTAAGCTGCTGGGTAGAAGCTGGCATTGATCCCTTCTAAATAGCTGTGCACTGTGGGCCCCAGGAGTAAAGATTTACAGAAGGATCACGTCCTTGGCAGAACAGGGGTTCCCAGCTGTTTTGGATGGAGAAGCTATTTTTACTTTCTATGAAGTCTTAACTTGAAGGGGAAGAGAAGTAATAGGGTAAAAGGAAGGGAGTCATGAAATCCCCAGGTTCTAATTTTAGCTCTTCTACTTAACTCACTGTCTCAGGGGGCTCTTCTGTAAAATGCAGATAATTGTCTATGCCCTGTCTAACTCACAGAATTGTAGGAAGGCCCAAATTAAAAAGAAAAACAAATAATGTTAGTAGGATATAACTGGATTTGGTTTTGAATTGCTTGCCATTTAATAGCTTTGTCATCCCCAGGAAATCAGCATAGCAGCAGCTCAATTTCTTATCTCTAAAGACAGACTTGGTCAACATACTTCATAGAGTATGAAATGAGCTACACAAATAAAAATACACACTCCAAAGCCATTACATTCTATACAAATGTAAATCATCATTATTATTTGTACAATATACCCTCAAAGTAATACTCTTAAATATTGAGCTTTCAGAAAAGGAGAGAAGAGGCCTGGCTTACAAAAGCAACAAGGAAGAATCCACTGATAGCTGCTAGCCTTCTGACTTGTACTACATATCATTCCTGGAATGCAAATTGGTAGGTCTCTCATATTATGTTTCCACATTTGGGGAAATGACACATGTGTCTTGGAGCAATTGAAGAGTTTCACAGAAAATCTGGATGGCCACATTCTCTAAGACAGTGGTTCTCAAAAGTTTAGTCTCAAGATCCCTTTATACTCTTAAAATGACTGAGGACCCCAAAGGGCTTTCATTTATATGGGTCATATGTATCAATAATTATCATATTAAAAATTGAAATTAAGAAAACTTTTGCATGTTTGTGAATTCTTCCAAAAATAGCAATAGCAATCTATTACTTGTTAATATAAATAATATTTTTAATGAAAAATAAGCAAATTTTCCAAAAAAGAAACTTAGTGAGATGAGTGACATTGTTTTACATTTTTGCAAGTCTGTTTTGCAATGTCTAGCTTAATAGAAGCCAGCTGGAGTCTCACATTGTCTTCTGCACTCATTGTTACCATGTGTTGTTTAGTAAGAAAATCCAGCCTTATACAGATACGCAGCTGAAAAAGAAAGGAGTATTTTAAGTGCTTTTTCAGATGGTTGTGGATATTCTTGTTTGATACTACTCCCAACCTCATTAAGTAATAGCTTTTTAAAGGTACTAGTAGCAATGCAGAATCTGAAACCCTATCAATAAAGTTTTCATACTCTTTTACATTAAAATCCATTGGTCTTTCTGGCACTTTGAAAGGATCTTTACCTACGTATGATTTCATAGCATTATACAATGGTCATTTGGAAAACATTGGCTCATTGAGTTATATATATTTTTAATGCTGACACATTCCATTATAAACTATTTAAAAATCACATGTGTTATTATCACTACCAATCTTATCAAAAAAATCCTTAAGGATTGGGCAGCTGCCAATCTCATGGTGGCAGACACAAGCGATCTGGAATTCTAATTTTCATTTAAAATCCTGAATTTTATCATCAGTTGATTTCCTTTAAGAGACAGGCTCACTTCATTCAGTTTTGAGAAAATGTTTGCCAAATACTTAAGTCTAAATAACCATAATTTGTCAGTCATTCTTTCAAGTAAAGACAAGGCTTTTAAAAAAGAAGGTAGTTCACTTAGCAACTCGATTGCACATGTGCTTTTCCTTGAAACAACCACTGTACTTCAGTATGCAGCAGAAGTGATTTATGCATATTCTCTTTCCAACACACAGAATATTAAGAAGGTGTGCACTCAGGGGTCATGATTTAATATAATCAATAATTTTTACTGCTTCATTAAGGACATTCTTAATTGAACCCCATTTTAAATATATATATATAAACTATGAGTACACAGTCTTACAGAAGACAAATACTGCTAGCTGAGTTTAGTCCCTCTGCCTTGATTTGTTCTAAGTGGCCAGCAATTTTAGCCACCATCATGTAAATGTCAATACAGTGAAACAGGCAAAAATGTCTTAGTATTATTATGAAAATAATTCCGCCCTCCCAGACCTACTGAGGGTGTTGGGGATCCCCAAGGAACCAGGGACTGATTACACTGCTGCTCTAGAAGAAAAAGGAATCTGTCACTTAAATTCTGTACAGTTGGCACACTCATGTGAAACTATTCAGAAAATCTACTAAAGGCTCAGTACCAACAATCTGGAAGAAAATTATTTAGTTTCAGTATAGCTCTCTTCACTGTATTCAAAAGTTAAACTAATTCAATGCCTATATAGATGGCCAATTCATCTTCACATTAAAAATATATTCACAGTATGGTGTGAGTTGTGGTTAAGAACTATACATTTATATCATACCTATCAAAAGTCTTCCTTTTATAAGATAAATAATGAGCTGGACTTTTTCCCTGTTCTCTTCCTTACCCAGAGCCCACCATCCTTCATGCATCTGAAAAAGGCAATTTGGGATAAGTGGCAAGAGCAAAGGCTCACTCTCATCAGCATAAACATGCCTTGATATCTGCCATCTTAAAAAACAAAGCAAACAAACCATTCTACATTCCCACAAAACAAACAGGTTGAAAACAAAAACAAAAACAAAAAGAAACTTCCCTTAATCCCATAGTCATCTCCAGTTACAAACCCATAACTGGACATACTGATGACTTCTTCTATTCAGAAATTTACTCCTCTTAGTTTCCAAATTACTACTCTCTCTTCATTTTCTCCCTACCTGACTGTCCATTCCTCTCAGTTTTTGCTGGTTCTTCCTCCTCTATTCAACTTCTAAATGTAATTTCCCAGGATTAAATCCCACTGTACGTGTGTGTCTGTATTTGTCTCTCTCTCTTTTCAGCTCTGCGTTCTCTCCCTGGGTAATCTCATCTAGTTCTCTGGATTTAAATACCATCCTTATGTTGATGAGTCCCAAATTTCTATACCCTGTACTGACCTCCAGTCCTGAGATCCAGACTTATATATCCTGTTGTCTACTTGGATTTCTAATAGGTAACTCAAACTTAACATTTGCAAAGAAGATCTTTTGGTTGCCCCACTCCCATCTCCTGGATCTTTCTCCATCTCAATAAATGGCAGTAACATTAAAGGAGTTGCTCATACACAAAACCTAGGAGTCATTCTTGACATTCCTTTTTTTCCCTCATCTCCCACGTTCAGTCCACTAGTTCATGTCCCATAATATATTTCAAATCTGTTCACTTCTCTCCATCTCTACCCCTACCATCCTGATCCAAACCACCATTGCCCCTAATCTGGTCTTCTGAAATAGCCTTCTAACTGGTAACTCTGCTTCAACTCTAGTTCCCTGCAATCCATTAAAGTAGCTAGAATGTGGAGATGGGTGGGTGGGGCCAAAAAAAAGTAGTAGCTAGAATGATCGTTGGGAAAAAACATATCAAATCATGCCACTTTCCTGCTTAAATCTTCCCTCAATGGTTTCCCTTTGTATTTAGAATAATTTAGGAAACTCTGCTGTGGTCTCTGAGGTTTTATGTGCTATGCTCCCTGGGTACCTCTGCCACTCAATTACTACACTCCTGCCACATCAGCCTTCCATCTGTTACCTCAACATAGCTCTTTCCTACCTCAGGGACTTTGCCCTTGCTATTCCCATGACCTTCAGGAACTTTCTGTTCCTTAGCTGGTTGCATGGCTAGTTCCTTGTCATCATTCATATCTAAGCTCAACAGTCACTTCCTCAATAAGGGTTATTTGACAATTTAATCTAAAGTAGGTCCTTTTCCACTTATTTTCTATTATATCACCTAATTAATTTCCATCACAGCACTTATTGCAATCTAAAATGACTTTCTCTGTTTATTGTATGTCTCTTCCCATCAGGTTATAAGCTTAACGAGACAGGGATCTTTCTTTTTCTTTTATTAAAACAGCTTTATTGAGATATGATTCACATAACATACAATTCACCCATTTAAAGTGTACAACTCAAATTTGCCATTTAAACCATGTTTAAGTGTAAAATTCAGTGACATTGATTACATACACAATGATATATAATGGTTGTCACCACCTATTTCCAAAACTTTTTCATCACCCCAACGGAAACTGTAATCATTAAGCAATATAGCTCTCCTATTCCCCCAGCCCTCTAATGTGGCTTTCTGACTCCATGAGTTTGCTTTTTGTAGATACTTATATAAATGGAACGCTACAATATTTGTCCTTTTGTGTCTAGCATATTAACGAGGCAGGGATCAGGGATCTAGTGTATCTTATTCATTGCTCTACCCACTGCAACCTAACTCAGCGTACACAGCACACAGTACATGCTCAACAAATACTGTTGAATAAACTAATGAATTATAAGCAAGTCACCTAACTTTAAAAAAATTTTATATTGTATCAATTTAAGGGGTACAAGATGTTTGAAGGTATACATGATGTTTTGATATACATATACATAGTGAAATGATTATAGCAGTCAAACAAATTAACATATTCATGGGTGTGTGTGATAAAAACTGTAGAAATCTACTCTCTTGACAAATTTTCAGTACACAATACAATATTACTAACTATAATCCTCATTCTGTATATTATATCCCTAGACTTATGCAGCCTATCTAACTGCAAATTTGTATACCCTTTAGCCTGCTTCTTCCTATTTCCTCCTCTCCCTCCCACTGAATCACTATCCTACTCTCTGTTTCTAGTTATTCAACTTTTACATTTAAGATTCTGCATATGACTGAGATCATACAGTCTTTGTCTTTCAGTGTCTGGCTTATTTCACTTAGCATAATATCCTCCAGGTTCATCTGTATTGTCACAAATGGCAGTATGTCCTTTACAGAGGCTGAATAATATTCTATTTGTGTGTGTGTGCGTTGTGTTTGTGTATCACAATTTTTAAAATTCATTAAAGTCACTTAACTTTTCTAGATCTTAGTTTCTTGTGTGATGGTGCTATATCACCATTCATTATTAATTTCTTTAGAACTTACAGTGTTTCTGGCATTGTGCTTGCTAATGGAAAAATTATGATGTGCAAAATAGTTTTTGTCTCCATTCTCAAAAAACGTTTGCTTCCTTTTCTATCTGGGAATGTCGTCTTCTTTGATTTGGTGCACTTTAAGGATGGAAATATATAGAACAGTGAAGTATATAGAAGTAAGGGGATCTCTGCCACACTTATCAAATTATGTGATATGACACTGGAGGGACAAATGTCAAAAGCCAAGCTGTCCTCAAATCGATTTAATAGCATCTGCCCTTTTTACTTTGCAGGGTGATGATAGGGATCATGTGAATTTATATGCATGTACTTTACAAACTATAAGGCTCCCACAAATATAAGATAAAAGTATTATAATTTTTGTTTTCCATTTAATTTTTATGCTCTGAGAATTAAAAGCAAATTTCTGTTCTCTATACAAATTCTAATATAATGTACTTATGAACTAACTGAAATTATGGCAGGATCTGGTTTTTAAAGTCAACGTCAATTATACTGCACCTGAATTTTGACAGGCCCATTCCTATAGCATTACATGCTAGCCAAGAAGGAAGGCTATTTCTAACTGAAGAGGCTGGCACTTAACAAATATTAATATATGGTGCTGAAAACAAGGCATTTTGCTTCACTCACTCTCAGTACTTAATCCAGCACACACACACACCTTTAGACAGCAGTGACATGAAGAGGGCAAGCAGGCCTTACCAGTGCTCTCAGCTCTTCAAACAACACTTGAGGATTTCTACTTGAAGGCCTGTCTCTCTAAGCTTGTGCTTTCAAAACTTGGGCTGGACTGATCCCAAATACTGAAGTAACAAATATTACTAAATTCTGTCATTTCCTCTACCAAAAAAGTGATTTTACTACTACTTCTGGTTGTGATGAAAGGTCCTATTGACTATTCAAATCCTCAACCAAGTTATGGATGCAGTATTAAATGACTTCACTCCTTTTTCTCTGGCACTTTAACACATGCCAATGCTTTCATCCACCTCCACTAATGTGGCTTATAAATTACTGAGGTGAGGCCATTTTAATAGTATGATTTGTTCACATCTTAAAAGATGGGTACATATGGAACTGGCTGAGAAGACAAACTCCCCTTTGACAACATATATTAGTCTATATGTCTATAAAAATAAACCTTCAAAAGCTGGAAATACCTGATTGCTACAATGCTCGCTTAGGAGCCATAACAATTAATGGTTCTTTCATTTGTTACAAATCAAAACGTGAAAAAGTGATGGCAGTAAGGTCAAAGACAAAATGAAAGCTTCCCTGAGAAACAGCGAGAGACAGAACAGACAGAGCTGAAGCAAAAAAAGTGAAAGGTCACAACTGTTCTAAAAGTTTCTAACTGCTTAAAGGGCTTCCCGAATACATTTTGAAATATAAAAAAGCCAGTTTTTAAGAAGTTTACTGTCCCCTCCTTTTAAAACTGCCTCCAGTGTGATTAAAAAAAGAAAATCCACAGAGGAGGATACTTGCTCCCTATGGATTCAGAGTAGTTAACCTATTGATTGTTCTCTCAATTTTCAAAGAGCATATATAAAGCTGGAGAGGATACACAATTACTACAAGCAATCCATTTCTCAGATGAGTAAAACTAGGTCAGCATACTTGTGGCCCTGGTTCAGTTAATAATAAAGTCAGAGGCCTCTTGGGAAGTGGGGATCAAACAGGCCCTAGAGTTGAGAGTCTGATGAGGAGGGCTGACTTTGCTAAGTTTTCCCCTGCACATAGCCTCCATCTTGGTCTTGCTCCCAAAGCAAGCTGTGGTATTCTTAGCAACACTTTATATGATCTTTTGGCATACCATCCTTTTGGGCCCTTGAGAAGAAAGAAGTGTGTTTGTGCATGTGTGTGTATATCTGTACACATGTGCATATTGTGTGTATGTTTGAAGCTGGAATATATGAGGAAATACAGGCATTTCAGCAGGAGTAAGTTTCACCAGGAAGCTTCCAATAGCCTTCTGACCTTAGGATCTAAGTGCCTAGAGCAAGAAAGAGAAAATAGGGCAAGAAGAGAAGTTCTGAACTCAAATCAGAACTTAGTTCTACTAAATGATGCCAGTTTTACTCTCAAACTGGATCCTGTAGTATCTACATGCTCTTTCCACCACGGCTGACATCGCTGGAGGAGCCCTCTAATTTACTTCTTCCTTAGTGCAGTCTTAGTCCGAGCACTTTTTTTTTTTTGAGACAGAATCTTGCTCTGTCACCCAGGCTGGAAGTGCACTGGCACGATCTCAGCTCACTGCAACTTCTGCCTCCCGGGTTCAAGAGGTTCTCATGCCTCAGCCTCTCCAGTAGCTGGGATTACAGGTGCATGCCACCACACCTGGCTAATTTTTGTATTTTTTAGTAGAGATGGGGTTTTGCCATGTTGCCCAGGCTGGTCTCCAACTCCTGGCCACAAGCGATCCACCCATCTCGGCCTCCCAAAGTACCGGGATTACAGGCATGAGCCACCACACCTGGCCTCAGTCTGAGCACTTTTGACAAGTTCTGTTTAAGCACTGCCTTTTCCATGGCATGACAGAACTGTGATCAGCGGAGTGGGAGCTCGGCAGTCTTGGAATTAAAGCCCTGCTTCTTTGAATGAAATACTTGTCTGCCAAAAATGCAGAATGGGCAAGCATCAGTTGTGGGAAGAATGGCACATGGAAAGGTGAGTCATGGGCCAGAGACTGTCAGAGGGCTGCTTTCCTGGAGCTGGAGTGGAAGTAACAGTAAAAGTAGTATGGTTGAGAGGACAATGAGTGTGAAGGATGAAGCAAATGATAAACTGAGGATTGCAATCCAGAAATCTGACCCAATTTCAGAAGAGAACAACAATCTTAATAAAAAACAAATTAAAAAAATCTCCACCATTAAACTGAGGTTGGTTAAGGGGAAGAGTGGCAGATGACACCACATAGAGGAATAATTCTAGACTGATCAGAAATGAATAAGGGAATGTTTAGCAAGTCGTTAGGTTCATGTGGATAAATGGCAACACAGGCCAACAAAAACAAAAGCATCGTAAATCTTATTACTTTGGTAAAACCAAAAGGTCTGAGGATATAGCTCACAATGTATTTAAATAAAAGCCAAATTGTGGATACTCATCCATGTGATATTCCAGTTGGAAGGATGTCCAATGAAAACAAAACAAAACACTTGTTATTTATAAAAATAAATAGGCTGGGTGTTTTAAAGGCTCACACCTGTAATCCCAGCACTTTGGGAGGCTGAGGCAGGCGGATCACGAGGTCAGCAGATCGAGACCATCTGCCTAACACGGTGAAACCCCGTCTCTACTAAAAACACAAAACATTAGCTGAGCGTGGTGGCATGCGCCTGTAATCCCACCTACTTGGGAGGCTGAGGCAAGAGAATCACTTGAACCCGGGAGGTAGAGGTTGCAGTGAGCCGAGATCGCGCCATTGCACTCCAGCCTGGGTGACACAGCAAGACTCCATCTCAAAAACAAAAACAAAAAAAAATAAAAAACAAAGGAAGTTAGTCTTCCTTTATAATTAGAAAACTTGTGGAATGCCTACATCTTGAAGTAGGGCCAGAAGTTCTAAAGAAATGCTACATATTTCTTTCAGGAAAATACAAACCTAGGCATCTGATAGTCTTACTACGGCATACGGAAAGACATTATTTAAGTGGCATACTAACTGATGTGATGTTGAGAGTGCCACAAACATCTAAGACAGACTGGAAGGGTCATGTGCTTGGTCTTTTCCTTCGGGCCCTGAATAATAAAGTGAGGAGACCATGAAGTACTTGCAAAGGCACTGAACTTTTACTCCATAAACAACAATGCAAATTGAGTCCCTAGAAATAGTCTAAGAAAATTACAATTGGTCAAGCTGCAGAGGCAAGAGATGATGAAGCCCACACATCGAAGTATAGTCTACCAGCAAGTAAAAATACAAAAAAAGATTCTGAGTTTAGCAAGTAGCAAGAGGATTCCAATTTGTATTCATTGCTTCTCTGTAGTCATTTTAAGGGCACGGAAAAAGACTGTGATCAAAAAAAAGAACTGTGTATTACTAATGTAACTGGTTAAATGCGAGGGTCAACTGCAGTGCATATTTATAAAGAAAAAAGGCTGGCAATCTAAGGAAACAGGCTGTGCATGGGAAGTAGGAGAGAAGTGAAGAACAGAGACTTACCTGTGCTATATTTTTGTTCAGAAGATAGACACCATAATCAAACTGCAACTTCTCCCCTCCTTTTGGATACAGTGGAAACCTAAGAAAGGTAAAAAAGGATCAGATATTTTCAAAAGCTGAGTAAATACAACCTCCAAGTTGTCAACAGAGGCTGAAGTTTCTTAGATACAGCATAAACATCTGAATTGGACTAAGTCACCTAGCTATAGTCATTGCAATCTACTGACATCTTCATAATATTAATTAAGTCAGAATAACGGCTGCTTTCTTTCAAAAGAAAAAGTGAACAGGTCACAGAACAAGGAACTAATGTTTAAGAAAGTGACCAACCCACCCCAAGGAGTTGAGGCCACTGGTTCCTATTTACATATCATAAACTTGCCACCTTAGCTAAGATTAAGATACCAGAAATTTTTCCCTCTAATATCTTGGACCTGACATCTCAACTTCTACTAAATGGGAGAGGAAGATTAAGAAGGAAAAGAAATCAGACTTAGAAGCAATATATAAGATTTCTGTTTCTTTTAAGGTGACCAGTGAAATCAACAGTGCCAATATGAGCCAAAATTCATTAAAATATTCATTCACATTTACAGGGATGGCTATTTGGATGCAACTTCTCTAAGGCAATGTGCTCATGCCATAAGGCTCTCATACATGAATTTCCATTTTAACCTGCCTCACTGGAGCAACAAAGGCATGAGATCTGGATCTTCATAAAGATAATGAGTTATTTTAGAGAGTAACTCCCCTCACTATTCCCCTTCTTTACACCTGCAAATGAAGAAAAGTTTAGAGCATACCTATAGTCTAGTCATTGTTTTCTGATTCTTAAGATCAAGCAAAAGTTTTAGCATCTGATACAGATTTCTTTACAAACAGATCAATTATTACTTAGGGTCAAGAAGAAAACTTCATCTTCCTTACTTCTGCGATATACAATTATTCTCAAGAATAAAATAATCTTATTGAAATGAATGGCAGGTGACAATTACTAGTCTTAATTTCAATTGTCTTTTAATTGCCTGAGGAAAAGATACATTCCATAAAGCCTAGAGGATATTATTTTCTAGAGAAAATAAAATAAAGGAAATAGAATTTAAGGGCTTTATATTAAATTCTCAGGAGTTGCTGGCTATATAGTATCCAAAGGTAAATTTGTTACACTATAAAATTATAGGCACTGGGGACTGAGCAAGGTCCTGAACTGTATTTATTCTCTACTAAAGGAACACCAAATGCTTCACACACCCATCAAGAAGACAGAGCTTCATATTTAATTGAAACAGTAAAAAATAAACTAGGACATGTGGTTTGGCCTCAAATTGAGATGCATAAAAATGACAGCATAGCAAATTCAGGATAAGCAAAGTGTAACACCAGGCTGTTGCAAGATGTCTGGGAATCATTCAAATTCAGATGGGGTAGCCTGCAAAGAAACGACGTATTTGCAAGTACCCAACAGGGGCACTTTAGAGAAAATCTACTACGGTCCTAAACCTCTGTGCTGTCTAGCTGTTATTCTATAAGCTTCAAATGTAGACTATCTGAACAGCTCTCCAAACCCATAGCTATCTCTATTTTCAAGGTATAAATCTAGAAACTGTTTCGTATGTTAGAAGAGTAAATTGAGATCAGCATACATTGAAAACCAAGCTTCAACATTCCTAAAAAATTGATTTCACAACATTTGACTTTATTATGACTTCAGTGGGACTTATTTATACAAAAAGCCACAAGGTATGGTTCGGATAAGGCAATGCAAAGACAGATCGAATATTAGGACAGAATTTACATTTTATATTGCTTTCAAATTCTTAGGTCACTTGAAGTTGAATAGTATAATAGCTTATAACTATCATGCATTCATCTTACTTTACAAAAGTACATGTATTTATAGATCTATCAATCTTGAAAAATACCCATTTTAAAGGGTAAAACCTATTATCGTCAGAACATAAGATACAAATCTTATATTGGAGAATTACATTAGCAAGCTATAGAAGCTTTAGATAAGAATGTGGTCATTAAAGTACAACCAGAAGCAGGTCCATAACACCACAAAGAGGACTCATTAAAGGAGTATTACATTAAATAACTGGAGGATGAACTATATATTTCCTATGAAGATTCAATACAATTTATTATTATATTCAATTAAAATGGCTAATATTATTTTCAAATTAAATTAAATTTCCACATTGAAAATTCACCGACTCTACTGTCTTCAAATGGCCTTATTTGAACCATACCTTGTAGCTCTTTCTATAAATAGTAGAAAAATCAAGGAATTAGAAAGCAATAAATAGATTACGTGTGTGACAGAATTCCATCTGAGCCTTACTGTCACTCTAACTAACAACAGGTGGTGAAGAGGTTAGTGGGGAGAACTGCAGAAATCCAATCTTAATTATCAGAGCCCACCTTTATCTACTGTAAATACTTGTATCATTGTGAACTATCAAACTGGCTTAGGTCAGTTTGCAACCCTTTCTTTTTCCAGTCTGTCTCAGATTGTAAATTTACACTCACTGTGTGATTACTTGGTTCATGTGTGTCTCCCTTATGATACTGTAGGCTCCAAGAGGGCAGAAATTTTATTTTCTTCCTCTTTGCCTCTCTGTCAAGTCTCTACGCACTGCTACTAGCAGAACGCAATAAATATTTGTTGAATTTTTTTTAAAAAAGATTATTTGTGAAAAATATTTGGAACTCTTTAGTACAGAACAGTTTCAATATGAGTTAAGAATTATGCGATGACTACCAAAAAAGCTAATGCGATCCCAGGCTGCGGTAACAGAAGCAGAGCAGCTCAGCTGGGGAACGTGATAGTGATAACTACTTTGTACTAGGTTAGACTGTACCGAGAGACCTATGTTCAGTTCTGGGAGTGAAAGTATTTTATAAATAGACAGAAGAACACTCATATCCTTACTTAAAGGTTATGTTTCTAGAGAACGTTTATAACAATCTCATTTAACTATATAAAGCATGCAGTGAAACAATGAAGTAGTCAGTATTATTGTTATTTAAAATAAACTGATTTGGCTTGGTCACCTAAGTAGGAAGTGGAAGAGACATGGCTTCAGTATTAGGTCTTCAATAATAAATCCAGTATTCTCTCTACTGCCTCTGAATGCTTTAGAGAAGCAAACCCAGGATGATTAGGGGAACAGAAGTCAGTATTGAGAGAAATTGTTGAAGGAACCAGAGGTGTTTGTCCTGGAGGATAGCAGTCTCAGGGACAACAAATGAAGGACTTTCAGAGAGAAAAAGAATTCGTTTTTTTCTGCATGGCTTCAAGCAGGGAGAACCAAAGTGAATGGTATATGCGTTACAGGAGATTGATTTCACTACAGAGTTATTCAAAATCCTAAAGATCTTGGTTACAGGCAGCCAAGTAGAGAAGGGCGACAAACACAAACAATGCACATGTATTCAGTGGATGTAGCGGGTTACACGGCGGCCTCCAAAAAGATATGTCCATATTCTAATCCTTGGGACCTAAGTTAACTTATTTGATGAAAAGATCTAAAATAGTTAAGGATCTTGAGTTGAGATCATTTTTTATTATTCAGGTGGGCCCTCAATCTAGTAAGTATCGTAATAAGGAAACACAGAGGTGAGACAAAGGGAAAAGAGGTTGTGTGCAGATGGAGGCAGAGCTTAGTTATGCAGCCACAAGCCGGGCAATGCCTGGAGCCACCAGAAGCTGGAAAGGATAAAGAAAGGAGTGTGGCCCTGATGACACTTTGATTTTGGACTTCTGGCCTCCAGAACTGTGTGAGGCAAATTTCTGCTGTTTATCTCATCAAGTTTCTGGTAATTTACAGTAGCTTGAGAGACTAACACAGGAGGAATCAAATACTGGATGATCCACTGGACTCAATGAGGTATAGTATCTCCTCCAACTCCAAGATGTTATAATTCTCAATATGTGAAACTAAACATACTGAATATAATTTTGAGTCCGGAATTGGTGGGTTCTTGGTCTCACTAACTTCAAGAATGAAGCTGCGGACCCTCGCGGTGAGTGTTACAGTTCTTAATGGCGGTGTGTCCGGAGTTTGTTCCTTCTGATGTTCGGATGTGTTGGGAGTTTCTTCCTTCTGGTGGGGTTCGTGGTCTCGCTGGCTCAGGTGTGAAGCTGGGACCTCCGCAGTGAGTGTTACAGCTCTTAAGGTGGCGCGTCTGGAGTTGTTCGTTCCTCCCGGTGGGTTCGTGGTCTCGCTGGCTTCAGGAGTGAAGCTGCAGACCTTCGCGGTGAGTGTTACAGCTCATAAACACAGTGTGGACCCAAAGAGCGAGCAGCAGCAAGATTTATTGCAAAGAACGAAACAACAAAGCTTCCACAGAGTGGAAGGGGACCCCAGCGGGTTGCCACTGCTGGTGCCTGCAGCCTGCATTTATTCTCTTATCTGGCCCCACCCACATCCTGCTGATTGGTTCATTTTACAGAGAGCCGAGTGGTCTGCTTTGACAGGGCGCTGATTGGCGCGTTTACAATCCCTGAGCTAGACACAAAGGTTCTCCACCTCCCCACTAGATGAGCTAGATACAGAGTGTCAACACAAAGGTTCTCCAAGTCCCCACCAGAGTAGCTAGATACAGAGTGTGGACTGGTGCATTCACAAACCCTGAGCTAGACACAGGGTGCTGATTGGTGTGTTTACAAACCTTGAGCTAGATACAGAGTGCCGACTGGTGTATTTACAATCCCTTAGCTAGACATAAAGGTTCTCCAAGTCCCCACCAGACTCAGGAGCCCAGCTGGCTTCACCCAGTAGATCCCGCACCAGGGCCGCAGGTGGAGCTGCCTGCCAGTCCCGCGCCATGCGCCCGCACTCCTCAGCCCTTGGGTGTTCGATGGCACTGGGCGCCATGGAGCAGGGGACAGTGCTCGTCGGGGAGGCTTGGGCCACACAGGATCCCCACGGAGGAGGGGGAGGCTCAGGCATGGCGGGCTGCAGGTCCCAAGCCCTGCCCCACGGGGAGGCAGCTGAGGCCTGGCGAGAAATCGAGTGCAGCGCCGGTGTGCTGGCACTGCTGGGGGACCCAGCACACCCTCGGCAGCCACTGGCCCGGGTGCTAAGCCCCTCACTGCCTGGGGCCAGCAGGGCCGGCCGGCCACTCCGAGTGCGGGGCCGCCAAACCCACGCCCACCCGGAACTCCAGCTGGCCCGCAAGCGCCGTGCTGCAGCCCTGGTTCCCGCTCGCGCCTCTCCCTCCACACCTCCCTGCAAGCTGAAGGAGCCGGCTCCGGCCTTGGCCAGCCCAGAAAGGGGCTCCCACAGTGCAGCGGTGGGCTGAAGGGCTCCTCAAGTGCCGCCAAAGTGGGAGCCCAGGCAGAAGAGGCGCTGAGAGCGAGTGAGGGCTGTCAGCACGCTGTCACCCCTCAATTTCATTTTTTCCTTCAGGAACCAAGAAAGATTTGAGACTCTAATGCCAAAGAGTCATCATGATAGGTAGCAGGTAAGGTTGCAAAGTAGACCGACTGAAATCTGGTAAGTAAAGTACCAAAAAAAGAAATTCCTATGTACAGGCTGAGTCTGAGCAGGATTTTTCTTTTTTACTAATTCACATATATATCATATACACACCTACAGAGACGCAACACATGAAAAATAGATCACACACAACTTGAAAAAAACTGTGAAAAGAAACTGATTTTCAAACTTTAAATATTTATAAAAGATACACTGTTATAAACACTACCCTCTCCCCACCAACCCAGACATTTCTACAAAGGACTCCAAGCTGCTAATAGTTTCTTGCCTTCACCTTCAGAGCCTCACATCCAGATTTAGTTATTTGATGGCAACTGGGGATGAGGACATGGCTATAGTTAATTCAAATTTTTAAATCATACATATTAAGATTACTTCTGCCATTCGTATTTATAGAAAATGTGACAACATGGACTCAATATATTCTGAGGCAATGACTTTACCTCAAACTCGGTATACTTTCTCCTGTCCAGACTAGTTTGCCATTACTACTTTTCTCTATCAATTACTTGGACTTAGAGTGGCATTCAACTTTACCCACCTGATTTGCCTTTTACATATGCAGTGCTTCACCAAGCTGACAAATCATTTCCCCTCTGTAACATTCTCCATTCCTGCTGCCACTCTGGATAATTCTTTGTTGTGGGGTGCTGTCCTATATACTACAGGATGTTTAGAAAGGTCAGCATCTCTATCCTCTACTCACTAAAAGCCAATAGCACTCGACTCCCAGCTGTGATAACCAAAAATGTCTCTAGACATCACCCAATGTTGCCTGGGTGGGTGGGGAAAGGAGTTCAAACTGCCTCCAGTTGAGAATCATTGGTCCAAGCTCTTATCAATTTGCTTACTACCTAGCCAGAATCCTTAATGCCAGTTCATTCTCCATATCACTGTCAGATTGATTTTAGGAAGCCCAGTAGGTTTCTAAAAACTGAATTACAACAGAAAAGACATAGTTTTTCTAGTCTCAGCTCCATTACATACTTAGTTGTTATATGAACTTGGGTAAATCATAACTAGTTTAATGCTAAGTTCTTAAGCTGTAAAGTGGAGAAACTATCATCTTTCCTGCCTTCTTCACAAGTATCTTGTGAGGATACAACACCACAAGATTGAGAAAGTACACTGCAACTGTAAAGCATGACACAAATATAAGTTATTATTTTCTTTTAAGTAAGACCTCTTATCATGTCACTTCTCAGCCCTGCTTCATAATCAGTTATTGTTTTAAATTTCAACTCCTCTGCCTACCTTTCGAGGCCTAAGTGATCTGACCCATCTGCCCAATTTATCTGTCACCTTTTGCTCAAGAGGTTTCCTCACAGTGTCACAAACACATCAAGTTCACTTTTCTTTCTCTGCCTTTACTTACTTCTCGAAGGTGTCCATCTTTCTTGCTTTCCTATCTAAATACTATTCCATCCTTTATGAGATCTAGTTCAAGTTGTCACATTCCTTTTTAAATTGCCCTTGACCACTCCAGGACTCAATGATTCTCCTTTGACCTTCCTGTTGCCCATTTAATGCCTAGAGATTGATTGGTAGTTGTTTCCATATTCATTTATCTCATGCTCTGGTGGTAGTGCATTAATTTTCCCACATTTCATGATTCACATTCACATGTGCATAATTCTTGTTCTTGCTGCCTCATGCTTTATTTGACAGCTATATCACATTTAAAGAAGTGACCAAAATTAAATCAGGGTATCTGCCAAAGACAATAATTTTTTTTTTTTTTTTTTTTGGAGATAGGGTCTTGCTCTGTCTCCCAGGCTGGAGTGCAGTGGCATGATCATGACTCACTGCAGCCTCTGACCTCCCGGGCACAAGGAATACTCCTGCCTCAGTCTCCCAGGTAGCTGGGACTGCAGGTGTGCACTACCACACCTGGCTAACTTTTTGCACGGGAGGATAGAGACAAGGTCTCACTATGTTGCCCGGGCTGGTCTTGAACTCCTGGGCTCAAGCAATCCTCCCACTTCAGCCTCCCAAAGTGTTAAGATTACAGGCATGAGTGACCATGCCCGGACCTAAAACTCATTTTAAAAGACGTTTTTCAATGTTTATTTTCCCAAAGTCCCCCCTACAACAACTATAGTAAATTGTGAGTTAACTCTGGTATGCTTAGGGGTTCAGAAATTGGGATAGATTATAACATGAATACCTACTGGGCTCCTCCTGTGGAATACCAGTCTGTATAACTGGTGGGATGACCTACTATCAGGAGCAACCAGTTCTTGGTTGGCTATGATAAGTGTTAAGGCTACATGCACTTCAAAGAAGCAATTAACAAAACAACAACAACAAAAAAAACCACACGAGCCTCATTCAAGTCCTCCAGGGCGACAATAACAACAACAACAACAAAAACCTGTGAAAAAAATGTTAATGTAAAATGCCAGCAGCATGCAAGCTGCCCCTATTTTTCCCCCATGATCGAGTAAGGGAAGTGACCAAAAGCTATAGACCCATACTAAATTATTATGGCCAAAGTAAAGCACCTGGTAGAGTAAAAAGGACCATGTTTTACCCTGCCAAGACTAAAGAGGGGGAAAAAAAAAAACATCTTGCATTTTTCTGCTACATTGTATAGTGTCACTGAAGTTTTAACTGTTGATGGTAATGCTGTGAAAGCATAAGGCAGGCCATAGGCACGTGAGATGGAAATGGCTGGCTGTGGGGGGTTACACTGGGGACTGAAAATATTTCAGCATCTGTTTCCATGTTAAAAAGTTACATTTATTAACCAGTCCAAAATGTACTCTTTAAAAAATAAGCCATTTTAAAATAATATTTCTGTTTCCATTTATCATTTAATATTTTAACTGTATTCAAATCTATTTTTTAAGTTTCCATTCTTCTTTGGATTAATAACTTTACACTAAGGGCCATTTAACCTTCCCCCATAAGTGATATCTCATTTTAAACATCATAATCAATTTAAAGTAACACAGAAAGTAACAGATATCCATTGGTTCGGGCTAAAGTTATAATCTATGAAAAGCATGATTAACAATGGACATTTTCCCCCTCTTTCCCATAGCCAACTGATCCTAAAAAATCAAATCTGATTGTGGCACCCAGTCTCCTACTTAGAACCATCAAAAGATTTTCCACTGCACTTGAAATAAAATTTAAACCACACAGGGTAGCCCACAGGGCCTTACGTGGCTAAAGCCACTGCTACCTCATGTCATTCTCCTTGGCACTCACTATGCTCAAGTCATGCTGGTTTTCCTTCTGTTCCCTGAACATGCCAAGATTGTTTCCTACTTTGGGACTTTTGAACTTGCTATTCTCTGTTTTTTAAGTGTTTGCTCCTTAAATCTTCCCAGAGCTGACACTTTCCTGTCATTCTAGCCTTTGATCAGAATCACCCTTAGAGAGACCACTGCAGGTCACTCAATCTAAAATCCTTCCTCAGAAAGATTACTGAGGGCAGATTAGACTAAGAGTGGCCAGGGGTACTAATCAATTTTAACATTACACACACAAAAAAGATAACTAGACATAATATGCTTCCAAATGTGATATAAAAGGGAGCATCAGTAACACCTATGAAGTATTCTTGCCAAGAAAACTGAATATGATCAACTAAGTTTTTATCTCCAGTTTATAGGTAACACAGGGGAAAGATAAACATGTTAATACCATCAGCAAAATTCAAAATGTGAGGAACTTTACAGGGATCTGCAGAGTAAGTTTAACTTATACAACAAGGAAAAAAATGCAAGGAAAAATAAAGAAGGAGAGAACCTTCAGATTAAAAGAGACTTAAGATGTGGAGCAACCAGAACTCTTATATATTGTTGAGTGGGAGTATAAAATGTACATTACGCTCTACGGAAAAAGGTCTGGCAGTTACTTATAAAACTAAACATACACTTATCCTATGATGTAGCAATTCTGTTCCTGCGTATTTACCCAAGAAATATGAAAACATTTGCCCACAAAAATACCATGTACAAAAATGTTCACAGCAACTTTACTCACAATAGCCAAAAACTGAAAACCACCTAAGTGTTGAGGATGAAAGAACCTACAATAATATGCCAAGTGAAAGAAGCCTTATGTAAAGAAGTTCATACTGCATGCTTACGGTTAAACAATGGTTAAGCAGGGGACTGGGAAAGACAGTGATTCACTAGAAAAAAGAGAGAGGGAAGTTTCAGGGGAGAGTCAATGATCTGTATCTTGACGTGCTGGACTGCACAGATGCCTATGTATTTGATGGAACTCAGAATAGTTCATTTAAGATTTGTATATTTCTGGCCGGGCACAGTGGCTCACGCCTGTAATCCCAGCACTTTGGGAGGCCGAGGTGGGCAGATCACAAGGTCAGGAGATCGAGACCATCCTGGCTAACACAGTGAAACCCCATCTCTACTAAAAATACAAAAAATTAGCCAGGTGTGGTGGCGGGCACCTGTAGTCCCAGCTACTCAGGAGGCTGAGGCAGGGGAATAGCATGAACCTGGGAGGCGGAGCTTGCAGTGAGCCGAGATCCTGCCACTGGACTCCAGCCTGGGTGACAGAGTGAGACTCCGTCTCAAAAAAAAAAGGTTTGTATATTTCATTACATATAAATTTTACCTCAAAAGAAAAAAGAACCATAAACAAATACTGAGCTCTGGTTAATCATATGCATGATGAAGCATTGAGGGGAAGTCTACTGATATCTGAAACTTACTTTAAGATTCACGGAAATAAATAGGTTGATATAATAGATAAACAGATAGATAAATGGAAAGATACAATAACACAGGTACAGCAAATGTAACCGCAGAATCTAGGTGGTGGGTGTATGGGTGTTCACTACAAGATTCTTTCAACTTTTCTGTATGTTTAGAAATTTTCATAATAAAATCTTGGGATACAACATAAATAAACAAACAAAAGGTTTAGCTAATAGTAAATAATAAGAGAAAAACAGGCTGGTGCGGTGGCTCATGCCTATAATCTCAGCACTTTGGGGGACCAAGGCAGGTGGATCCTTTGAGCCCAGGAGTTTGAGACCAGCTTGGGTAGTATGGCAAAATCCTGTCTCTACTAAAAATACAAAAATTAGCCAGGCATGATGGTGTATGCCTGTAATCCCAGCTACTTGGGAGGCTGAGGTGGGAGGATCACTTGAGCCCAGGAGATGAAGGTTGCAGTGAGCTGAGATCACACCACTGCACTCCAGTCTGAGTGACAGGATTAATCGTAGGCAGCTTCCTATAGGTGGAAAATTTAAAACTAGTTTTGAAGAAAGTAAAGGTCAGAAATTTGAAAGAGAGAAGACGTAAGAGCATTTGAAATTAGAGTAAAAGAACTGATTCAATCAATAAATGATTTACTTACTTTATACCAAAGACTCTAATGAGCACTGGACAAATAAAGCAAATACTATTCTTCATTCACTTGTTTAGCAATAGTTACTGCATCATCACCTTGTGATAGGCACTCTTCTAGGTGCTAACACAGTGAACAAAATGACAAAAAAAGTTCCTGTCTTCATGAAGCTTACACTTCAGTGAGAGAGACATGACAAATAAGAGGAGGTTCACTGAGAAGATTACATTTGAACAAAAACCTGAAGGAAGTGAGAGAAAGTCTTGAAGCTATCTGGGGAAGAGTGTTCCAGGCAGGTGAAACGAAAAGTGCAAAGGCCTTGAGACAGGAATGCCTGGTATAGTCACATTCAAGGAAGTGAAGGCAGACCAGAGTGCCTGGAGCAGAGTAAGGGAAAAAGGACCAGGAGATGAGGTCAGCAAAGGAATCGGTTTACATCATGCAGGGTCCTGGAGGTCACAGCAAGGACTTCAGTTTTTACTCTGAATGACAGGAGAAGCACTGGAGGGTTTAATGGCTGCTCTGTGAGGATAAACTGCAGGGGAGCAAGAAAAGAAACAAGGGGAGGCTACTGCAAAAATTTAGGCAAGAGAAGACAGCGGTTTGAACCAAGATGGTGGCTGTGGAGGTGGTGAGAAGTGGTTGGATTCTCTCATTTTGAAGACAGAGCCAACATGATCTGGTGACAGATCTTCTATGAGGTGTGAGAGGAAGAGGAGTCAAGGATGACTTCAAAGTTTTGGACCTAAGCAACTGACAGAATGGAATTGCCATCTTTTTATAAAATTACGGGTGAAATTAAACAGCTAGGAGCTAGGGTTAAAAAAAGAGTGTGAGGGGTGAAGTGCCGTAAGATTAGGCTGCTAAGATCAGCAGGTACCAGACTATGCAAGGGTTTATAAACCACAAGAAAACCAAACCTATACTGTATCCTTAAGGAAAATGAGAGGATAATAACTTTTTTTTTTTTTTTTTTGAGATGGAGTCTTGCTCTGTCACCAGGCTGGAGTGCAGTGGCGCAATCTCGGCTCACTGCAACCTCCGCTTCCCAGGTTCAAATGATTCCCCTGCCTCAGCCTCCCGAGTAGCAGGGATTACAGGCGCATGCCACCATGTGTGGCTAATTTTTTGTATTTTAGTAGAAACGGGGTTTCACCATGTTGGCCAGGCTGGTCTCGATCTCCTGACCTCATGATCCGCCTGCTTTGGCCTCCCAAAGTTCTGGGATTACAGGTGTGAGCCACCGTGCCCAGCTGGGAGGATAATAACTTTTTAAAGCATGGGTGTTTATGTTTTTTAAAGACCAGACTGGCTACAGTGTGGTAAATAAAGGTGAACAGGACCTGGATAGGAGGTTATTGCAAAATCCAGGCCAGAAATAACAGTTTTGGTTAGGGTTCCAGAAGTAGAGAGGAAGATATGTGAATAGATATGTGGGAAGAACTGAAAGAATTTTGTGATGGATTGATTGTTACAAAATGGTAAAGAGGGGAGGAGTCAAAGATGACCCTTTCGTTTCTCAATTGAGAAACGAGGCAGATGGCGGTATCTGTGAATTGTGATGGGAAACACGGGAGAAGGAGCAGGTGCATATTTATTTTTGTGTGTGTGTGTGTGTGTGTGTGTGTGTGTGTGTTTTGAGACAGAGTCTCACTCTGTTGCCCAGGCTGGAGTGCAGTGGTATGATCTGGGCTCACTGCAACCTCTGCCTCCTGGGTTGGGGCAATTCTCCTGCCTCAGCCTCCTGAGTAGCTGGGATTACAGGTGTACACCACCATACCCAGCTAATTTTTGTATTTTTAGTAGAGATGGGGTTTCGCCATGTTGGCCAGGCTGGTCTTGAACTCCTGACCTTCGGTGATTCACCCACTTTGGCCTCCCAAAGTGCTGGGATTACAGGCGTGAGCCACAGTGCCTGGCTATATATTTATTATATATAAATATAATACACTTATAAACTATATATATTTATACCTATATACTCTATAGTATATAGATACTCTATAATATAAACAAAGTATATTTATTATATATAAATGAAATGAGGTGACAAAATTTGGGCCGAAAATATCGAATAGGGAATTATAAACATTTTAGATGGAAACCAAAGCCATAGGTATGAATGAGATGGCCTAAAGAAATGGTATACAAGAGAACCACTTCAGAGCCTTGAGAATATGAACGAAGGATGGGGAGAAGGAGCCAGAAAAGGACTGGTTAAAAGATATGAGGAAAACCAAGAAGTATCTCACCAGAAAAGCTCAGACAAACTGCTAATGTAAGAAGGACGCTATCAACAGTTAAGTGCTGCAGACAGGTCAAGCGAATCTCAAAATTAAACGTCTACTGGATTGACTCTGTGGGTTCACTGGTAGGTAGCGCTGATAATATGGTAAATGAAAGTTTAACTGAAGTAGCAGGGGATGAAGGCCGACTGGTATGAGTTCAGCAGTGGCTAGAGGTAAGGAAATGAAGCTGGTGGGAAGCCTGGCATAGAGAGAGGGGAGCTCAGCAGCTGCAGGGATGTGGTGAGGCACAGCAGGAAACATGTCCTGAGGTGAAAGAGGATAGCTTCCTTACCACACAGGTGAGAGTACAGAAGGGTCTGCCTTAGACAGCAGGTGAGACAAGGGCAACTCTTTCATCATAACCGGGGGGATGAAGGAAAATGACCACTGTGGATGCTGTTTATTCATTCAACAAGTTTTCAAAGAACTCATACTATGTGCCAGGTATGGTGTTAGGTGGTAGGGATATAAGGCTGGGCAAACACAAACATGAGGTTAAAGTCCAGTGGGTTAGACAGATAGTGCTCATATAATCAGCCTAATAAATGAGATGGGTAGGTGCTAAAGGAAGAAATGTTCTGGTTAGAGGAAGCAGCTTGTGTAAAGGCCCTGTGGAAGGAGGAGACATGCTGCTTCAAGGATTGGCAAGAAGGCCAACAGAACTGGACTGAAGGAGGAATGGCAAGGGACGACTTTGAAGTTGCATAGGAAGGTATGTGACAGATTAGGTAGGGCCCTCTACACACACCACGCCAGACCATGGGCTGATCTCTATCCTAAAAGTCCTCATGGAAGAACAAAAAGAGGAGTGATTGTTTTTTCCTCCTTCTTTGGGGGAAGAAAAAAGAGAAAATATGAGACGTATGTGCCAACCAAAAGAGGTTAAATTTGATATAACAGGAAATAAAATATCACCCCAAAGTTTTTAAAGGAGAAATCATGTAATGAGAAGATTTACACCAGAACATTCTCTTTGCCAATATTATATACAATATTTTAGACAGAGCTATACTAAAAAAAGAATGGAATTTCAGGGAAATTGAATTCCAGGTAATTTTAGTAAGAAGGTTAAAAATAATCCCCCCTCCTTTTTTTTACTTGTAAGTTGCAGGGCTGTGGAAATTGTTAAAGAACTCAATATCAATTTCCTTATAGAAACCTTCCAGTTTTTCCACACCCTTTTTGTAACTGTTGAAAAACAGTCCACAGGCAAATTTCAGTGAACAGAGTAAAATTAAAGGATGGAAACCATGTCTTTTTTTAATAGTCAATTTTGTTAAATAAAAATTCTGCCAAGCAAATCAAAATCACATTCCACAACATTAACAGCCATCCTGCATTTGCCTGGATTTAACAGCACCTGTTTCCCACAAAAATCTGTAAATGTTAAGAAAAAAAAAAACACCAAATCCACAATTAAGCATGCAAGGTGCATAAATACTTGGTAATGCCAGAAGATATTTTCCATCTGGAACATAAATTTGGAAGAAAACCTATTCACCACTTGAAATATCTAAAGACAACACTTCACAATGTGTGCATATAATATTGATTTGCTTAAACGTATCAGGACACCTAATTCTATATTGTCTATAAATTGCTTCCTTATACAGTGCTGATAACAGGTACTCAATCCTTTATATAAAAATTGTTTATTTAATTTTTGTGCTGATACCTATTTTGAGATGAGAAGAGGAGAAAGGCAAAAGGGCTATTTAGGTACAATAAGTTAAGGCTTTGAAGTCAGAGGGACAGAACTTTGTTATTCACTTGTGGTATGAACTAGAACATGCTACTCTGAAATTGTTTCCAAAACTCTAAAATAGGTTTAATAATAGCAATCTTTAAGGATTGCTGTGAAAATTAAACAAGAAAATCTATGACTCAACCTCAAATCTACATAACAAAATGCATTTAAAAAAAATCTATGACCCAGCACAGTTAGTAGGATACAGCAGGCATTCAATTATTATTATTACCTTTCTTAACGGTATGCTTGATTTCCCTTTTCTTTTCCTCCACTCCTATCTGTAAGTGTCTCAAGAGAGACAGCATATTTTATTCATTTTGTTGCCTTCTGAAATCAAAAAGTATTCTTATGCACCTGGCACTTTCTACTCAATATTTTATACAAATGTCTGTTTATACAAATGTCTTACTTCCTGAATTAAAACGCAATTTCCTTGAGGACATGGGTGTTAAGCTCAGATTCTTATTGAAAGTGGGTATTCAACAAATATCTGCAAATGAATGATTAAACAAATGAATATATTAAGTAAATACTGAAGGAGAACTAAGTAACATATAGTTCTGTGAATTAAAAAACAAAACACAGGAATCAATACGGAAGATTTCAAGATTCAGGTATGTTCTTATTACTCTTTCTTTCTTGGTTTTAATATACCTAGACAACCAACTCTTATTTTTAGAAAGTGCTTTGAGTTCTGCTCAAAAGAAAAATTATTTGGTTGAGAGAAGATCCTAAATTACAGAATGGTGTTTGCCACAGATTAACAGCAGGTAGAGCCGTCTACTATTAGAGCAAACGCCAGTGAGTACTGATAAGATGACAGCAATAACAATGATGTTGATGCTGGATTGCATTTATGGAATATTATTATGCAGCAGGTATTGTACTTATTATACTTTATCTATACAATCCTAGCAATTGTCCTGCAGGCACTATTAATTTAGTGCCCATGGTCACATAGCGTTTCCTAACACTCCACAACAGCCACCCATCTCCAATTCACTTCACCCCTGCCCCAAGTTTGAATCAGTTATTTCTCCCCATGTGTCTTCACGAACCCTGTACAATCCCTAACAGGGTACCTTTGACACTGTATTGTAGTTGCTTGTTTATTCCTTGAATCTTCCAAAGGAATGTGAACTATGAGCCGAAGTCCTTACTGATGCTGTATCCCAGTTCCAAGAGCCCTGCATCTGGAACACATTTATTTGTGGAATGGAGGGAGGGGTGAATGTATGGGTGAAGTAGAAGTGGCGGAGCTACTTCCAACCCATGCCTGTCTGACTTCTAAGCCTCTGCTTTTTATTCTATTCCATGCTCTCCATCAAGTAATAACCCCATTTTGTAAAGCTGTATTATTTGTAAATTTCATTTCATACAAGATTTCTATTAAAAACTAAGGGATTTCTTCTCCCCACAAATCAGATGTTCATATGCCAAATCACTGCCAAATTTACCAAGTGATTTGATAAGCTGGCACTCTGAAAACCATCAAATCTACATTTTATGTTTAAAGTCAAAAAGGCAAAGATTGTCAATACCAATAACTGTAGATCTCATTCATGTAACTTCCATAGTCCTATTAACAATATTATATACATTATTGCTTTTGGGGCTTAAATAAATGTGGGTAGAATATTTGGAAAGTTTTTGAAAAATCCACTGTCATGCTCAGGGTCAGATTCCAGCCCCAGCTGAGGGCTGAGCGGAGTGGGTGGATGTGGGGCAGGGAGCTGGAAGAACACTCAAGAGACAGCAGGTAGATGAGACATGGCTTTATTCAGCAGCCCCTTCACAGGGTTAGTGTTACATTTATACACTACACAAACAATAGCGGCTGAGAGCCAGGTGGGGAGCTTCTCTATGCTGTGTCTACATGGCTATGATTATATAAGATATGATACTGTGCGCTTGCGCCCCAATCCCGCTGAGTCATGTGGGCTGTTTACCTCGGCTTATGCCTGCTGCCCTATGCCTGCTTGGCTGCAGCACAGCCATGTTCCTTACATCCACTTAATTCCACTAAATCAACTTTTCAATAATGGTGTGCATAAATCTGTTAAACTACTTAAGTTTTAAAGGCTGATTTTAGATCATCTATCATAAAAAGCCTAAAAACTTTACCTGCTTTCTGGATGTCAATGCTCAAAATTACACACATAAGTTAGCTAAAGTCAGTTTTCTAAAGTGAATATGCTGTCTAGGAATTGCATTATATTCAGAATGTATTTGAGAAAGACATATTTCAATGATAAAATTGCAAAAGGAATCACCTCAATTCATCATCTTGCCCAATTTCAGAGCACAAAAAGACAATTTAGAGGCCCCTAAGTCATTTTGTTAAGCATGGACTTCAAAGGAGAAGGAAATTCCAAGGATCACTGATCTGACAGCAACCAATGCAAACATCTAGGTTGTCATAGTCAATCCCCTTTAATTATCAACAAGTTTTTACCATTTCTGACCAGTCATTTGGAGCTGACCTCTGACAAGTACTTACAAGTCATCGAAATCTCATTTTATTTTATAGCCTCATATTTGTTATTGGGCTAATCTTTACCTGTTCTGCATCACACAACAGCTTAAATATTTGAATGGCCCAGCAATAAATTTCCATGGTCCCCCTGGGTCAGTCAGATGTTAGCTGTTAAGTAAAGCTAAAAGGATCTAGGCTTCATAAATTTCCTTCAGGGCCCACATTTGCTCTTACAGGCTAGGCTTTCAAGCCCAAACATCTTTATAGCTATGTGCAGTGATTTATTAACTCCTCCTTGTTTTTATCCAAAAAGATCAATCACATATGTATCAATCAGCCAGTGTGCTGGTGACTGTTTTTTATTGTACATATAACCACCTGCCTTTAATACAAACTTGTGTCTCAAGCTTTTCTAAGTGCTTGCTGGATTTTAACAACCTTCACCTGTTTCTAATTTGGTATAAAACATATGGTTTAGTTCTGCTATTTAGTTCTAAGCCAGCCTTTCCTCTTTTGGACCCAACAATATAAAAGAAAACAAATCCAGGGCACAAAATTCTAAAGTTGGAGGATGTTACACATGTACACACACCATAATGACTTGCCCAGTTACTTCTGAAAAGCATCTTCACAGAGAAATATTTTATAGTTGTGAAACAATTATACTTCTTTGAAAAAATTAGATGTGTCCTATATTACTCTTGAGGGTTCTAAAAATTACGTTCAAACTGTGAAAATGACAGTTTAATCTTAGTGCCTCAAAAAAGATAACAGCTATACCTAGTAGCCTATGAGGTTAGGAAAGAGAGTTCCTATCTTTATATTCGGGAATCTACATCTGGCCAGGTGAAACCAATATTTTCTTTTCCCTTCCCTTGTCCTTCTCTAAATTAGACCAAAAGTTTAAGAGGCAGGGTGCCAGTGGGGAGAGAACCACAATATAACTCAGCATGGTAAAGTCAATACTAAAATTAAGGGTGTCTGGGTGATAGGGCAGGGAGGAGAAAATCCTCAGGAAGAAATGACTAATATAAATGTCTAGGAGAGGCAGAGAAGTCAAAACAGCCTCCCACAGCTCCACCAGACTTCTTTCCTAAACACATCTCCTTTTCCAGTGATGGTGGGATTGGACAACACTGGCCACAGCTGGCACTGAACCTCCTCTTCAGATTGCTCCCACCCTTCAGGGCCCAGTGCAAATGTTCTATCCTCTCTGAAGCCTTCCCCTAGTCCCAAAAGAAGTGAGGTGCTTCTATGAGATATCAGTATTTATTCATCATTTGGGAGCAGGTAATCACATTAGGCTTTGTTTTACAATCATATGTTTACATGTCTGTCTCTTGTACAATGGTCTAACAGAGCAGGTATTGAATAAATGTTCACTGAATTGTATTGTTAGTTTGCAAAGACTTTGTACAAATGAAGCCACCAAAAGCACACTTAAAAATCAATGTTTTTTTATCAAAATAAAACATATACATGGTTGAAAAAACAAAATGTTCTACAAGCCTGATACTAAAAACATTAGTTTACATGTTTATTAGTTAAAATACCCTAGAGCTTTATCTCCATTCCTAGACCTCCAAGCTTATTATTCTCATCACTTTAGGCTGCTTTTTCCCCCTGGTATTTTCCCTCTATGTTTCTAATTAATATCCTTTTATTCCTGTTTCTCGACCCTATGGCTTTAAAAATGATCTACTGACAATATACTGGGGAAGATGAGGATATAGCTCTCTTACACACTGCTTCCCCACCTCTTCCAAAATACCTACACTTCCCCTTCCTCCAATCCATTCACTAGGGTCAACATCATAATTTTTGGTTAAATCAGTATGCAACATTACAGTATTATAACCATGTTATTTTTTTGAGCAGAGCCATATAATGTATCATATTTTAATTCTTTTAAACTTGGTTTTCCCTGGAGTTAATAACAACCTAGTTTTTTCATTTGCTAAATTTACGTACCTCTCACTAATTTATTCCCAGAACCCCTGGAAGCAATGAAAATTCCCTCTTGCTATGGTTAAATCCTCTTTCAGTTTCACTCTTTCTTGGTGCCTTCGATCTCTTGCTCCATTGGCCAGTGCGGGGGCTGATCATCTATGGTTTCCCTTCACCCTGAGATCCCTCCTTTTCCATGAATAATGTTTTCTTCTTACTTGGTTTATTCCTTTATATTAATAGAGCACATCTTCCAGAAGTTTCCTAGGAAAGGTGCATAGGACTTTCATGCCTGAAAAGTCTTTTTTCTACCCTTTTATTTGACTGATAGCTTGATTTAAATATAGGTTATAGAAATAATTTTCCCTCAGTACTTTGAAGGATTGTTCCATTGCTTTCTAACTTTCAGTGCTGCCTTTGAGGAGTCGGATATTATGACTCCTATTCCTTTGTATGTATTTTTTTTTCTCTGCAAGCTTTTAGAATCTTCACTTTACCTCTAGAATTCCATAATTTCACAGTGATGTACCTTAGTGTGGGCTTTTAAAATGTTATTGTGCTAGGCACTCACTGGGCTCGACTCTTTCCATTTGAAATCAAGTATTTTAATTATTAGAATTTTCTTGCATTATTATTTGTTGGATAACTTCCTACCTTCCCTTTTCTGTTTCTTTTTTGTACTCACTGCTATCTGGATTGTTGGATCATCAAATATTTGAGGAAATCCTCTAATTTCTTATCTTTTCTTTCTTATCTTTGATCTCCGGCTTTTTTTTTTTTTTTAAGAGAAAAACAACTTTACCTCCAGCATTCTGTTGAATTTTTAAAACACTTCCTTCATTTTAATTTGCCACGCTTCATCTTTTCTAAATGTTCATTTTTATATCATCTTGTTTTTGTTCTTGGACATAGTACTTTCCCTTGTCTCTCTGAGGATATTATTTAAAGTCTCCTAAAAAAAATCCCAACAAACTATTGATTTTTATTTATCCCTATATTCTTTCTTTCCTCCACATTTCTTTTTCATGATTTTGGCTTCTCAAGTTTCCTCAAATGTCTGGTAATTCTTTGGTTAATCATTTTTAAAAGCAAGGCACTAAAGAGCACACATATTGAAAGATGTGCATTGACAGAACTGGCCAAAAGGCAGGTTTCACTCTGGGGTTATTAGCAGAGAACTGGAAATTTCATATGGAGATGTACAACTCTAAGAAGCTGTATGTATCTTCTCTTGGATCAGTTTTCCACGTTCTTATATGTACAATCAATTCCTTTTTTCAGCTGGCACCTCTGCCCTCAGTTATGCTAGCTGTCTCTGAATCCAGCATTAGTCTAGTTCGACCTCTCTAGAGTAAACATCAGGTTTTCTGCTGGTGAAGTGAAAGGTAGTTGCCTGAGAGAGGTTGTCAGGGTATACTGGCTTCTAATACAGACTTCCAGACATACCCGACTCACCTTCAAAGACTCCTGGCCTCCAATTCTGAGACTTTCTGGACTTCTGCAGCATGAATCAGCTTGCTTCTTAACCTTCCCCCTTGCGAGCTCTTAGATTTTCATTTTTCCAGTCTGCTACGTCAATTGCTACTTTCACCTGCTGTTCAGTTCTCACAATTTTGTTGATTTCACAGTTTCTCTGCTCTGGAGGTTGCCTCTCCTGTTCCTTACTTATGCTTTTTAAAATTTTTTTTCTTTCTTTTTTCTTTTTTTTAGGAGATGGAGTCTCGCTCCGTAGCCTAGGCTGGAGTGCAGTAGCACAATCTCGGCTCACTACAGCCTCCGTCTCCCAGGTTCAAGCAATTCTCCTGCCTCAGCCTCCCGAGTAGCTGGGACTACAGGCACATGCTGCCATGCCCGGCTAATGTTTTTGATATTTTAGTAGAGACAGGGTTTCACTGTGTTGCCCAAGCTGGTTTCAAACTCCTGAGCTCAGGCAATCTGCCCGCCTCAGCCTCCCAAAGTGCTGGGATTACAGCCGTGAGCCGCGGCGCCTGGCCTGCTTTTTAAATTTTAATCCGTATACTGTTATTTCATTGGCATTTTGGTGAGAAAAGATAAGCACATTTGTTCAGTCAGAAGTTTGACATTTACTACTAGTGATTAAAATAGCAGCCTTTGTTTCCATGTCAGGCTCTGTGTGCTGGGCTTTATATGTACTGGTTAATTCTTAAAACAACCCTGTGACAGAGACTGCTGATTGTGCCCCAATGCCCATTCTCTTCTTCTGTTGTTAACAGAACCCCTGAAGTTTAAAAGCCACTTAGAAAAAAGACATTTCTCAACCTCCTACAGAGGTCCTTAGAGGAGTCCTTAGAGGAGGGAGGAATGCCCACTTCCTGTTGGCTACATAATGACTGACATTCCAACAACCATCTTGGACCATGAGGGCCACAATCCAGGGATGGCAGAGCAGAGACCTTGAAGCAGCCTGCATTTCCTGAAGCATTTACGGAACTGCCACTCCAGCCCTGGATTACTGATCCCTGGATTTTTATGCCTGAAAATAAAATTTTATTTAAGTCATTGTTAATTTGAGGTTTCCATTACATACAAACTCCACAATGACACTATTCCCCATACTGAAGCTTAGAGAAGTAACTTGCCCAGGGTTAAGGTGACAAAGAGCTGGATTCTAACTCAGGTCTTACACCACAGTGTGTATTTTTAACCAAAGACTTTCTTTAAATTATTGTATCTTGGAACACATACATATGTATGTCATAATTTGAGGGTTGAGCATGGTTACTATCTCAAGAAATAATACAAACTTGGGAGTCAGAATTCTATGTACACTTCTACTAGACATAAGAATAATTTGTTTTATGAATTTTACTTAGCTAAATGATGGAAACATATGTTTCTGTATCATACAAAAATACTTACATAAGTTTTTTGCCAAATTTGAATATACTACTAGAGACACTCTAATTTAAAATACAGACTTTAACCCAGACATATGGGTGTCCTCTAGAACATATAACTTCCTATTGAAGACACATACCAATATATCAAGATGTTCTTTACAAAAACCTAGTGATTTCAAATATAGGTCCAAACAGAATGTCACAGTAGCTTATACACAGTAAAAGCCCACTAAGTATTTATTAAATGAATATAAACAAATTGGCTTTTGATTCATTTGCTGAGAAATATTATTTCCCAGTTGCCCCTCAACTTAAAATAATCACTCCCTCATTTTTGTTCCTGATGAGCAACAACTCATCTGATACTTTTTCTTCCTTTTTTTAAAAAAAATTAAAGAACAGTTTAAATAATACTACCCACTTCATTTTAAAATTAGAGAATAATGACCTACATACTCACTACGCAGAGTTGACAACAGATATTATTTTTTAGTTAAAATAAATAAAACATTACAGATCAAGTGAGCCTTCTTTGTTTACCAATTCAGGGACTCCCCCTTCCTCCATTAGTTAGGATCATTTTAACCTCAAGTGACAGAAAAACCAAATCACTGATTCAAAGAAGAAAAAGAAATGGCTAACTCAGAAACTTTATTACATTAATTGGGACCCAGGTCTTCCCATCTTTCCACTCTGCCATCCTTAGAAAATTGGGCAAGGCCCATTCATGATCACAGGATGGTTGGTACACAATCAGCTCTCATCTGTAGAGACATCTAGTAGAAAATGGCAGACTTTTCTCCTGTGTGTCTTTTTTAATATATAAACTTTTTATTAATGTATAACATACAGATAGGTAAGGGCAAACTCCCTTAATGTTCACAGAATTAATACTTTTATGAAACCAGCACCCAGACCAAGAAATTGAATATTACCAGCATCACAGCCACGTGTCTGTCTTAGTGCATAAAACTATTCCCAGCAGTACCCCATAGAACTGGCCAGAATTGTGAATCAACTCCTAAATCCATCACTGTTGAGTGCAGTGGGATCACATGATTAGTAAAAAGCCAATTGTAGTTCACTCCCTGGCACTGAGACTGGAACCCACTTTCCACATACCCAAGAAGAGAGTTAATTACTAACAATAGGGACCTCTTGAGAAACAGGAATGACCATGGTTAGGTAACCAACAGCACCTGTCATATCTTCTCTCCACAAGCCACTCCTTTTATAATTTGGTTAATATCTGTGTTTACTGCTTTTTATACTTTTAAAATACAAGTGTTTCTATGAAAAACAATGAACCATACGTACCATTCTGCAACTTACTTTTTTTCACTCCATAGTGTTTTCTGAAAGCTATTTTTGTCTGTGTGTGTATCTAAAATATTCCTTTGAACTCCTGATTAGTATTCCATCTTATGGATGTTCAATATTTTATTTCTCCACTCCCTTACTAAAGGGGATTTAGGTTGTTTCTAATTTTTTCACCAGTACAAGTAATGATGTACTAAACATCTTTATATGCCCTCCTTTGAGCAAGTTTCTCTAGGGGACAAACTTCTAAACAGTATGTACTCGAAACCGTTTTACTAGATTCTGACAAATTGTTGGTACTGCTAACCCTAGAGAACAACATGTAGTCTTGGAAGTATTTTTTCTTGAACTCTCTGTGACACAATTTGTGAATATAATGTAGATAATAATATCATTAATCTCATACTGCTTTTGTGACAATTCACGTGTAGAACAGTACCTGAAAGATCGCAAGAGCAACTATAATTTTCTGAGTGATTACTATTATTGCTATTAATCTTTGTATTACTAGAATATAATATAAGGCCTGTTTATATCCACTGTAATTTTTTAACTGTGTCAACCTGGCTAAGCTGGAAGTATTTACCAGAAGACGACTGCCTATATGGATCCAGGTTACAGATGAACAAAAGATAAATTTGGGTAAGATTTGGAAGATAGAATTCACTTCATTGTCTTCCAAAGATAATAACTGGCCATGGCAGCAGCCACTACACTGGCATGGTGGCAGGGCATGGTGTTAGACACAGTAATCCACAGATGCAAGGCTGCTTGCAGATTCCATTTGGTGTCTGTGCTTCCATTCTGCATCTAGCTCTTCTTCCCAGCTGCTGGCCCTGCTGACCAATACCAACTCCCTTCCCACTATCAGATGCAGTGGCAACAGCCTTCCATAGATGTCTCCACCTGCTCTCCTCTGGGGTTCCACGCAGCAGCTGGATATACCTCACTTCCTACTTCTTTGCCTGAGTTGTCTACCTGCACCAGAGCTTCAGAAGGGCTGGGGTAGTGACTTTTCTCTGATCTCCAAGCCCTGCTTTTGCACTCTTATTTCTGTAGCTTCTTCCACAATTGCGTACGATCTTGTCCCAATAAATCCATCAGACCATAATATTCACACTAATTCTGCTTTTCTGACTGAAACATGATTGATACAATACCCTTTGATAATTTTTTAATTGAGTGGTTTGTCTTTTAACCATTTTCCCTAAGGGTTCTTGCATTGGAATTTTTTTTCTTTTTTTGCTATTTATGTGCTAAAATTTTCACTCACAAACTCATTTCTGATATACTTTCATATAATTGTTAATCAGTCTTTCTAGGGTTGCAGTAATGTGCATGATATTCTTCTTATTGTCAAGTAACTTCAACCAAACCCTCCTTGTCTGCTGATTGTTACCGTGTTTTCTATTTCCACTTAACACTTGCATTTTAAAATCCAGTGTGTTGGCCAGGCCCGGTGGCTCACACCTGTAATCCCAGCACCTTGGGAGGCCAAGGCAGGCGGATCACAAAGTCAGAAGATCGAGACCATCCTGGCCAACATGGTGAAACCTCGTCTCTACTAAAAATACAAAAATTAAGCCGGGTGTGGTTGCGCGTGCCTGTAATCCCAGCTACTCGGGAGGCTGAGGCACGAGAATTGCTTGATCCCAGGAGGCAGAGGTTGCAGTGAGTCGAGACCGCGCCACTGCACTCCAGCCTGGCAACAGAGCAAAACTCCGTCCCCGCCCCAACCAAAAAACAAAACAAAACAAACAAACAAACAAAAAACCAAAAATCCAGTGTGTTGTGCATCTTCTATTTCTTTCTTTCCTTTTTTTTTTTTTTTGAGATGGAGTATCACACTGTCGCCCAGGCTGAGTGCAGTGGTGTGATCTCGGCTCACTGCAAGCTCCACCTCCCAGGTTCACACCATTCTCCTGGCTTAGCCTCCCAAGTAGCTGGGACTACAGGCGCCCGCCACCATGCCCGGCTAATTTTTTGTATTTTTAGTAGAGACGGGGTTTCACTGTGTTAGCCAGGATGGTCTCGATCTCCTGACCTCGTGATCCACCATGCCCGGCCGCTTCTTCTACTTCTTTGCTGCAGATCTAGTGCTGTTATTTGCATACTTTAGTTAGTCTTTATGGGTCAAAGTTCTTCTACTTGGCTATAGGCAGAGAACACTTGATAATGCCCAGGGAAAAAAAGATTTACAATATACTGCAATGAATTATTTCAAATTCAAAAACAACTTAAAAATATATATACAAATAGTATTATGCCAAATCAGAGAAGCATAAGGCATAGCTAAACAAGGTATGTATATATGTGTGTGCATCCATTTATTCAGAACTTTTGTGTTTTTCACTATCATTTTTATAATGTTTTATATTTTTCTTTGATAAAGGTCTTTCACCCTTTTTATTTATTTTTTAAAATTTTGAGGCAGAGTTTTGCTCTCATTGCCCAGGCTGGAGTGCAGTGGCACAATCTTGGCTCACTGCAACCTCCGCCTCCTGGGTTCAAGCGATCCTCCTGCCTCAGCCTCCCAAGTAGCTGGGACTACAGGTGCCCACCCCCACATCCGGCTAATTTTTGTGTTTTTAGTAGAGACAGGGTTTCGCCATGCTGGCCAGGCTGGTCTCAAACTCCCAACCTTAGGTGATCCACCTGACTCAGCCTCCCAAAGTGCTGGGATTACAGGTGTGAGCCACTGCGCCTGGCCTCACCCTTTTTATTAACCATATTGCTAGGTGCTTGTATTGTATTCATTTTCAGTTTGTAAGCTTTTTTTCCCTTTTTTCAAATATGTAAACTTCATTTCTTTTTCTCATATAATTCTATTGGCCAGGGCCACAAATACAATATTTTATTGTAAAGACAACTGGCATCCTTATGTGCCTTCTGATTTTAGTGGAGTCCTTACAAAGTTTCACTATTAAGTCTAATGCTTGCTATAGGTTTGTGATAATCATCTTTTGGCATTTTAAGGAAATTCCTTTCATTTTCTACTTTACAATGAGTTCTTATAACAACCACTACTACTATTATTGGCCAACATTTGATGCTTTACCAAGTACCACATATATTTTCCATGTATTCACTCATTTAATCCACCTAGATACCCTATGAAGTGGGTGCTGTTATCTCTCCATTTAACAATGACAGTAAGGCACATAGGGTGATCAAGTAACTTGTCCAAAGTCACACAATATATTAGTTTTCTATGACTGCTTTAAAAAATAAAACAAGCTTAGCAGCTTAAAACACTCATTTACTATCTCATGGTTTCTGTAGGTCAGAACTCTAGGCACAGTATAAATGAGTTCTCTGCTCAGGATCTAAGAAATCTAAAATCAAGGTGTTGGCCAGGCTTCTCATGTGTAGCTCAGGGTCATCTTCCAAGCTCATTCAGGTTGTTGGCAGAATTGAGTTCCTTGTGGTGGTAGGGCTGAGCTAGTTCCTTGCTAGCTGTCAGCCATATTTCACTCCCAGTTCTTAGGAGCCACCCTCAGGTCCTAGCCACATGGCTCCCTCCATGAGGAGTTCTGTTTGCTTTCTTGTGGGCTAGCAGAAGAGCATCTGCTACTGCTTCTTGGCTCTCAAGGGTTCACTTGATTAGGCCAAGCCTACACAGATAATTTTGCTTTAAATTAACTCAAAGTCAAATGGTTGGGAACCTTAATCATGGGAGGAAAATTCTATTACATTCATCTCTCAGTATCTGTGGAGGATTGATTCCAGGACCCTTGTGGATGCCAAAATCCAAGTAAGCTCAAGCCCCTGATATAAAATTTGTATTTTAATATAACCTACAAATATAACTTATGTACATAAGTCCTGTATACTTCAAATTATCTCTAAATTACTTATAATACCTAATACAATGCAAATGCTATGTAAATAGTTATGTCTGTTGTTTTTAAATTTGTATTTTTTTTGCAATTTGTATTTTTTTTTTGCATAAACCATGTCCCCAGGAAATTTGAAAGGAAGCAGGTGCTGAATGGAATTTTTTTCCATTTTCATGAACTGTGTTAATTCTATCTCCAGTAGACCTAATGCTTGAGTAAGCAAGATGTCTAATCAATAAATTATTTTCATGCTCACAATTTCAGGTTTTTGTACTCCAGCATAGCTTGGTCTTATTTCTTACTGTATGAAAGCTTAACAGCAATGTGATTTAAGGTTTTGTTTTGTTTTTTAAGTGGGAGATGTAAGTGATTTAATTCATGGGTACTTCTAGAACCAATAGATAATCCCATTGCCTTTAATTTTCTAATTAAAGAATTCCTAAATACTTTGAAAATAAAAAAAAAATCTGTATTTTTAAAATTTTTGTATTGTTACCTTTTGTTTGTTTTTGTCTAAATATTTTCTATCCGTGGCTGGTTGAATCTGCAGATTGAGAGGGCCGACTATATATTCACAAGTCTTGCCCACACTGAAGGGGAAGACATTTATACGGACATGTACACCAGGATAATGGGAATCTTGAGTGCTGTTTCAAATTCTGCCTACCATTTACACTAAATAACAGTCTGGATTCAAACTCTCATTATCTGGTTCCAGAATTTAAGTACCCGCCCCCACCACCCCTTTCCTTGCGACAGGGTCTTGCTCTTTCACCCAGTCTGGAGTGTAGTGGTGTGAACACAGCTCACTGCAGTCTCAACCTCCCAGGCTCAAGTGATTCTCCCACCTCAGCCTCTTGAGTAGCTGGGACTTACAGGTATGCCACCACGCCCAGCTGATTTTTTTTTTTTTTTTTTTTTTTTGTAAAGACAAAGTCTTGAAATGTTGCCCAGGCTGGTCTCTAACTCCTGGGATCAAGCAATCTGCCCGCTGCAACCTCCCAAAGTGCTGGGATTACAGGCGTGAGCCACTGCGCCCTGCTGAGAATGTATGTTCCTAATCAAAACGTATATTGCCTTTCTAAATAAGTATCTAATTTTATTGAATGCTTTTTTTGTATCTATTGAAATGATATGATATTTTTCTTAATCTGTTAATGGGTGAGTTATGTGGAAAGCTTTTTAAATGCTGAGCCATTGACTCATTCCTGAATTGCCAGATTCAGCTTGCATATGTTTTGTTTTGTATGTCTTTCATACAAAAGTGGCAACTTAGTATGAAAGATATTTGTCTATAACTTTTGTTTTCTTCTATTGTCCTGTTCAGGTTGTTTTATCAAATTCACACTTATTCAGTTTATTAAATGCCTTCAAGGAAAAAGCTGGCTTCAGTGTTCACCTTATTTCTTTAGGTTCTTGCCTTTACTCAGTTTTTGACCTAAGTATTCTTTATTTTCTTGTGAACTAATAAATATAATTAAAGAATTTGTTTTTCTCAAGCAGTTTCAGTGTTGGTCAAGATATCTATGCTACTATACTCTGGAAGCAGCTCCTATTCAGTTTTCCCATTTCTTTTTGGATCAATTTTGTTATTTTATATTTTTTTCTAAAAAAGACTATTCCACCTACCTTTTAAAAACTGTTCACAGTATGTTCTTATGAGTTTTCAATCTGTGTGGCACATGTGTCTCCTTTTTTTGTTCTTAATATTGTCTGTGTTTTTTTTTTTAACTCAGCCACCATGTTTTGAATATTTCTTTCTTGCCATGTCTTCTAATCTTTATTCCTAGAATTCCCCTTAGATATATGTTGACACCTCTCAATCATTTTCCATGTCCCATAACTTCTTTTATGCACATCCACATTTGAAACTCATGACAATGAATCATGCATGGTATTTCTAATTTAATTTTCTTTTTTTTTGAGACAGGGTCTCACTCTATTGCACAAGTTGAAGTCGGGTAGTGGCAGGATCATGGCTCACTGCAGCCTTGACCTCCTGGGCTCAAGTGATCCTCCCACTTCAGCCTCCTCAGTAGCTGGGTGCCATCACACTTGGTTAATCTTTCTATTTTTTTAGGGATGGGGTTTCAGTATGTTGCCTAGGCTGAAGTCTCAAACTCCTGGGCTCAAGTGATCCTCCAGCCTTGGCCTCCCAAAGTGTTCAGATTACAGGCATGAGCTGCCGTGCCCAGCCTAATTTAACGTTTTAACCTTTCATTTCATTGGCTAGTTGAGAGGATAAACACTACTCACTGTTCCTTTGCTTCAGTTTTGTCAAACAACTAGATCCTGATTTAGTATATTTTTGCAGGAGTGAGAACTAAACATTAAATAGATATTCTGAGCAAAGTAAATTTTAAGTTGATCCTGAAACTTTAAAAAGCTCTTTCCAGTCAATTATCGAGCCTTTACTCTTAATGACAAATTGACACTTGAGACAGGTCCCAAACCACCTATGAACCAACCTTATTTTTGCTTAAAATCAGATTGTACTTCTTTCTACCCCTAGGGATACCTAATGAATCTTGCAATGTATTTACTCATGAGACAAGGGCATGCCAGGTAAAGAAAGGAGTGTTATTAAATAAAAGGCATGAAACAAGGCGATTTTTGTTATCTCTGAAACTAGATAATAAGCTGATAGTATGCTCACTTTCTTAGTCTGTTTCATAAAAATATATGGCATGAAGTATATTCATATGGTAGATATTCAGCAGTATTTACAGAATTTACTTTAAACTGTCCATTTCTTTTAAAGACAGAACATTTTTAATTGTTGTTACTGTTCTTTACTAAATCACAAAGACCTATCAATAGAACAATACCTGTCACATACTATGTACTAATTAAACATTTAATGAATGCATGAATAGGTGAACAGGTTCATTTGTATATTTATCATTCTGAGACTGTGACTCTTGATTTTGAATTAGTATTTAATAATACAAAACTGAGTTAAGTGTCTATTCCAAATTGCATACTACAAAACAGGGCAGTTTCCAATTAAAATAATACAAAAATAGAAAAGGAAATTTCTTTAAACCAAACTGCATCATCTTAGAAAGGAATACTATCTATCATTTTCTCATAGAAATTGCTGAGTGAAATAACATGCTATTTACCAAATTCCTTCTAAGCAACTATGAACCTCCCATTTTGTGATTTATACAGAAACCACCAATACAGAAACCAGAATATAATACAAAATTCTTATATCTCTCACACAGAACATGACTCAGCAAATTCAATATTAGGAGGTGGCTTCTAAAAAGTTTTTCTCCTAGTAACTAAGTTTTTAAAGCTGGAAATGACAAAATTGTGTACTACACACTCAAAAATAAATATTCGCTGTATGGAACATCTTACAACAGAAGTTGTCTCAATAAATTCGTCATCTACACATTTAAAAGAGTTTAAGTATAGGTGTCAATCAACTCCAAGAGACCTGCCACTTCTCATTAGCTTACCAACCTTATATTTATACAAATTAAAATAATAAAAAGTTTCCGTTGCTTATTGGTGTGTTTAATTAATTTACAACAGTAAATTCCCATAACTAGCTACAGTTAATACTTCTAGTATTTCATCACTAGACTCTCCACATCATGAACCTGGGAGCCATCATTTATATTAATGGGAGTAACTAATGAGCATCATGGGAAGAATTAATGCTTTTGTAAGTCTTTTTAAAGGTTTCCAATAATATAAATGAATAGCACTCAAAATTCTAGGCATTATTAACACCAGTCTTTGCTCAAAAGGAAATATGGCAAACTGCTACTATAAAATTAAAACCAATCAAGAAGCCAGAACTGGTGTATGAAAATGACATGAATTATAAGAAAAAAGTAACCACCCACATTGACCTTATGTTAATAAAAAGAAAGAAGCTAGGTACAGAGAAACATATATCCTAGACTTTTAAAAAGTAGCCTTTAAAAAAACGTTAAATAAAATAATGGGCCAGGTGCGGGTAGCTCACGACTGTAATCCCAGCACTTTGGGAGGCCAAGGCGGGATAATCACTTTAGCCCAGGAGTTCAGGACCAGCCCGGGCAACACAGGGAGAACTCATCTCTACAAAAAAATACAATTAGAAAAAATAGCTGGGCATGCTGGCATAAGACTATAATCCCAGGTATTCGGGAGGCTGAGGTGGGAGATGTGCTTGAGACCAGGAGGTCAAAGCTGCTATGACTACACTACTGCATTCCAGCCTGAGTGACAGAGTGAGACCTTGTTTCAAAAAAATAGAAATAGACAGAAAATAATGTTGCACAGAAATAATGGCTCTGAAAGGGATAGTACAAGAGGACACAGGCTCTTAAAACAATTAAATATTAGCTATATAATTATGAATAATTCCAAAACACAATAATGGTAACTAAGATATAAGGTTTAAATATCTATATAATACAGACATAATAAATATTTGTAGGATGCATATATGTAACAGCTACTCAACAGACTAGTATATAACCAGGATTGAGGTTCTTAGGTTGAGTGGGGTTCCTGCAGATTTAACTGTATTGTTAAACTGCTTTCTGAAACAAATGAACTGAAACTCTCACAAGCAAAGGATGAGAGTTTCTCTTCCTCTATGTGCTCACTAAATCTGGTACTAAATAGACATTCTAATTTTTGCCAGTTTGATGGATATAAAATGGCATCTCCTTCTGGTTTTAACATGCATTTCCTGATTATTAGTGAGGCTGAGTATTTTTCTTATGTTATTAAACATCTAGGGTTTGTTCTTCTGTAACAGCTTCTTCATATATTATGTCCATATTTTTATTAGGTTGATTGCTCCTTTACTTGTTTATAAATAAAGGTTTTAAAAATATATATTCTGGATCCTGACATTTAGTTAATCTAAAAGCTATGAATTATAGACAAGGTTTTTTTTTCTTAAATCAAACTTATAGACCATTTCTCATAATATGGTCTTGTTTCTGTGATTTAGTTAAGAAATCCTTTCTAAATTCAAAGCCAAGGATTTTTCAAATTCTAAAAACTTATGAGTCTCATTTCTACTGGAATAATATAAGATAAATTCAACTAGAAGGGAAAAATTAATATCGTGACTACTAGGTTCATTTATCAGTATACAAATATTTACTGAGTGACTATTATATGCAAAGGTCATTTTATATAAATTCTCTCTATTCTTCTCCACCTTTCTGTGAAGCCATTATTTTTGCTTTCCAAAAGAGTATTCTGAGGCTAGAGAGGTGGAATAAACTGGTTCAAGGTGTATCTGATGCCAAAGTTCTTTCAGAAGAGTGAAACAGGAAAGCCATGATTTTTCCTTTCCTAATTTAGAATATACAAGTTTTATTATTTAAAAGCCAACATGGCTTATCTCTGTTAGATAGTTACATGTGGAAGAAACTCTGTTTAAATCAAATTAGTCATATATTTATTACAACCAATCCGTGATCAAAAATACTTTATAGATAGGTTTCTATCCTTTGAACAAATGTATTTTAATATTAACCACTTAAAGCTAATCATCTTTGAAGGTAAGTTTAATTTATACTTAGACTAAATATTAATACTCTTCTCTTATACATGTCTCAATGTTAACTGTTCAGCAGTGTAAAGTGAATTCACTTATGAGGCAAGGTGAGAAAGTGGAGGCTTTGGTCCATGGAAAGGTGTATTATCTGCTTTGTGCCAGTGTACGTGTTTCATTACATCTGGGTCACTTGGACAGCTCCTAATCCTATTCCATACTCAGCAGCTCAGATGCTTAGGGGCCATCTCATCAAGCATGCCTCTGCTGACTACCTGCAACCCAACCCTGTGCTGATCTCTAGCATGGGTCTTATTATGTGGAGAATGACTCTGCTGACTTGCTGTGCATCCTGATGCCAGTTCAGAGCCAGGTAACTTTACCTAATTCTAGCATCTTGTGCAGTGACTAGTATGTCCTAGTGCTCAATAAACATGGTTGGCTTTCTTGCGATGTCCCCTCTTACAACTGAACTCTCTTATGATTTAACTATATATGAATTAAATGTTATATCAGTTTTTCATTTTCAATGAATTAGAGAAGAAAAGCAACTATTAAAAACTAATTGATCATTTAATCTGATTCAGAAACTACTTTTGGTGATCATCCTTAATAATTGTAAATCATCCAAAAGAGAGGTATAAAAATATGGTAGTTAAAACTATCTGGATTAAAGAGTGACATAAATTTGTTTTATAATGATACCATTACCCAGGACATAAATGTTATTATCCTTAGAAAACTGTCTAGAGAACTATTATGAGATGCTTTTGGAAGTTAAAATAATTTCACATCTACCTAAAAATAATTTTTACTCTTTCCTTCCATTCATTTTTGTCAGGAAACCAAAATATTCCCCCAAATTACCTACTGCAAACTCTCTGGCTTGATATAATTACCCTCATTCTCCCATTCTTTGCTTACCAAAAAATTCAAACATACAAGAATTAAAGAAAAGAACAGAGCTACTTTCATGCAACACCAATAAAATAAAGCTTTATTAAATTCAATGATTACTTCATATCAGAACACAAAGCATCTATGCTGTCCTATGATAAATAATAATGGACTGCAAATAGTCCATGAACTACTGGCACGCTCACTGATGTGTTGGGAGTCCTGTTGAGAAACACTGATTTCACATATATTAATAATGTAACAGTATTGAATGTGGGACATACCCCACTATTAACTAAATATATTATTCCTCTGTCCAGTCCCCCCAGCCCCTGCAAGCATTACACTGGACTCTATTTTTATTTGAGTATACCGAAAACTAGAAAAGCAGTAAGTTCAGGTTGGGGTCACATGTCAGAGTCATCTGGTTTTCTTTCTTATCCCACTGTCCCATTACATTACTGTATTTTAATTTAGTTGGTTACAGAAAGCTGAGATGACAGTAATACTAGAGAAGACTTCCTCATCCAGATAATAACATCAGCACTATAAAAGCACACTTCATTAAAAACAACACACACAACAATATACCTCCAAGTGTCAGTGATGAAATAGCTGCACAATTTCTCTTGACTCATTTTCCACATTTCTCCTCTCTCAGCGGAATGCCTAATCTTCACAAGGTGTTCATTTCCTGTCTCACCCAGCAGCCACCTTCTGCATTTTTATTTTGTTGATCTTTACTGCCTGAATTTCCATGGGGATTCCTTATTTTAAAACATGTTCTTTGCTCACACCCCTGAACATAACCCCATCAGTGCTGATGCCTGTGCCTTGGATTACAACAGCACAGAAGTTAATAGCTTGCCACAGTCCCAAGGGACTCTATGAAATAATGATTGTCCTGGCCAGAGCATCCAGAGTTAAAACAATGGGTCACAGAGTAGAGTGTCAGATTACCTAATAGAATTTGCAAAAACTGAATGTTCCTTTTACTCTCCTAATTCAAGAAATATTTATTGAGTGTCTACAAAATACAAGCCTCTCTGCAAGTCAGGGAAGTCTGACACCAAGTAAGATGCAGTTTCTACCCTGAAAATATTTCAGACAAGGATAAATAACTCAAATACACTACCTGCATCATTGAGTTGGGCTGTTATTAAATTAAAGTACATATAAAGAACTTCATTTCTGTGATACTATATAGAGAGAATAGTTCACAGGAATCCAAAAGAATTACAGTTTACCAAACTATGGGAAATCAAGAAAGAGCTTACGATGAAAGTTTTGATAATAAGGGAGGGCTTCATGTACAAGCACAGTTTTGATGCTAGAGATGGCTAGGGAGGGCATTCCAGACAAATAGAATAGCATGGACAATGAGTATCAAGGTAGGAAATACTGTGATGTGTTTGGAAAACAACCAATTGTTCAGTCTGACTGAAGCATAGGTTACGAACTGGGAAGGAACCTGGGGATATGACTAAAAAAGTAAATAGTGGGCCAGGGTGAGAACTATTTAGTTTGAAAATGCTCTGCATTCCTTGTAAGAATAAGGGCTTCAGCATTCACTAACCCGTATCTTCCAAGGCACACATGCTTACGTGACTACTTAGCAGACTGTAGACAGTTAACTCTCGGCCTATTTGAAGTACAGACATACACTGGATATATTGTGGGTTTGGTCCCAAACCACTGCAGAAAAGTTAGTATCTTGGCCGGGTGTTGTGGCTCACAGCTGTAATCCCAGCATTTTGGGAGGGTGAGAGAGAAGTATCGCTTGATGCCAGGAGTTTGAGATCAGCCTGGTCAACATAGCGGCACCCTTTCTCTACAAATAAAAATAAAAATAAATAAAGTGAGTATCTCAATAAAGAGTGACTCATACAGTTTTTTTTTTGTTTCCCAGTATATATGAAAATAGCATTATGTTTTAAAAATATCTTTGAACATGTGTTCATGGAAAAAATTAAAGAAAATACAAAATATATAGTTTAAAACAACGTACGTATCTTAGTTTAAAAACATATTATTGCTAAAAAATGCTAATGATCATCTGAGCCTTCAGAGAGTCATAATGTTTTTGCTGGTGGAGGGTCTTGCCTACTTGGCAATAGCTATTGACTAATCAGGGTGGTGGTTGCTGAAGGTTGGAGTGGCTGTGACAATTTCTTAAAATAAGACAATGAAGTTTTTGGCATCAATTGACTTTGCCTTTCATGTAGCATGCAATGCTGTTTGATAGCATTTACCCACAGTAGAACTTCTTTTACAATTGGAGTCAATCCTTCCTCTCAAACCCTGCCACTTCCTTGTCAACTAAGTTTATGTAACATTCTAAATCCTTTTTTTACATCATCTTCACTAGAATTAGGTTCCATCTCAAGGAACCACTTTCTTTGCTCATCCATAAGATGCAACTCCTCATTGTTAAACTTTTATCATGAAATAGTTATTTCTTCCACTGAAGTCTTGAACCCTTCAAAATCATCCATGAGGGTTGGAATCAACTTCTTCCAAACTTCTGTTAATGCTGATATTTTTATCTCCTCCCATGAATCATGAATATTCTGAATCGCATTTAGAATGGTGAATACTGTCCAGAAAGTTTTCCATTGATTTTGCCCAGATCCATCAGAGGAATCACTATGTATGGCAGCTACAGTCTTATGAAATGTGATGAAATGTGTTTCTTAAATAAGAAGACTTAAAAGTCATCCATGGGTTGCGGAATGGATACTATGTTAGCAGGCATGAAGACAACTTCCATTCAGCACTTGTGGGTAACCAGGTGTGTTTTCAATGAACAGTAATATTTTGAAAGGAATATTTTTTTCTGAGCCGTAGGTCTCAACAGGGGCCTTAAAATATTCAATAAACCATGTTGTAAACAGATGTGCTGTCATATAGGATTTGATGTTACATTTATAGAACACAGAGTATAGTTAGCATCATTCTTAAGGGCCCCAGGATTTTCAGAATGGTCACTGAGCATTAGCTTAAAGTTAGCAGCTGTATTAGCCCCTAATAAAAGAGTCAGCTTTTCCTTTGAATCTTTGCAGTCAGGCATTGACTTCTCCTTTCCAGCTATCGAAGTCCTAGATGGCATTTTCTTCCAACAGAAGGCTATTTTTGTCTACCTTGAAAATCTGTTGTTTAGTGTAGCCACCTGCATCAATACTCTTAGCTAGATCTTCTGGATAACTTGCTGCAGCTTCTCTATCAGCACTTCCTGCTTCACCTTGTACTTCTGTGTTCTAGGGATGGCTTCTTTCCTTAAACCTCATTAACCAACCTCTGTAGCTTCCAACTTTTCTCCTGCAGCTTCCTCATTTCTCTCAGATTTCAAGTAACTGAAGAAAGTTAGGTCGTTGCTCTGGATTAGGCTTTGGCTTATGGGAATGTTGCGGCTGGTTTGACTTTTTTATCCAGACCACTAAAACTCTATCCATATCAGCAATAAGTCTTTTCACTTTCTTATCATTTGTATGTTCACTGGAGTAGCACTTTTAATTTCTTTCAAGGACTTTTCCTTTGAATTTACAACTTGGCTCTTTCACACAAGAGGCCTAGCTTTCAGCCCATCTCAGCTTTTCACATTCTTTCCTCATTAAGCTCAATCATTCCTAGCTTTTAATTTAAAATGAGATATTGGAACTCTTCCTTTCACTTGAACACTTAGAGGCCATTATAGGGCTATATTAATTGGTCTAGTTTCAATAATGTTGTGTCTCAGGGACTATGGAGGTTTGAGGAGAGGGAGAGAGATGGGGGAAGAGCTGGTCAGTGGAGCAGTCAGAACACACACAACATTGATTAAGTCTGCCATCTTATATTGGTGTGGTTTGTATTGTCCCAAAATAATTACAACAATAACATGAAAGATCATTGATTATAGGTCACCACAATAGATATAATAATAATGAAAAGCTTGAAATATTGTGAAAGTTAATAAAATGTGACAGAGACACAAAGTGAGCACATGCTGTTGGAAAAATACCACTGACAGACTTGCTTGATGCAAGGTTACCACAAACCTTCAATTTGTAAAAAATGCAGTCTCTATGAAGCACAATAATGTAAAATGCAAAAAAATGAGGTATGCCTGTAAACAGACAAGCCTTCAGACCTACACCAGTTTTTATCCCTGCATTATGGGGAACTTCACTAGTCCTCTGCACTTAGACCATTGACTTAAAGATGATGTACCTCACAACACTATTACAAAAGGAAATACAGTACTTTCCCACTGGATTACATTTTTAATATTCCTTGCCCTTTATTAGGCCCATCTTCTATCTAGCACACAGAATAAAAACTTACATGCCTAGGATTCCTATTGCAAAGCTCAACGTATACATAACAGTAGTTGCAAAATTTTGTTAAGCATTTTCTGTATGCCAAGCACTGCGCTTATTTAATCCTTACAACAACCTAGTGGCATAGTGACATAGGTACTATGCCAGGAGAACCAAGACTCAGAGAGGAGAACATTGCCACAGTCACTCAGCAATAAGAGAGAAGCCAACATGACCCCAAAGTCCAAAATAATTGGAAATAAAAAACAAAAATTTTGTCAAGTTTAAATTGGAGGCAAGAGAGAAAAAAAGAGATGCATTTTGCACCATACCTTTTAGAGAAAAAACAAATGTCGAATGAACTAACTAATAAGTGTGATTTGAATAATTAACATTTTCAGTGAGAAAGTAACAGAGTAACTGCTTAATATTCAGAGATTCACATTTCTGCATTCTTTACAAGAGTGCTTTCCCTAAATCAGGAAAAGGGAGTATTTCAGGCTCCAGTGCAGACCCATTTTGATAAAAATACTTCTTCCATCTCCTATATGTTTGCTTTACAAGTACAAAACTTAATAATTAGCACTTCATCTTCTGGGCTTGCCTCTCCTCAGGGGGGCATATCAAAATGAATGCTTAGTTAACTTGTATGACCTCACTTCATCTTTCAACCTGTTTCTCCATTTGTGAAATGAAGGGTTCAATCAGATGATGTAATAATATTCCGACTGGTTCTAAAACACAGTAAGTCTACAATTCTGCATGGACTTTTTTTTTTTCACCTTGATTTCTGTTCCATGGTGTACTGTTAGGTAATTATAGAGAATTGGACTACAGACATTTGGGAAAGTTTTCACATGAACAGAGATTTTTCAAGTTAGGTCAAATTCCTGTAATCAAGTGGAAAATCCAAAAGAACTAACAATTTTCATTCATTTCAGTAGTATTAGTCACCCTGAAAAATATTTGCTTAATTATACTTTAAAGTTGCATAGCAAGGAAGATAGAGAACCAAAGCATTTGGTCCACTCTTTTCCACTGCCTCAAGTCAATGTATTTATCATCCAATTTAAAGGTTTAGGGTCTGGGTCTACTGAGTGCTCTAAATGCCAACATCTGAGCAACAACCTACAATAAAATGAAGATGAAAGGTTATAAGAAATGTTCTAATTTATAGGATACACAGAAGAGAGTTGGAAATGAAGGCCATAGCATTTAAGCCTAAGCATGATATGAAAATTCCCCATTTCTGGAAGAAGGCCATCAGATTTAATTGGATGCCATGAAAGCAAACAGATGCTAATCTAGTGAAAACAACAATCATTTCTGAACTCTCTGCACTAAAATAGCTTGATTAACAAACAGAAGCTGAGAATTTTTATAGGAAGGAATATGTAATTCTTAATATAAGATGTTGTCAACAGGTGTTTAAGTATGCCTGAAGCAGGTAATAATAGAAATGAGGAGTCAGAATTACAGCAGTCTGAAAACTAGAGTTCTGGAATTTTCATTTATGTTTTCAATATAAGCTTTTTACCAATAAAATTCTGGGTGCCACTCACTATTTCTACAGAAAACTTATTACTTATACAAATAAAGCTCAAGGTATTCTAATTGTTTCAAGAAGAGGCCATCAGAAAGACATTTTCATTCATTTATTTATCAAGTTAGTGTTGCTCAGCCAAGAGGTAGGCTGAGGGAATACAGAGATAAGGAATCAGCCTGCTCACTGCTACTCTGAAAACTCCTTTGTCTCTTCCCTCTTGGTAAAATGCAAACTAGCTATGCAGAACGGGAAGGTCCATAATCCTCTTGACCTGTCTATGTGGCTGCAAGAATAATAAAAAACGCAGGTCATAAGACTTGGGGACCTGTTTGGCCAACCTCTTTATACATAGGATATATGACCGCCTTATGCACCTAGTCACAAAAAAGGTGTTAGACCATTCCACTCTAATGAGAATCAGGTCCACATGCAATGACTATGATCTTGGCCCAATATTATCTGATTTTGAACACATCACAATTTCTTTATACTTTAGAAATTCTGTCTTGAAATCAGAATCAATCAGGTAAAAAGGGCAACTCTTGGGGTTTTGGTAAGGTCAGGATCCTCCATAGGAACAAACATAAGTACACAAAATCAAGGAAACAGCATTACCATTTCTCTAAGTTCCAATAATTCTACAACAGAAAAATGGCTGACCATCTTTTAGAGATTTATAAAAGTATTGTTGTGAGCAGGCCAGAAAGTTTCAAAAGTGCCTGCCAATTATACCACCCCCTGTTTCTCCTCCTGAGAATAAAACAAACTTCAGACATCTTTTAAGGCCTTGAAAAAGCCATATGCTCTGATCAGCTAGGTCCTAACTCATGGCTTGTTTCACTAATCCATTCTGAATTTATTATCTACCAGACAGTTAAGTAGCACAATAACAATGACTAATGAATTTCATTCCAAAAATCACTTTAAAACATACTTTTCAGTCCTCAGTGAAAGAAGTGGGGGGTGGAGGAACACTGCAGCTGGACTCTGGTTACATTCCTCATGTTTTGTGGTCTGAGCCTCACAGTGAAACGCAGCAAAGATTTCAGAGTTTCCCTTTACAGTATGCAGGTGCACAAGTAATGGTTTAGACAAGGCATCAGTCCAGGCCTGTGTTTCAAACTGGCCAGACAAAGAAAAGAAATCGGTCTTTTTCTCTTCCAGCAAAACTGGCTAAATAGAGCTTTGAACTTTAACATCTCAAGTGCCAATAGCCAGATGAGATAGATAATCAGAGAGGGGAGAGGCTGAAAATTCCTAGGGCCATTACATTAATTATAATTTATCCAATGAGTCATTCAATTTCTACTTGCCATCTCCCATGAAGATCTGATTCCATCTAATGTCCTGGAAAGGTTTACATCAAAATTGAAAACAAGAGAAAGAAAAACCATGTCTAATTTGCTCTTTCAGTGATCCAGGCTAAGAATAACTGAGGCATAAGCATAATCACTAAACATATTTCTATTTATATATTTATTTATACATCCATGTTATTCCAAAAAGGATTTGAAGTACTTCACAAAAATGCATAAAACCAGCTAAAACACTTAAGAGTTCCTAAAATCTAAGACAGCATCAATTGTAAAATGCATCATTAACTTATGTAACACTAAGAAAAGTACTATCAATTATAATATGACATGCCCATTAATTATAAGATGCATCTCATTTTTATCAATATTAAAATGCCCAAAATGTATATATCAAAATCAACAAAATACAATTTGTGTTTCAGCAAAAGGAGGAAGATAGAGGAAGAATATAAAATTCATTCACCAAAATGCAATTCCTGTGGTTCCTCTGGCTGCCAAGGAAAAAAGGGATAACATAATCACCTAAAACCAGCTGGCCTTACCAGATCACTCGAGAAAATCAACCAATCAATTAATAAATCACTGCTGCTACTCACACTGGGGCATGCTACTTGAAATTGCCCACATATTAAGTTGCTACTTCACAAATTAAAGTGTGCAACTGATCTGGAGCAAGAATATTTACCATCTCAAGGAACACCCTTCCTGCAAGCTCGCAAAGTGATTTTCCTGGATAACTAATTTTAAAGTCTGATTATCATGAAAAATTTTGATAAAAATCTGGAAAGACACTTAATTTGAACATTACGGCACTAGGAGAAGGCTGGTTGGAAATATCCCAGTCTCCAGAGAACTACAAGGTGATCTTTCTTAAGTATATATCTGGTCATGGTATTCTCTTTTGCTTAAAATCATCTAGGCGTCCCTTCATCCCTTATAAGCCATGTTTTTCATCATTAAACAAACCAAATGATGTCAGCAAAAATGGTACAGTAGATATAGCCAAAGACCTATCCCTCCAGGGAAACATCTAAAAAGAAAAAATCAAGAAAAATTGTCAAAATCAACTTTGTCAAAACCCCGGAAAACAGTCAAAGGTTTATATCAATTGTCTGAACATTAAATCAAGAAAAAAGAAACTCAAAACCAGGAAGAAAGTTTTGCAGCTTTTTGACTTGCCTTGGCCCCACCCTCCTCTCCAGCTCAGCATAGGTCTTGAAGACAACAGCCTGCCCTCTCAGTATGACACCTCATTTTTTGATCAGATTCTTATTCTAAAAACAAAGTGTGTCTGTTCTAACTTGTCTGGTGGCTACCTGAAGGACTAATGCAAGTCACTTTCCCTTGTTCCTCACCTAGTCTGAACTCACTCAGAACTGAAAAGCAGCTAACAAATGTTCAAGCAGTAAGGCAAACAAACAACCCAGAGCCACCTGGGGCAAAAAAATTACAGTTCAGACATAAAACAGATTGCCTAAAGCCTGGGAAGAAAAGCTGGAGAGAGTTTCTTTGAGAAATTAGGTCATTCAAAAGTGTCCAAGTATAGTGGGGAATGTAGAAGCTACATTCATGCCCGAAACAAGATGCATGTTCAGAAAAAACCTGAAGGGCCTACACTTTCCCCTCTGGCTGACAGCTAGGCTTAGTGCAACCAGAAAGTGAAGGCTAAGGCCTTCAACTGAAATTAAAGGACCATAGATAGTAACTTGAAGCTGTATAAAGAAATAAAAATCCAGAAAAGGTAATTACATATGTAAATAAAAAAGACAGTATTATGGGCACACAATGTATAATGATGCAATTTGTGACAACAACAACATAAAGATGGGAGGGAGGAGGAGAGGTGTATAGAAACAGAGTTTTTATATGCTACTGAAGCTAACTGGTATCAGTTCAAACTAGAATGTTATAAATGTAGGGTGTTAATTAAAATCCCATCATAACCATAAAAAATCTATAAAATACACAGAAAAGGAAATGAGAAAGGAATCAAAAGGGTACACCTCAAAAAATATCAACTAAGCACAAAAGAAGGCAGTAATAAAGGAAATGAGACACAAAAAAAGCATAAGACATACAGAAAACAAATAGCAAAGTGGCATAAGTAAGTTTTTCCCTACCAGTAACTAAGTGTAAGTGGATTAAAAACTCTAATCCAAAGGCAGAGATTGGAGGAATGCATAAAAGGCATGCTCCAACTATATGCCATCTTCAAGAGACTTATTCTAGATAAAAAGGTTCAAAGTGAAAAGATGGGAAAGACAGTCCATGCAAATAGTAACCAAAGGAGAGCTGGGGTGGTCATACTAATATCAGATAAAACAGTCTTTTGGTCAAAAGTTGTTATAAGAGGCAAAAATATACCAATAAAAGGGTCAATTCATCAGGCAGACATAACAAGAAATATGTGCACAAAACAACAGAGGTCTAAAATATATGAAGCAAATGTTGACAGAATTGAAAGGAGAAATATACAGTTTTACACTAATAGTTGAAGAATTCAATACTCTATTCCCAGTCATAAATGGAACATTTAGACAGAAGATCAATAAGGAAATCGAGGACTTGAGAACATCATAAACCAACTAGATCTAACAGACATAAATAGCATCTAATGACAGCAGAATACACATTTTTCTCAAGTGCATGTAGAATGTTCTCCAGGATAGACAATACATTAGGCCACAAAACAAGTCTTCATAATTTAAAAAATATTACAATCATAAAACTATCATCTCTGCTTCTCTGTCACAATGGAATAAAACGAGAACTCAATAATGAAAGGAAAACTAGAAAATTCACAAATATGTGAAAATTAATGCTCTTTTTTTTTTTGAGACAGGGTCTTGCTCTGTCACCCAGGCTGGAATGCAGTGCTGCAATCTTGGCTCACTGCAGCCTTCGCCTCCTGGGCTTAATCAATTATCCCACCTCAGCTTCTTGAGTAGCTGGGACTATAGGTGCACACCACCACGCTCAGCTAATTTTTGTATTTTTTGTAAAGACAGTGTCTCGCCATGTTGTCTAGGCTGGTCTCAAACTCCTGGCCTCAAAGTATCTGCCTGCCTTGGCCTCCCAGAGTGCTGGGATTACAGGCATGAGCCACTAGGCCCAGCCAAAGAATGCTCTCATAAACAACCAGTGGTCAATAAAGAAATCACAGGGAAATTAGAAAATACTTTGACTTTAATTTAAAAAAACATAACATACAAAAATGAATGGGGTATGGAAACTATTTTATAGGTGTAAACACTGACATTATAAAAGAAAGATCTCATTAACCTAAGTTGCCATCTTTAAGAAACTAGAGAAAAAAGAAAATAAAACACAAAGCTAGCAGAATGAAGGAGATAATAAAGATAAGAGCAGAGATACACAAAATGGAGAGCAAAAAAACACTAGAGAGAATCAACAAAACCACAAGTCTTTTCTTTGAAAAGAAATTGACAAATCTTTAACTAGAATGACTATGAAAAAGAAGAAAGAAAATGCAGTAAAATGAGAAATGAAAGTGGGGACATTACTACAAACCTTACAGAAATGAAAAGGATTATAAGAAAACACCATGAGGAGGGTGAAGCAAGATGGCTGAATAGATGCTTTCACCGATTGTTCCCCTGCTAACCTTGCAGGAACACCAATTTAACAACCATCTACACACACAAAAAAGCACCTACATAAGAACCAAAAATCAGGTAAGCAATCACAGTACCTGGTTTTAACTTCATATAGCTGAAAAAGGCATTGAAGACGGTAGGAAAGACAGACTTGAATTGCTGACGCCGCCCCTTCCCCACTCCTTCAGCAGCGGCCATGAGATACAGAGCATCTGTGCTCTTGAGGGAGGGAGAGCACAGCGATTGTGGTACTTTGCATTCAACTCAGTGCTGCTCTGTCACAGTGGGAAACAAAACTGGACTAAACTCAGCCAATGCCCATCCATGGAGGCAGCATTTAGATCAGCCCTAGTCAGAGGGGAATCGCCCATCCCAGTGGTTAGAACTTGAGTTTTGGCAAAACTTTCTACCACGGAAAAGGTGCTCTGGGGTTCTAAATAATCTTGAAAGACAGTCTAGGCTGTGAAGACTGCAATTCCTAGGTAAGTCCTAGTGCTAGTGCTGGCCTTAGAGGCAATGGACATGGGACACTAGCCGGGGTGGCTAAGGAAGTTCTTGTGACACCCCTTCACCAACCTTAGGCAGCGCAGCCTGCAGCAAAAAAAAAAAAAAAAAAAAAAAAGACTCCTTCTTTCTGCTTGTTGGGAGAAGGGAGACTTTGTCTTGCATCTTGGATACCAGCTTAGCCACAATAGGATAGGGCACTGGGCAATCATGAGGCCCCCATTCCAGGCCCTAGCTCCCAGATGACATATCTAGACCCACGCTGGGCCAGAAGGGAATGTGTTGCCTTAAAAGGAAGGACCAAGTCCTGGCAGGATTCATCACCTGTGACCAAAAAGCCCTTGGGCCCTGAAGAACCAGGAGTAATAGCTAGACAGTAAGCTGTGGGCCTTGGGTGAGACTCTGAGATGTGCTGTTTTCAGGTACCAGCTTGGCCACAGTGGAGTAGAGCACCAAATGGGCTTTTGGGGTCCCTGATTCCAGGCCTTGGCTCTTGGATGGCATTTCTGGACGTGTCCTGGTCCAGAGGGGAACCCTCTGCCCTGAAGTGTGACTCCCAGGTGTGGCAGCATTCGCCACAAGCTAACTGAAGAGCCCTTGAGCCTTAAGTGAACATCAGTGATAGCCTGACAGTACCCACCGTGGGTCTAGGTGATGGTGGCCAAGTGAAGAGAAACCTCTGCGTATAATAAGGAGAGGGAAAAGTGGGAAGGACTTTGTCTTAGAGTTTAAGCACCAGCTTAGCCGCAATAGAATAGAGAACCAGATAGATTTCTAAGGTTTTGGACTCCAGTCTTTGCCTCCTAAACAGCATCTCTGGACCTGCTCAGGGGCCGGGGGAAACTTGCTGCCCTGAAGGGAAGGACACAATCCTGGCTGGCTTCACCACCTGCTAATTGTAGAGCCACAGGGTCTTGAGCAAACATAGGTGGTAGCCAGGTAGAGGTTACACAGGGCCTAGGATAAGACCCAGTCCTATGCTGGCATCAGGTCTGAACCAGGGAAATCCCAGTGGTGGAGGCCACGAGGGTGATTGTGTCTCCCTACTCCCAGCTCCAGATGGCTCAGCATAGAGAGAGAGACTGAGAAAAAGTAATGGTAGAGAACAGGAATCTCTGCCTGGTAATCCAGAGAACCCTTCTGGATCTTATCCAAGACCACCAAGTGGTACCTCTACAAGACTGCAAGAACCACAGTGTTACTGAGCTTAGTGTTCCCCCTAATGCAGATACAGCTTAGATCACAACATCCAAGTCCTTTCAAAAACCTGGAAAGCCTTCCCAAGAAAGACAGGTATAAACAAGCCCACACTGTGGAGACTATAGTAAATACCTAAACTCTTCAATGCCCAGACACTGGCAAACATCCACAAGCATCAAGGCCATCAAGGAAAACATGACCTCCCCAAATTAACTAAATAAGGCATCAGGGACCAATTCTGGAGAAACAGAGGTATGTGATCTTTCGGACAGAGAATTCAAAATAGCCGTTTTGTGGAAACACAAAGAAATTCAAGATAATACAGAGAAGGAATTCAGACTTCTATCAGATAAATTTAACAAAGAGATTGAAATAATTAAAAAGAATCAAGTGGATATTCTAGAGGTGAAAAATGCAACTGAAATACTGAAGAATGCATCAAAGTCTCTTAATAGCAGAATTGATCAAGAAGAAGATAGAATTAGTGGTCTTGAAGACAGGCTATTTGAAAATGCTCAGTCAGAGGAGACAAAAGAAAAAAGAATAAAAAAGAATGAAGCATGCCTACAGAACTAGAAAATAGCCTCAAAGGGCAAACCTAAGAGTTACTGGCCTTAAAGAGGAGGTCGAGAAAGAGATAGGAGTAGAAAGGAATAATAACAGAGAACTTCCCAAACCTAGGAAAAAATATCAATATTCAAGTACAAGAAGGTTACAGAACACCACACAGATTTAACTCAAAGAAGACTACCTTAAAGCATTTAACAATCAAACTCCCAAAGGTCAAGTATAAAGAGAAGATCCTAAAAGCAGCAGGAGAAAAGAAACAAGGATAAATATAAATAAAGCAATGGCAAAGAATGCTATAAAATCACACAATGGCCTGTAATCCCAGTACTCTGGAAGGCCAAGGTGGGTGGATCATGAGGTCAAGAGATTGAGACCATCCTGGCCAACATGGTGAAACCTCGTCTCTACTAAAAATACAAAAATTAGCTGGGCGTGCTGGTGCGTGCCTGTATTCCCAGCTACTCGGGAGGCTGAGGCAGGAGAATTGTTGAACCCAGGAGGTGGAGGTTGCAGTGAGCCGAGATTGCGCCACTGCCCTCCAGCCTGGCAACAGAGCAAGACTCCATCTCAAAAAAACAAACAACAACAACAAAAAAAACACAGTGGAACCAAATAATTGGATTACATTAGCAATCAAATGATTTTTCACAATAAAGCTCTATCTTTTTTTTTTTTAAAGAAACAAGTAACATACAATGGAGCTCCCATTCATCTGGCAGCAGACTTTACAGTGGAAGACTAACAGGACAGGAGAGAGTGATGTTACATATTTAAAGTGCTGAAGGCAAAAAAAAAGAAAAGTACAATATGCATGTTTATTAGTCTGAATATAAATTAGTACCTTTACCATTTTCCAGACAATGCTAAGATCTCTGAGCACTTTAACCCCACTCAACCCTTTTTACTTTTTGTGTTAGAACCATGCATTATAAACCTACATATATTATTATGTATATGCATGTTATATTTAAGAAGACATTAGTATTTATTTATAGTCAAAATGAATTTAGAAATACATCTTTATCCTTTCTCTTATTCTTTGTTCCTTTCTCTTATTCTTTGTTCTGTACTGTATTTCCATGTTTCTTTTTGAAATTATTTTTATTCTTCCTTTAGTATTTCCTTTACTGCAGGTCTGCTGCGATATATTTTCTCAGTTTTGATGGTCTGAAATATCTTTATTTTGCCTGTACTTTTGAATAATATTTTCACTGGGTATAGAATTCTAAGTGGACAGTTCTGTTTTTTCCATATTTTAAAATGTCACTGCATCACCATCTGGCTTCCATTGTTCCATTGAGAAATCAGCTTTCAGTCTTACTATCAATCTTTTCATGCTATCATGTCTTTCTCTCTAGTTGCTTTTAGTATTTTCACTTTCTCTTTGATATTCAGCTGTTTAATTTCCCCAGGTATGTTTTCTTTATTGTCATTCTGTTTTGTTAGTGCTTCTTGAATTTGTAATTTCATGTCTTTTGTTAAATTTGAAAATTCTTAGTCATTATCTCTTAAAATTTTGTGTTTACCTCACAATCTTTCCAGCCTCTCTGTGCCTGAAATTATATGTATATTAGACACTTGTATTTTCTGCTGACCTATCTTCCAATTCACTAATCTACTTTTCAGCTATGTTCAATCTGCCATTATATCTTTTCCTAGTTAGATCTCTGACAAATCTTTTAACATTTTACTTGTTGAGTGGCAGGCAAGAGGTACTAGGTGAATATTTGTAGATCATATGACACTTATCCTCACAAAAGTAAGAAGAAAGTAAATGAAACTTAAGTAAATTTTTGCCACCATTAGCAATTCTTGGAAGCCCAGGGGTTGAGTCATTAAAATTTATATGAATAACTAGTTTCACATAATAACTACATTTGATTTAAATGAATGAGGCACTCTACAAAGGTTATATAAAAGTTGTCATAATTTAGATTACATTTTATGTATTTTGTTATACCCCATGTTTTATACTGGCTTGATGTTAAAATCATTTTTTTAAAAAAAAGACACTTACTCTCTCTCCTTTTCCGTCAGTTTGTCATTGATATTGTCTTTGATTGTTGATCTAGACCCCTTATGAATTATAGGATATCTGAGGGGCACTTGTAGGAAAAAGGAAATCATGGAGACCAGATGTGCAGTATAACCAAGGGCAACAGCAATGCTTCCATCATCTTTTGCTGTAAATTCAAAAGCAGAGGAAAAGAAAATAACTATTTACCTTATAAATAACCATAAGATAATAAATAATTTTCAAAGAATATTTTATAAAAATATGTGGTACATAAAATATTAACCACTTATCTAAATTATATAAATTTTATGCAAATGTAAACACATTAACAAGACTTGAAACTTCATCTACTAACTGTATTTTAAACTATTTCCCAATAATTAATGTGATGAGATTAACATTTGATATATACCTTAAAGCAAGAACTCTTACTATGTCCAAATAACCATTGCTTTCTTTCCCAGCATTTTTACAGGATGAATTAATACTTGAGTCTATTACATGATATGAAAATTAGCTTCAGAGGTTTAAACTTAACACACTATACAGTGGTTATACATTTTATTCATTAAGAATTTCCTAGACAATATAGTTGTACTATTTTACAACATTATTAATTCTAAAGGGAAATGAAATAGTATAATCATTCTTATGGGGTATGTTCTTGATATTGAAAAAGACAGGGTTACATAATAAGTCTATGAAGTTAAATATGGGTTAAGGGGGAAAATGCTTTAAACAGCAAAAGCAAAAGGTGAAAAACCACACTGTTCATATACCACCCTATTTATGTAATATAGGTGGAAGCAACTACTAGGAAAAAATGCAGGTATCTTATAATCAGACATAAGCATCTAGCTTTCAAAAAGCCACAGACAATTACATTTTCTAAACTTATCCAGATTTCTGCCACTATCTATCAAGTGATAAATGATGATTCAGGGGCTAAGGGAGTAATACAACAGAAAGTTTTAAACTTCCCCCAAGAGGAAGGAAACAGGATCTTCTTGGTATACAGTATTCCTAAATGCTTTTAAAAGTGCACAAGTGCACGTGTGTGCACTCATACACTAAAACATTTAACACATAATCTGGAATATCCCATCTGGCTAGAGAAGAAGGGCTGAAATGATCACAATGACCATGCCTTGACTATTCCCTGACTTCTAAGGGTGGCTTTAACCTCAATTACCAATAAAAATTTTCGCATTCTTCTTTCTGTTTCCACTTAATTACGTAAGCACTACCTTCTTATGGTAGAAGTGCCACTACAGAGATCCATTCCTCAGTGAATTCTCTACCCTTAACTACCATAGCAGACTATTTGTTTTTCTTTGGTAGTCTTATAAAAATAGGTAACTATTTATATATTTTTTTATATATATACTTTTTTCTGTCCAGAACTGTCTATAGTACTTTATATATGACATTCATTCATTCACTAACAATGTTAAACACCTTTTAAATGCTATTGCATTCCTTTTACAGATAAACAAACTAAGGCTCAGAGATTAAGGAATCCTTCCAAAGTAATACAGCTAGTAAACAGGTTGGCTTGACACCCAATCTTCCACGATTAACCAGTCTACTGTACTGTCTCATAAATTTATTGTTAAACATTAATATAACAATTATTTTTTAAAAAAAGATGAGGTCTCACTATGTTGCCCAGGCCGACCTCAAACTCCTGGGCTCGAGCAATCCTCATGCCTCAGCCTCCCAAGTAACTGGGACTACAGGTTTGTGCCACTGTGCCCAGCATATAACAATTTTTTAACTTGGGAGCCTCGAATGTACCAAGCATATGACACACGTGTACCACCTTAGTTTCTTCACAGTTTTCTAGTAAGAGCAAAGAGCACATAAAAAGTCTGAGAGTCCTCGATGACTTGCATAGTACTCAACAGAAAATGGGCTTCTCAAGGAATGTCTGTTCTCTAAAACAAACCCATGGAAAAAAATCAAACAGCAGTAATTTTCAACCAACTACTGAGTCATGCTCTAACTAACTAGAATCCTAATTATTTTTAGAGACCGTGTCCTCTTGCCCCAGTCCCACCCAAGTACCTTGAATACTACTACAACACTTTCCTTCTGCTGAAACCCGTACATCAGACTACCTTAGGGACTAAAAGTACTTTACATTATAAATTTGTTACATTATAAATTCATTATCATACAATAATAGAACTAAGAGAAACTTTCACAATCACTGACTCTGATGCTACCAACTTGGAGAAGAGAGAAATGAGACCCAGGTGGTATAAATGGCTTGGTCAAAGCCACATAGGTAGAAACTATGAGTGATGAAGTAACTGAAAGAATTGTGTCCACAATCCTCCAGAATACCTATACAGGTGTGGAGTCACAGCTGTAACTGTGAGTTTCTTCACAGGTGACTGAATTCTGCCTCGTGCTTTCCGTAAAGATTAGGTCTTATCAAATTTAAAATATTCCTGTCAGTAAAAGGACTTGATCTTCAATAACCACCTTTTGAAGAGAGAGGGGAAGAGGAAGAAGATGAGGACTTAAAGACAGATAATACTATGCTAAGTTGCAACTTCCCTCTATGTGCTTTATACAAAGCTTTTCCTTTCCTATATGACCTGACAGAAGAGGATTTGAAAACTTCCAGAAAGGAGCAGGCCTCTTAAATTAGCCTTTCAAGCAAGTCAAATGCAAACAATGAATGTTTCAAAACTATCTATCTAATGCTAAACATTCAAGCATCTACATTTTCCCCATATTATGAAAGGAGGACTGCTAAAGAATTATATTTGTATATTTTGAGACTACATCCACATCTCTATTAAAATAACCAAAAGTTGATTTTCTAACATCACTTCCCACCAATGAACAAAACAACTTTGTTTAAAGATAAAAAGGCATCTCTAAGAGAAGTCTACACACAGAAATAAAACAAAAAGAAATAGCACACACTGAAAATTGAATAATATTGGAAATCAGCTTTGATTCAGGTTATTCACACTCACCATTCTTGCCACAAGTCTTCCCACTCCACCTATTAAAAATTCTAGGTTTCCCATTCCAGGCCATAGTGCTCCATCACAGACTCAGTGTTAAACACTGTGGTGTTAGATTTCCAATATTGAACCTTTATATTAAAAAGCATTTTAAAAGGACCATGGGTGAAGCATTACAGGGCCCAAGGGTATTTCAATACCCTCAAAAGGAAAACCACCTCCTGGTAGGGAAGTCACTTTCATCACCCCAAGACCACTGAATCTCCAGTGGGAAAATGTGAGCTCATGTGGTTAATTATGGCTATTGCAGGCCATGCAACCTCAGATGTCACATTCTGTTGCCAATCACTTTAGCTAAAAAACCAAAAGGTTTAAGGTTTCCAGCATTGCAAGATCTGAAAGATTTTTTTACCTGCCACAGCCAAAACCCAGCTCTCTGGGGTGTGCTTTTCCAGTAAGCATTAATGACGTCCCTAACACCTAAGGCAGAGCAGAAGTTTGTGTACCTTATGCTGTTCTGGGGGTTAGAAAGGTCACAGACAATAGTTTTGTTAGTGAGAAGTTGGAGCAGGAGTGGACGGTCCAGGGAGAAACACGAATGAACCTTAAGACTCAGGTATGTGAAAAAGATGCTAATTCCAACAAACTTTTAAGGGGCTTGAAAATAAAATTAAAACCCAGTTTCCTCATAATAAATATTCCTGGTTTATTTTTAAAATGTAGGTAACCACTCAAGGCTGTAGCTTTTGTATAATTTTTATGACAACAAATTCCACAAACACGCAATGGCCATAACATTATAAATGCATTCAAATGTTCCTTTGATTTATATGTTGGACAAACTATTAATATTCAAACGCATCCAAGTACAATAAGTGATCTAAAAGCTCTTACCATCCTGCCTTCCCAATCACTGAGGCAGCTGATTTGTTAAGGAACCAAGCACCCACTGATCCAGACAGGACAAAATATTTAAGACTCTAATCACTGCCACAGCATCTATGGAATCATTCCATGTTCTCAATGAGACATTGTTTGACATATGGACTCTCCTTTCCAAGAAATCATGCCTGCATAAAGGGATACAGACACAGAAGGAAATCTGGGTCTCATTACCACAAAAGGCTCTCGTGTTATGGATTACTTAAACACACACACACACACACACACACACACACACACACACACACACACACACAAACATTTTTTTTTTAAGCTAAATGTCTCGGTCAGTGGAACTCAGATGAACACCCTTCACTGGACATTTTTCTCCCACTGTGTCCAGGTCTCCTTGGCATACTGCAACAGTAACTTACCCACTTAGAAAAGCACACTAATGTTGGAGCACTACGGTGGAGTTTCTCAAACAGTATCACCCCATGCAGCATAAAGTCTATCCCAGCAAAGTCTCATGAATATCACAGAATAACCAGCTTGGAGTTCCTTCACTAGAGTCTCTCCCAGAAAGCAGCTGCTATAGAATACTAAAAAGTTGTCACAGGTTTAAAGAGGTTATTATTCAAAGCGAGGAAGAAAACTGAATTGTGGCAAGAATTATACGAATCTTAGAATCAGGCAGACCAGGAATAACCTTAGGTTTATCACTGTTTAATATGACTCCTTGAAAAAATTAACTAATCTCTCTGAGCTTCAATTTTCTTTTTCTTTTTTTTTTTCCTTTTTTAAATTGAGGGTAATTCCTTTCCTTACAGATGGAATTAATTCTCACAGTTGTGAGAATTAGGGTAAATGTGAGAACATCATGATGTTCCATGTTATCATATTTATTTCCCTTTCTTATTTTCTATTTTGAAATGGGTTCTCACTCTGTCACCTAGACTGGAGTACAGTGGCAAAATCATAGCTCACTACAGCCTCAAACTCCTGGTCACAAGCAATCCTCCCACCTCAGTCCCCCAAAGTGCTAGGATTACAGGCATGAGCCACCATGCCCAGCCTATGTTACTATATTTCTACTCACCCAGCCTAAAATGTCTTCTTACTCTTTTTTCTACTGGAAAACATCATTTTATTTCTTAAGACACTGAAATCATCTTCTCTATAAAAGTTTTCCTGATCGCTCCTGATAGAAGTGATTATTCTCACTTTTTTGAGTACCATGTACCTGCTATAAACTTCTAAGTGCCTGACACAGAGTATGAATTCAATAAATACTTACTGACTGTCTTGATTACAAATCTGATATCCTCAACTGGACTATAATCTCACTGAGGCAGGATCAATGTCTTAACCATCTCTTACACCCTCAACACCTGGCACCATGGATGACATACACAGAACACTCAATACATTTAGTAAATGCAAGTGCCTGCAGGATATTAACATAAGATTTTATTTGTTTGTTTTTGTTTTTAGACAGAGTCTCACTCTGTCACTCAGGCTGGAGTGCAGTGGTGCAATCTCAGCCCACTGCAACCTTTGCCTCTGGGTTCAAGTGATTCTCGTGCCTCAGCCTCCCAAGTAGCTGAGATTACAGGTGTGTGCCACCACACCCAGCTAATTTTTTGTATTTTTAGTAGAAACAGTGTTTCACCATATCGGTCAGGCTGGTCTCAAACTCTTGACCTCAAATGATCTGCACACTTCAGCCTCCCAAAGTGCTGGAATTACAGGCGTGAGCCACCGCACCCGGCCAATGTAAGATTTTTAAAGTCCAATATTACTGCATGTGCTTCTTAAAATTTCTGATTCCTAAGGGTAATGGGGAATGGGAATGAATATGACCTTAGAGTAAAATTAAACATTTATTTCATTTTATCTCACATTTTGTTTTTCAACAACTGCACTAAAAAGCTACACTAATTTATTAAAGGGTAGGGAGACTGTATTCAGCTTGTTGGGCATTGTAAGTGTAGATAACTACAAAAGCTATGAAAAACTAGGAGACAAGGAATTTCAAAGAAAACAAAATAGAATCAAGACACATCTCAGAGTAATCAGACCACCACTCCTGATATTCCTACTTCTCTGACTGCCCCCTTCAAATCATTCTGTATTTAGCAGCCAGAGTGACTTTTAAAAGCCTAACTCAGCTCATGCCATCCTGCTTCTTGAAGTCCCTCAGGCATTTCCTACTTCCTCGAGAATAAAATATCAACTCCTTATAGTGACCTCAAGGCCCTGGCTGCCCTCTCCTACCTCTTCTAACGTAGCTCTTCCCTCGCTCACTATGCTCCAGCTGCACACGTCTGGTCTTTACTGTCCTTCCTGCCTCTCTCTTTTGCAACAAATTCCAATTATATTTATTGAGTACCTCCTATATGAAAAGCTTTTTCAAATGTGATTTCATTCAATCATCACAAGAAATTACAGATATAGATATCTTATAAGAAATTAAGCTGAAAGATTACATGATTTACCCAAAATACAAGTCTTTTCTCACATTCCCCAAACGCTGAGTTTTTTGAGAGATGCCAAGCCCATTCCTCCTTCATCATCACCTTTGTACTTGGTGACCCTTCTCCTAGAAATGCTCTTCCCCCAGCTGTAGCATAGTTGGCTCCTTTTAGCCCTCAATTTTATATTTCTCCTTAGAGAGGTCTTCTCTGACTGCTTTATCTAAAGCAGTTTCTTCCATTCTCTGGGATAGCATATTCCTTTATTAAATACTTGCTAGTTACTTAGTTTCTTGTTTATTGGCTGTCTCCCCCAATAAGCTCCATGGAAGGAGAGAACATGTTTACTTTCTGCATCATGTGCCTGGCATTTAGGTGTTCAATGAACATTTTTTTCAATGAATAATGTTCTGTATCCCAGGAAACTGGTACGGGACAAAAGTACTCAATATGTTTACTAAATGAATCAATGAGGAAAATGATGCGCCATGGGCTTCAAGATACCACAACTTTGCCTAAAATTAATATCAAAACACATTTTTGTGAATGTCTTACAGATATCTGAGGGAGCACTATGAAATGGAAACCAGACAAATCCTAGCTATATTATTACCTAGTTTTGTGGCCTCAAGCAAGTCACTGAATACCATTTTCCTTATAGGATCCCTTTGTTTTTGTGAGTATTAAAGATTAGGCAAAATCTTATGCATTTATAGCTACTGGTATACCTCACTTATTTTCCACAACAATCATATAAGACAGGTAGGGCATAAATTAATAGTTCATTCAATCAATTAGGAAATCAACTCAAAGGTTACATTACTTGTTCCAAATTACATGGTTTATACAGGGGCAATCAGGACTTGAACACAGGTTTTCCAACTCCTGGTTTATCACTCTCCTTTTATCACGTCCAAAGTACTTACAGGTAAGGGCCCAACAGGGTAACAAAACACTCTTAGATGTTAAATGATCACCAATAACAACAGCTTCTTTATAAGAAAATGAAAGTCCTGATCAAAACTAGCAATGCTCTCTTCTTTAGTAACTTCTCAAGTAGATAAAACGCTGGCTTGGGAATAATCTATAAAGATATTTAGTAGGCCTCAAAGCATTGTTTAGGCTAAGGGAAAAGAACCCACTTGGCTAACAATAAAAATGATCACTGATATGCCAAAGAAAATAAATTCTTTGGAATATTTGCAGAGTAGGAAAAACAAAAGATTTTAAAATATAGAAATTACTAAGGATCATATTCTATAATACCTTTAATGTAATTTCTTTCTTTATTTTTAGTTAAAAGATAACAGAAATGATAGTATAACAAATTAAGCCTGTGGTAATGGAAACTTCACAAAATTAAATTTTCAAATACTTTTCAGGTCAGCAGTAATATGACTTTCTAAATAATAACAGAACAGATTTTGTTTGCTGTTCCTCTGCTCCCAACCATACACAAATTTTTCATAAAAATCAAACCAAAAGGAAGGGCGATTATTTGTATTCTTAAGAACCTGACTGTCTAATTTGCTTAAAGCCCATTTAAAAACTATTTTCTTTTAAATTTCTAATATAAGGTTCAGTAATTATTTTTCTATGATCAGACCTAACATTCTATCTCCCATCAAGGAGTCTGATATACATACTTGCAATTGGGAAAGGACAGAAAGTCCAAAAATTCCTTTGGATAAAGTGCTAGGCAACCAGCATTTCAAGATATTCTATTTCCATATATTAATATATAACAAATCTTCAAAATAAAAAATAAAATACCTTGGAAGTCCTCAGAATTAGGCAACTTGACACCGCATACAAAGTAATCCTTATGTTCATTCTGTGAATTTAATTAAAGAATAAAATTAATAAATAAAGCAAAGAAACTCTAAGTTAAATCTCAGATCAGCAGGTCGGTGCTGACTCAAAACACTGTTCTAAACTCCAAGTATTATCATAATTGTTGAAGCTGGATGATGAGTACATGGTGATTCATTCTACTCTCTCCCTACATTTACATATACTTGAAATTTTCTATAATAACATTTAAGACATCATGTCCAAGGAAAAAGCCATGTAAAATTATCATCATAAAAATATCCTTATTTCATTCACATATATAAATGGTTTAATAAGATTCTATAAGCAAACTCAAATCCTATTAGCTTTCTTCTCTGAAAATTAGTCTTTTAAACAAATTTTCATTAAAAAGAAAACTATCAAATTTAGCAGATTTAGTTCTCTGAAAAATAATCCTAATCAATTTTATTGAAGTTTTCCTTTTTTCATTCATTCTAAGAAACTAGGCTCAAAAACCTAACAGCCTGACAGTTACCCCAGGAATATCTTAAGTAACACTAATACATGAAAATTATCAATCATATTTTTAAAGCAGTGCACATATATTTGCATGTGTATGTCAGAAATGGTGATAATGGGCAGGGTGCAGTGGCTCACACCTGATATGCGAGCACTTTGGGAGGCTGAGGTGGGTGGATCACGAGGTCAGGAGATCGAGACCATCCTGGCTAACGTGGTGAAACCCTGTCTCTCTAAAAATACAAAAAAATTAGCCAGGCATCGTGGTGGCGGGCGCCTGCAGTCCCAGCTACTCGGGAGGCTGAGGCAGGAGAATGGCGTGAACCCGGGAAGGGGAGCTTGCAGTGAGCCAAGATCGCATCACTGCACTCCAGCCTGGGTGACAGAGCGAAACTCCGTCTCAAAAAAAAAAAAGTGGTGATAATGGATAATGTGGTTAAGTAAAAAGATCCTAAAGAAACCAAAAATAATTTGGCAGTCTTTCAGATGATGAGTGCATCCCACCACCAAAGTGATATAAATGAAATAGTAGGACCTAAGGCCAAACAAGTCTAAATCTATGTTTTAAATAGACATTAGCTCCTGAATGAATCATGACAGAGCATATGATTAAGCCTAAAGCAATGAGTTTTTTCATTGAGAGGAAATGTCATACAGAAATCATCTTTTCAAAACGAAAAATATTTTCAGAAAATTTGAAACTTACCAAATCAATAGGGTAAATGTAGGAAAGCTCAGAGAGTAACTGCCTGCAACGAATTGTCAACTGAGCATTAGTCTTCAAGAAGAGTTCTCTAATGAGGAAAGAAAAAATACATTTATTAAAAAATATATGCTTGCATGCTTTGTAACATTTATTTCCACACAATTAATCCAAAGAAAGATTATACTGTCTGTAATAGGCCACAGAAACTCAGAAGTAGAAGCATAAATAATAGTTACCGTAAGTCTTGACCTATCTCCAAATAGTATCAATCAAGCTAACTATATACTGAGTGCTACTGTGTGTGATTAGTACCATGCTAAGAAATGTAAAGGGGGCTGGGAGTGGTGGCTCACTCCCATAATCCCAGCACTTTGGGAGGCCCAGGAGTTCAAGACCAGCCTGGGCAATATAGGGAGACCCCGTCTCTACAAAAATAAAAAAATTAGCCTGGCTTGGTGACGTATGCCTGCGGTCCCAGCTACTTGGGAGGCTGATGTAGAAGGACTGCTGGGGCCTGGGAGGTTGAAGCTGCAGTGAGCCCTGATCATGCCACTGCACTCCAGCCTAGGCACCAGAGCAAGACCTTGTCTTTGAAAAAAAAGAAATGTAAAGGGTACAAATAATCATTCACTAGGCATCTACAAATGGCCTTATTTATTCTAACAACTCTAGCAGGTTGATACTGTTATATCTATTTATAAACAAGGAAACAATATTTAGAGAGTCTGAGTAATGTGACCAAGATTTCACAGTCAATTTAATGAGGCCAATTTGATTTCAAGAAAGATCTGGATGGTATTTCCTCAAAAAGTATTCTATATTTCACTCACAATTACATATTATAATTACCTCAAAAACCAATATGTTGGACTGTAAGAAAAAAAGTAAAAACAACAAATAAAAAGCTATAGTATGAAATTACCCTTCTCTCTCTCTTTTTTTTTTTTTTTTTTTTTTTTTTGAGACGGGGTCTCACTTTAACACTCAGGCTGGAGTACAGTGGCACAATCTTGGCTCATTGCAGCCTCGACCTTCCCGGGCTCAGCTGATCCTCTCACCTCAGCTTCCTGAGAAGCTGGGACTACAGGTATGCCCAACCATGCTGAGCTAATTTTTGTATTTTTTGTAGAGACAGTGTTTCACCATGTTGCCCAGGCTGGTCTCAAACTCATAGGCTCAAGCTATCTGCCTGTTTCAGCCTCCCAAAGTGCTGGGATCACAGGCATGAGACACCTTGCCTGGCACCAGCTCTTTTCTTGCACTACTTAAGAAACATGATCAATACATAAAATACCTGTAAAGTAAGTTGCCTGATCAACTGTGTCAAGAATTTAAGAACAAAAGGAATTTAGGAGAAACTGTAGATCAAAGTATAACATGACATATATATGGTCTTTGCCCCCGGTTCTTATTACAGAGCACCTAAAAACCTTGGAATTTCCTGAGCGATAAGAGTGTCTTTTGCTATTCATTATGAGCCCCTTTTGATTACACCACAGTTTATGCTATGAGATGACTTAAGGCAGGGGCTCCTAGACAGCCTCAGGATGGAACTGGTCACTAGAAAAACCAAGAGATTAGAAGGTTGGACTTTCTTCCCCACCCACCAAACTCTGAGAAGAGGGCTGGAGATCTTGCACAACAAGATCTAATGAGCTTCCAGACTGGCAGTGTCTGGAGATTGATGTGCACAGACGGGGCATGGAAGCTCCATGCTCCCTCCCCCATACCTTGCCCTATGCATGCCTTCCATCTTGCTCATCGGTATCTTTTGTAATGTCCTTTATAATAAACCAGTAAGGGTTAAGTAAATGTTTCTCTGAGTTCTGTGAGCTGCTCTAGCAAATTAATCGAATCCAAGGAGTGGGTTATGGGAACCTCTATTTAAAGCAGGTCGATCAGAAGCACAGGTCACAACCTGGGGCTTGCCAAATGGCACCTGATGTGGTGAGGCAGTCTTGTGGGAATGAGTCCTTAATTCTGTGGGATCTGATACTATTTGCAGGAAGACAGAGTGAGAAATTCTAAGACATACAGTGAGGGTCTGCTGGAGAATCTAATGTTAAAAGTGTTGTATTGAGTGGTGTGTAACAGTACGAAAATCACTGGTTTTTTAGTTATCTAAAACAGCACTGAAGACAACGGGATCTAGTCCTGGCTTTGCTAGTGAGTTGGACAAACAGTAACTTACCAGAGCATTGACTTCCTATCTGCAAATTGAGAGAATTGGAATAGATAATCTCTATGGTTTTCTATAGGTCTAGCACTTTTTTTTTTTTAAGATGGCGTCTCGCTCTGTCGCCCAGACTGGAGTGCAGTGGCGCCATCTCGGCTCACTGCAAGCTCCACCGCCCGGGCTCACGCCATTCTCCTGCCTCAGCCTCCCGAGTAGCTGGGACTATAGGCATCCGCCACCACACCTGGCTAATTTTTTGTATTTTTAGTAGAGACAGGGTTTCACCGTGTTAGCCAGGATGGTCTTGATCTCCTGACTGCATGCTCTGCCTGCCTCGGCCTCCCAAAGTGCTGGGATTACAGGTGTGAGCCACCATGCCCGGCCAGTCTAGCATTTTTGAATCCCCAACTGCTAAAGTTTTTTGAAGAAAAGTGCATGATGGATGGATTTTCCAGGAAAAGCAAGTGAAGATGACCAAAAGAACAGAGGTACCAACGAATTAAGCATATGTTGGAAAAAATGAAGAGAAAAACTATTGGCATTTGTTAAACGAATGTTGGGAGAGCGACTAAAATTAACTACAGTTGCAAGGTGCCAATTTATTACAGGCTATTTGAAAGTTAAGCAAAAGAATCACCATATTAAGAAGATAAAAATGCCAGGCATGATGGCTCACACCTGTAATCCCAGCACTTTGGGAGGTTGAGGTGGAGCATCACTTGAGGCCAGAAGTTCGAGGCCATAGTGAGCTACGACTGCACCACTGCACTCCAGCCTGGGTGACAGAGTGAGACCCTGTCTATGAATGAATGAATGAATGAATGAATGAATGAATGAATGAAATGTTTCTCCACATTAAAAAAAGAAGATAAAAAATAAGGTAAAAATGGTATTTTAAGAGGAGAGGTCTGATCGTAGCATGGAGAACAATCTGGAAAGATGAAGAGACTGATGTTAGAGAGATAATCTAGTTGCTGAAGTAATCCAAATGAGCTAACAAGAAGCAGAAGTAAATCTGAAAAAATTATTGAAAAAAAACCTATAAGCTAAACCGCATGTAGAAGACAGAAGGAAGAAATTCAAACATTAAACCACGATGCTGTGGCCTGAGAAACTTGAATAGGGTTCATGTTTCTGATTATAACTACATACTAGGAGCTTTCATAACTGACCTCTGGCACAGTGCATGACACACAGTAGGTGCTTAATTAATGAATATGTGTTGAATAAACGAATGTGGTACTGAGGTATATGGGCTATAAATTAATACCAGCAGCTTTAAAGAATGCTACTTTTTCAAATCTATCCTCGCAGTAAACTCCACACTCACAGCAATTCTTCTCAGTGTGCATTTACCTTTTTGCAGTGCACTCCTTCCTCAGCTCATTTAGGGATTCCTTCTGGAGTTGAAGTTTGAGGTGCTCAGCTGAAAATGCACTTCCTAGAAAGAAAAGGAAGGAGATAATTCCATATGTAACATAGGATTACTCAATCACAACCAAAGAGGCCAAGCCAAATCCCTGACTGTGAGAGGGAAATAAAAAGAGTTAGGGAAAGTGGGTTGAGTACAGAGATTTTTTGGGGAGAGTAGCTAGAATAAACTTCCCTATTGGTCCAGTTTTCACATAAGTCCAGCCTCTGGCAGAAGCCTAAGAGTATACGCCTAAGACTCTCTGCCTATAGATATTTCTCAATTAATGACTGAGAAAGATGGTCAGCAATTGATAAGATATCAAAATTCAGACTTCACTTTAAAAAAATGAGTGATTAATTCCTTTCCAACCAAAAATGCTACGGAATAACATTACTGAAAGTATATTTTAAAAAAGAGTAAAAAAGTACCTGTATTTTGACTACTAAAATATAGTTCATAAATAAAGGAGTTTTTATGAACCGTCATCTTCCTCATAAATATCATTATTTTAGGCCAGGTGCGGTGGCTCATGCCTGTAATCCCAGCACTTTGGGAGGCCAAGGCTGGCAGATCACTTGAGGTCAGGAGTTCGAGACCAGCCTGGCTAACATGGTGAAACCCCGTCTCTACTAAAAATACAAAAATTAGCTGGAAATCGCTTGAACCTGGGAGGTGGAGGTTGCAGTGAGCCAAGATCATGACACTGCACTCCAGCCTGGGCAAGAGAACGAGACTCTGTCTCCAAAAAAAAAAAAAAAAAAAAAAAAAAAAAAATCAGTATTTTCGTGAAAATCATAGTGTATAGGAAATGTGTATTCTGATTTTTCAACTATTTTTACATGACGACAGATAGTCTGAGTTATGGCTGTACAAAATTTAACTCCATGAATGTGAATTACAGGAATATTTCACATTTTAAATGATACCCTCATACCTCAATTCTTTTTTTCTTTTTTTTTAGACAGGGTTTCTGTCACCCAAGCTGGAATACAGTGGCATGATGACAGCTAAATGTAGCCTCAACTTCCCCAAGCTGAGGTGATCCTCCTGCCTCAGCCTCCTAAGTATCTGGGACAACAGACACATGTCACAATGCCCAACTAATTTTTGTATTTTTTTGTAAAGATAGGGTTTCACCATGTTGTCCAGGCTGATCTTGAACTCCTGAGCTCAAGCCATCCGCCTGCCGTGGCCTCCCAAAGAGCTAGGACTACAGGTGTGAGCTACAGTGCCCGGCCTTCCCAACATATTTAAGCACCCTTCTCTTCTCTTTCAACATACTATGAAGACCAGTAAGTTGGGAACTCTGACCCCAACAGAATTTAACCAAGGAACACAACTTAACTTTTTAGCCCACAATATAACTCCTTCCCAAATCTTCACCTTAGTGATTTTTTAAGACATTTAGGTTGACACCCTCTATCCCCACATACTTCATCAGAAAGTATATGAATTCTTCTACCACTAGAGAAACGTGCAGTATCATTCTTCATCCCAGATAATTTAGGCTGCCTCAACTCAATGTTAACAAGACCACAAATAGGGACCAAAGACAGATCTGGTCTTCAAAACACAAATGAGTGTCCCCTTCCTCAGTTCAGAAGACTCTAGAATGTGTTATTACATGACCTCCCCTCAAGAAAACTCCTTGCAATGTGGTAGAAAGGAAATTAAAAAAAATATCCCAATCAGCTAACAAAATGTAACATACCACATTCATTTCTCTATGAAAGGTAATACAGCTTATTGGTTCCATAGGAGTGGGCTCTGGAATAAAACTGAAGCAGTTTGGGTTATTTAGGCTCAGATAGAGAAGAACTAAGTATTTGAAGATACTCCAGAAAACTCAACCTAAATTCTAAAAGTCACTTCAAAATAAGTAATAATACTGATGCAATGGTATACTCAAGCTCTACAGGGGTTGTTCAGGTTTTATATTACCAACCTGAATACTACATGACTGATGTTGTGTCCTTCTAAGGGTATCACATCTGGAAGCAATGATGTCCATGTTTAAGAGCATGCATACGTCCTGCTTCTCATATAAATTTCTCCCTAGAATGAGCTTGATTAATGGTTTCTGTTTAAATCAATCTTTACTAAACATGCTGAAAAATAATATTCCAACTTCAGTAATTCCTCCATAATCATCAGTCAGCACTCAGCATTCTTCTCTAAGCAGAAGCCCCCCCATCTTCTCTATTAACTATCCATTATCAGTAAAGAATCATTAACTCCTTTTTATTTTTCAATGATTTATAACTCATTACTGTACATAATTATTTGGTGCTTAAGTGATCCCAGATTCAACCAGTGGGACTCTCTTCAACCTGCCTCTAAAGTCCTTGTGAGATGCTGCCATCATGTTTTTTAAAATACTACATTATAATCTTAATTTCTGTAGGATCTGTAGTGATGTCCCCTCTCATTCCTGATATTGGTAATTCTTATTTTCTCTCTTTTTACTTAGTTAATATGGCTACAGGTTTATCAATTTTAGTGATCTTTTCAAGGAACTACCTTTTGGTTTCATTGATATCCTCTACTCTTTCAGTTTCCAGTTTCACTGATTAGTGGCCTTTATTATTTCCTTCCTTCGATTTGACTTGGGTTTAGTTAATTTGCTCCTCTTTTCTAATTTGTTAAGGTACAAGCTTAGATTATTGACTGGAGACCTTCTTTTCTAATATTGGCATGAAATGCTATAAATTTACCTCAAACTTCAAATGTATTTTCATTTTCATTCATTTCAAAATACTTTCCAATTTTCTTGTGATTTCTTCTTTGACCCGTGGTTTATGATATATATATTGTGTAATTGTGGAATATTTGGAATTTTCCAGACATTTTTCTGTTAGTAACTTCCAGTTTACTCTGTTTTGGTGAGAAAACATACTTTGTATGATTTTAATTATTTTGTATTTGTTTGTCTTATGGTACCAAATGTGGTCTAACTGAATGTTCCATGTATACTTGAAAGAAATGCAGATTCTGCTAGTGTTCAGTGGAGTGGTATGCTATCAATTAGGTGAAGAAAATTGATAGTAATGTCTTTTAACTGATTTTCTCTCTACTTGTCTTTATCACTGAGGATGAGTGTTGTGGTTTCTAACTATAATTGTGCATTTGCTTATTTCTCCTTTCAGTTCTATCTATTTTTGCTTTATCTGTATTAAAATAATATTGCTATGTTCACACATATTTAGAATTGTTACGTCTTTTGGTGAACTGACCTCTTCACCAAAATGTAATATCCCTCTTTATTCCAGGTAGTAATCCTTGTTTTGAAGTCTACTTTGCCAGATATTAATATAGACACTACAGTTTTCTTTTGACTGTTATTTGCATGGTACATCTTTTTCCATTCTTTAACTTTTAATCTATCTAACTTTTTTCTTTTTTTCCTTTTTTTTTTAAGAAACAGGGTCTCACTCTGTTGCCCAGGCTATGCTGCAGTGTGCAATGGTGTAATCTCAGCTTACTGCAGCCTCCAACTCCTCAACTCAAGCAATCCTCCTGTCTCAGCCTCCCAAGTAGCTAGGACTACAGGTGCACTCCATCATGCCTGGTGAATTTTTAAGTTTTTTTGTGTGTGTTGATGGAGTCTCACCATGTTGCCCAGGCTGGTCTCGAACTCCTGGCTTCAAGCAATCCTCCTGCTTTGGCCTCCCAAAGTGCTAGGACTACACATGTGAGCCACCACACCTGGGAATATATCTACCTTTATATTCAAAGTGGATTTCTTGTAGATAGTATTTATTTGGGTCTTGTTTTTTGTTTTGTTGTAAATCAAATCTGGACAATCCCTTTTGTAACTAGAATATTCAGACTACTTACACCTAATATAAACATTGTTATGATTAAAATCTACCATTTTGCTAGCTGTTTTCAGTATGTTCCATTTCTTCTTTGTTCCTTTCTCTCTCTTTTTAAATGCTATTGGATTGAGTATTTTTCAGTATTTCATTTTTCTTCACTATTGGCTTATTTTTTAAGCTCTTTAAAAATGTTTATTGGTTGCCCAGGAGTTCACAAAATGTATCTTTAATTAAGCATAGTCTACCTTCAAAAACAAGTTGAGCATACCTTATCCGAAATGCTTGGGATGGGAAGTGTTTTAGATTTAATTTTTTTTCAGATTTTGGAATATTTGCATTATACATACTGGTTCAACAACCTAAACCCTAAAATCTGAAATCTGAAATGCTCCAAAGAGCATTTCCTTTGAGCATCATGTTGGCACCCAAAACGTTTTAAATTTTGGAATATTTTGGCTTTCAGATTTTCTGATTAGAAATATTCAGCTTGTAATATTATACCACTTCATGTAGAGCATAAAAAAACTAAAAATATGGCTGGGCACGGTGGCTCACACCTGTAATCCCAGCACTTTGGGAGGCCAAGGCGGGCAGATCACAAGGTCAGGAGTTCGAGACCAGCCTGACCAACATAGTGAAACCCCGTCTCTACTAAAAATACAAAAATTAGCCGGGTGTGGTGGTGTGCGCCTGTAATCCCAGCTACTCGGGAGGCTGAGGCAGGAATCACTTGAACCCAGGAGGTGGAGGTTGCAGTAAGCCGAGATTGCACCACTGCACTCCAGCCTGGGTGACAGAGTGAGACTCTGTCTCAAAAAACAAACAAATAAACAAACAAAAAAACAACTGAAAAAAGTATACTTTCAATTCTTCCTTTTCCCAGTTTTTAAATTCTTCATACATTTTACTTTATGTATGCTATAAGCCCACAAACACCATTATTTTTGCCTTAGAAAGTTGACTTTTTTTTTTTTTTTCTCTGAGGCAGAGTCTTGCCCGGTCACCCAGGCTGGAGTGTAGTGGTGCTATCTCAGCTCACTGCAACCTCTGCCTCCTGGGTTCAAGCAATTCTCCTGCCTCAGCCTCCCCAGTAGCTGGGATTACAGGCACCCGCCACCATGTCTGGCTAATTTTTGTATTTTTAGTAGAAATGGGGTTTCACCATGTTGGCCAGGCTGGTCTTGAACTCCTGACCTCAGGTGATCCACCTGAAAACACACATATTCCCTTCCTCCCTCCTTCTTGCTCCACCACACCCCAGACCATCATATTCAAACTGCTGAAGACAAGAAATGAAGAGAAAATGTCCAAGGCAGCCATAGAAAAAAGACACATTACCTGCAGAAGAACAAAGATTTCCTAACCTGTCCTCAATCTTTCTTGTGAATATCCAAAAGAGGTCTATGCAGAAGAAACTGCAAGCTAGTAAAAACTGCCTTATATCTGCCGTAGTCACATACTAGTCTACACTTGGTCATTAACGATTTGTTAAAAGCTTTAGCTCAATTATTTCACCTTATTACACAGCAGCCCCCAACTTCTTCCCATGCTCTACCATTAGTAATCAGTGCTCACATCCTACCTCTCCTTGGAGGTTGTCTGTCTTTCCTTACACTCAAGCTACTTCGTTGCCTTGAGATCCTAGTTTTCTGATGGATTTAAGAAAAGTTATGACTTTGTATATTATCCAGTGTTTTTTTTTCTTTATTCTCAGGGTAGAAGTGAAACTCCTTTCACCTACATCTTAGGCAGAGGCTGGAAGGAAAATCTGAGGATATTAATTTGATTTTTTAAAAGTTCTCCATTCTTTGTATTGTCTGTTTATTTTGGGTCAGCTATTCTGTTTATTCAACTAGGTCTCATTCATGCTGTTTTCCTCAAATATCTGATGATCCTTAGTGCTCCTTTCAAACCCATGAATAAGTGATTAGACTGATTAGTATAGACAACTGGCATAGGTTTCCTCTGGAGCTATGAGATTTATTTCCATAAAAAGCCTCACCCCTTAGTGCCATTAGTATAAGTGAGCTGGTCCTGTTGACAACTAGGCTTTCCTTCTGGGTATATATGCTGGGAGAAGGTATACTTTTACTTCAAATTACTGCAACTGTCAAGGGAGCTTCACACTGGGATTTTATTTGGGGTAGGTATTTCACTCTTGAGTAGAGTTGTCTTTCATGTTTTCCTCTGGGTTGGCGATAAAAGTCCAGTCACTTTAAGTTCTACTGCAACTTTCTACCATGTCAAACACTTATACCGTGGGACCTAAGCAGGTCAGGAATCCATTATGTTTAGAAAGCAGCTACAGCAAATGTTATAGAAAGCTGCTCCAAATGCACACAAGAAGGAGAATGGGCCAACAGGCTCAATTACCCTGATTATTGCTCTACTTAATTCTTGATCTCAATACTGGCAAATTCCAAGCTTGAAGCCTCTGATGGTTCTATCAGGAACCCTACCTGCAGCCGTTTCTATTTGTGTTCTAGGCTGCAGTTTTTCTCTACTTTAGTTTATTCATCAAAACAGTCCTATCTACTTTGTATCTTGGAGAACTGTGCCAAAACCTTTGCTATCCCAATGACATCCTCTTTTGTTTCTACCATTACCATGGTTTCATTCTTTATACATGTATATTTATTATCACATCAATAGGTCATTGGGAGAGAGGGAACAAAAATGCCGGAGCTTGGTTTACCATCTTCCAAAACTGCTTTGACCCTGTCCAGGCATATATCAATGTTCTACTCTGTTAAATCAGATAGCCTCTCTGTTCAGCAAGAACACAAGTCAGGCAATATAATTTTAACAGCAAAATGTCAATGTTGGCTCCTATAAATATAATAGCTAAAGACTATGAATCTTGCTTCCAGCAACAAAACAAAACACAGACTCTTGGTTCTCTCTCACCAGAGTTTGGTCTGAGACTGGCCAATGGCCAGCTCCTGTCAAAATTACAGTTAAAACCAATAAATTGTCATTCTTCTGGGTTTTCCACATTAAGTCAGATGACCAAAAAGCAATATACTTGGAGTACTTTAGCTTCCTTCCCTGCAGAAATGCCTTTTCTATACTATGATTTATGATGCTGCCTTTCTCAAGGGTTAACAGATATTTCTTGCTGTAACTTTTGCAAAATTACAACTGACTTTATTTCATTATGATATTTAATATATTGCACATATGAAACTAAATTATTCTCTGCATTTAGTGCTAAGAGAGTATTTTTATTTCTCCCCTTAAAGAACTGATAGGCTTCCTTATTAACAGGCAATGTAAAACAAACGATATCTGTCATACCTCTACACAATTGGCTTGACAGCTGAGGTCAGAGCTAATATTAGTTCTTAAGAACAATAAGCAGATTCTATGGAAGGCAGTGAACTGTATTTAGAAAGCCCATGGACTTATGAATCAGAAAGATCTAGGTTGAAATCCTACCTATGCTACTTTCAAGACTCTAGACAAGTTTCAACTTCTCTGAACTTCATGTTCCTCATCTGTAAAATGGGGAGAATTTCATTCTTAACATTTGCATTATTGTGCCTGCCCCCAGTAAGCTTTACTGGAATTGCTCACAATTCCCTAAGCTACCTCCATGCCTCTGTATAAACTGCTCCCTTTACCTGGAAGGTCTCACCTTCTCCCCCTAGTTAGAACAATACTATATATTCTTCTAGGCTCAGTGTGTCACCTCCTGTACCTGTTGTTCTGATTATCATGTTTATATTCTGTGTTCCTACAGTATCCTCTATATACTTCGGTTACATATTTATCACACCTGCCATGTTGACTCTAATCGCAATGTCTGGTTCTTTGAAAGTGTTCCACAAATTATGAATAAATGAATTGACAAAGGCATATATGCAGAAAAATAAAAATCAATGCTCCTTCTACTTCCTTTACAAGTCATATGCTCTCTTTTTACTTCTATCTTCAACCACCTAAATGTAAATGTATTTTTTTTTTTTGTAAATGTTACTTCCAGTGCATTTTGAGAGTAAGTGGAGAAAAAATTATGACAAACCAATATACAATTGTGTCAGGTGGCATATTTCTACACATCTATACCTCCCATGGGAAACAGAGATTAAAATATGACAGTTTGCCATTCCTACAAACAAATAAGACATTACTGGAATAAATTACTATACTTACATGGAAACTGAAATAAAATCAGAAGTTTGCTCAGGACTCATATTTACCTACCTCTTCCCCCAAAATACCCCTGCCACAAGTTGTCTGGCTTTTATTGCTAATAGCATAAATCCTAGGGAGAATCTGTCCTCAGGTCCAGACTTTTTTTTGAAAGTTAGATATTAATAATTTTGAAGATGCCTATTTAAGAATTTCTGTCAGATGGTTATTTAAAAAATCAGAACACATATAAACTAATAAAATTTAAATTTTGCCATCATTTCAAATAAATATATTTTGAGTTTAAAAACTGAGAAGTAACTTTTCATAAGTAACTGTATGACCTAAGAAAAGGAAAAAATTGTTATGCAAGACTTAATAATGTATTTACAACTTCAAATAGAAACCTATGAGCTTTTGATAGAAATTAAAGTATCAATTTAAATATACTGTGTGATTCTTCTTTTATCTGAGATGCAGACCAAAAGGACACAGTAATTTACTAACCAAGCAGAAGCTAATTAAATAGAACAAACTACATATGTAGGTCACCTTAATTACTCTTTTTTTTTTTTTTTCAAAATGACAATAAGAAACTATTACAGTTGATGGGAACTTCACATAAAATATTTATTTTGGCAACAACTTTTTATTCACTGAAATTACCAAGGGTAATTTATTTCCCCAAATCTGAGCAATGAAATCTGACATATCTGACCTCTCCTATTCACTGCCACCAAAATAATGTGTTTGTTTTTGCTCTTAATTGCCAAAGTAAAATAGGAGAAAAGTATGGCTAGTTACAGAATTCTAATAGGTCATTCCCACCAAATGGCTTTTCAGTATTAAACAGGCAACAATCATAGACACACTTGGGTCAAAGATTAAAAAAAAAAAAAACTTTTATAAAATGCTGGAAAATATATCATCAGCATTAAACTTATAATAATAACAATAATAAAGAGAGGCATTAAAAAAGGTGAACAGATCACCATCATTTCCACCAGTCCTACCTTTCTGAGATAACCAAAATCTTAATAGAGCTGAAAGAAATCTTGACTGTATAATTCAGAATTTTTTGTTTTGTTTTGTTTATGCAGAGGAAATAAGCTCAAAAAGTTGAAAGACCTGTCTAAGGACAAAGTTGGAAAATGGCAGACCCAAATCAAAGCAATCTTTGGAGAAAATTCACTTCAGCCATACTATAATAAAAAGGAACAAAGCAAAACAAAGTTCTCTAGCTAACACCTCACAGGCCAAATAGAAAAACAGCAAACTGTGAGTTGACCCGGACACATACTAGAGAAAGCAGTAATGACGTTTCGTTTAGTGGAAACAAGACAGGCTTTGGAGTAAGAGAAACCAATGTTTGAATTTGGATCTGTCACTTAATTGGGACCTCAGGGAAGTGTCTCTGAGCCCTAATTTTCCTCATTTGGGAAAAGAAGGTAAAAAAGATATCTTAAGACTATTTTAAGAATTAATAATATACCAAAACTAAAATATCTGGCATGTTACAGGATTTCAATAAAAGTTATCTACTTCATGTGATTTATGTGGGATTCAAACGAATGTTTTGCAAAGTTTTAGGTAGTATGGAATACTGAGAAAAGCACAGAATTTAGAGTTGAAATCTGTGCTGAATTTGGGTCCACATCTCAACTTTGCTGCTAATTGTCTGTGTGTTCCTGGCCAAGTCATTTAACTTCCCAGTACCTCACATATACAATGAGGGTAACATCTGCCCTACTTAGCTTTCAGAGATGCTTTAAGGATCAAACATAAGAACTTCTGTATAAGCACTTTTTAACTGTATGGTTATCCTTATTATCAAGAAAGTAATTGTATTAAAAAGTAGCTTCTTCCCACAAAGTTTGGAGAACTCTCCTTTTATAAAGTTAATACCACTTCCCAGGCACCACTGAAGTATTCTTGGGTTTTTATCAACATTTGTTTATAAGTGATATGGTATGGACGTGTGCTCCTCCAAATCTTGTGTGAAATGTGATCCTCAATGTTGGAGGGGAGGAATAATGGGAAGTACTGGAACATGGGGATGGATCCCTCACAAATGGCTTAATGCCATCCCCTTGGTGATAGTGAGTTCTTGCTTTGGTAGTTCACAGGAGACCTGGCTGTCTAAAAGAGTATGGCAATTCTCCCCACCCCCCTCACTTCCACTTTCACCATGTGATACGCCTGTACTGGCTTCACCTTCCACCATGACCGAAAGCTTCCTGAGGCTCTCACCTGGAGCAGATGTTGGCATCATGCTTCCTGTACAGCCTGCAGAACCGTAAGCCAATTAAACTTCTTTTCTATATAAATTACCCAGCATCAGGTATTTCATTATAGTGATGCAAAAATGGACTAATACAATAAGAAACCTACATTCTACTGAACACACTTCCATAAAACCAACATTTCATACCATTTTTTGAGCTAAGTTTCCAGCAAACTAATTTTGATAGAGTGTTGCTTTTCAAAGATTTGGGGGTTGTGTCAGGACAAAAGACCCGGTAAAGCAACACAGAATTCATTAATGGGAAGATTACTTGGCTTGAGTTACTGAGGGGAAATCTGGTTTTTATTAAACATCCTAAGTTAAACTACTAATACCTTCCAGAAATGAAAATATATACACTAATAAACATTAATACTGAAAAGATCAGCTCATGACCCAGCTGGAAGTTGCCATAGACCACAAGTTGAGAACCACTGCCTTTGAGGGATAGGAAGGGAAAACGTATGAGTGTGAAGTAATGAGGCCCTTTGGAGTTATGTGACCACTCAGCAAGTCAGCAGCGTGGATAAAAATTGTCTTTTTGGCACTTTCCAATAAATCATCCTGCTGCAATGGATTTTCATGAACAAAAATATAAGCACCTGGTTTCTTCCAAATGTTTACACAAATTAATTCCTATGTCAGTATTATTAGCAGCTATCCTTACTGAACAGATGTGTAAAAAGATGCAGACAGTAAATAATTCCTTTGTGGTCATTCAGAATAATCAGCAGCAAAGTCACAATTAAATATGATATAGTACTGACTTTATATCCTAACTGAGCTCCTGGACTCAGAACCAAGTACCTAGATAAGCACCAAGTGCCAGTCACAATATGTAAGAACGCACTAGTAATATTCATATCAGCAAATCATTTCACTACTCCCTAGCAAACAAACTAAATCAAAGCTGCAAATGCAAGAGAAAAATACCTTTTTCACCTTCGTTGAGCAAATACCAGTGACTATGGTGCTTTCAAAATATTTTAACTTGGCTCAAGATTCATTAAATAGTACCTTCATGTAAATGTACAAGAATAATGTTCAACACAAGCATATAATAGTATATGTTTAGAATAGAATATTGAAGAACAAGTACGTATCTGGTTACCTAGCACAGCCACTATGAAGAACACAGGTGCCCAAAAAGTAGACCAGGTTATGCTAGTAAATAAATGTGGTTATCTGTATCCAGCCATCCCCCTCTTTCCCACTCCCCAGTGCCGATCACCACAGCCCACAAACATTCGCAATGGGAATAAGAGTGAAGCCAACAGCAGCACTCTTTCTCCTACTTATGTTAGGAACCAAAGTATCAACATTAGATCCTAACCTTCTAAGGATTCTAATAGTCCAGGGGAATACAAAGTAATTCTCATCTCAAAAACATATATAAAAGTGAGAAAATGGCACTTCAAGTACAAACTCAGTGTTAAAAATCAACAATTGTGACCCTCCATGACAAATACATATTTAACTTGAAGATTACCATTCTTTCTCTCCATGATAAAATAGAGATTCAAGAATGTGCAACTGACTTGGCTGTCAGAATTAAAATACTAGAAGAGATATCTATAAAATTCTATAATCTCCCTTCGCAGCACAGTTAGGCAGCAGTAACTCTGAACACAGGCTCTGCCATAACTTGCTATGCATGTGGCTTTGGGCACATAACTTGTTATGTGATTTTGGACAAATCATCCTCATCTGCAAACTGGGTACTAATATGTAGTATCTTTATTATTAGAAGGATAATAATAGTATCTTTAATGTATAGGACTATTAGGACAAAATTAGATAAAGAATAGAAAACATGACATTTCCTGGCACTAATATTCTATATATAAGAGCAATTAATACCGGCTTGTGTTCTATAAAATATAAATACAAGCTCATATTCTCTAAATATGAGCAATTATTATTAAACCTCAGTCTTGTAAATGGTATAGATATCACTGTTTAGATGTTCATTTGCTTATAATCTAAGGATAGACATCCTGGGACCTCTTTCTATCCTAATAGGCAAATATACAACCAGAAACAGTTAAAGAACTATATCTCCCTATCTTTTTACCATATTCTAGAATAATATATACCCCTTGGTTTTATATATCATGCTAGTTATAAAAATGTAGTATTATTCAGTGATTGACAGTTTTGGAATCAGTAGATTTTAATCTCAACATCACCTCTCATTAGCTACATGAATTTAAGTAAGTTACTTAATCTCTCTGACCCTGACATAGTTTCCTCAGCTATAAAAGGTAAATAATAATAGCATCTACCTCATAAAGTTATTGTAGTGATTAAACAATATTACATATTTATAGTAATAAGCACTGTACTGGATACATTATTGCTACTATTATTACTCTTACTAGAAAAGGTCAAAAGTCCCTAAACCCTTTACAACCTTATAGTGTTTTCATTTTGAAAGTTAATGATCTTAAAAAAGGTAAGATATGCAGAAATATATGCCACAGATAGCAGGCAATGTAAGTACAGTAAAAGTTGATGGTACTTCCAAAGCACTGTAAGAAATGTGTCTTTTCACAGAAGATGAAATCTTTTGAAGCAGGCCTTGTATGTACAAAACAACTGTCTATTTATTTGGGGCCATTCTAACAAAGACAAATGGACTTTATCATAATGCTTCATGATTTTAAATGGCATTATTCCTTTTGACTCTCATTTATAAATATGCAAGTTGTATTGGAATGCAGATACTTATCACTGCCAAACAACATACACTTTTTCTGCAGTCTTTCTCATAAGAGTATCAGTCTTCCCATATGAATGATAAACTAGAAGTTAGAGAAGTCTTTCTTTAGCAATGATACCCATGACATGACACCAATAAGCATAAGTACGATGCTTTCATTCAACAAATATTTATTCTATGTGTACTATATCCCAGGTACTATACCATGCCTAAAAGATATGAGTATTTAATGTAGTCCTTGAACAGTGCCTGCCCTCAGAATCTGTCTAGAGAAGGAGATAGACTAATAATCAAAGTGCTATCATGGAAAAATATAGGGTGCTATGGAAACACACAGTAGTACATTTAACCTAGGGGTGGGAGGAGAAAGAGAAGGGAGCCAGTGATGGTTTCCTGGTGAAAACAACATTTAGGCAAAGGCCTGTATGCAGGTAAGATAGAACAAAGCATACTTAAGTAACTAAAAGAGTTCTGTGTGGTTGAAGCATTCAGATTGAGGTGAGCCATTGGAGGCCTTTGTAAGTCATCTTGGGCTGAGACTTTTATCTTAAAGGTACAGAAACCCACGAGAGTATGACATAGGAATAAAACAGATGGTGTTTTGCTCCTATTTTTATGAGACCATTTCATCTTCATAACTCATCTGATCATCATATTATACATATTCTTGCTACACAAAATGTGGTTCACAGACCAGAAACATCAGCAGAACTTGGAAGCCTGTTAAAACTCAGTGAGACACAGTTTTAAGTATTACTATTAACCCCATTGTAGAGATAACACTAAGTTATTGGACAAGGTTACACAGCTGGTAAACAATGAAGTAGGCTTGTGAAACAAGGCATTCTGAATCAAAGCCTGTTCCTTTAGAAACTTATTTTCTAAAATTACTGAAATGAAGAAAAATCACATTTATAAAATTATTCTTTGTAATGTAAACTATACTTCATATAGGTCAAAACTTTAAAACCTGCTAAAAATGACTTACTTTATTCACATTCCAAATACACTCTTGCCACAGTAGGTTTTCTGTTTCCTATTATATCTCATTTATCCACCAATGTCAACTATGTGAAATACACCAAAAACTAAACAGGAAACCACAAAAGGATGCAACAAATAAAATAAGGTTAAATAATTCATGTACTACATTTAATGGTACATTACCTATATGAAAGCCCCTCAAAGATTCATGCTGTGTAATACTCACTGAGGGCCTCAGTGTTGGGCACTGAGAAGGATACCATAAAAGTGCAAAGTCCCTGCCCTGAAAGGGCTTACCAAATAAGTGCGAAGATAAGACGACATCAAAACACTATGGGGACACAGAAGAAGGAGCAGGAAACTTTCATTTGAGGGAGAAAAAAGCCTCAAGGAGAGGTAGTATTTGAGCATGTCTTTGAAGAACCAAAAGAACTAAACCAAGGAGAGATGAGTAAAGTGTGTTCTCATAAAAGCAAGTATAGAGGTAAAAAAGACTTCTATTTCTGACTGATGGAATAACATACATCAGATTTTCCTCCCACTGTAAACAACTAGAAAGTCATACAAAATTATATGTAACAACAGTTTTCAGACAATAGATAAGAGGCAGCCTAGTATAATGATTCCTGAGAGAAGGAAAACAAGAAACGTGAGCCCTATAACGGCTCCAAATCACTACATGGGGAGTGTTTCCAGGCCACAATGCAGAGGGTGAACAAACACAAAGAAAGTTCCAGAAGTGGCCGGGCATGGTAGCTCACACCTGTAATCCTAGCACTTTGGGAGGTAGGCGGATCACTTGGGGTCAGGAGTTCAAGACCGGGCTGGACAACATGGTGAAACCACGTCTCTGCTAAAAATTCAAAAATTACCCAGGCGTGGTGGTACACGCCTGTAATCCTAGCTACTGAGGAGGCTGAGGCAGGAGAGTCTCTTGAACCCAGAAAGCTGCAGTGGGCTGAGATGACACCAGTGCACTCCAACCTGGGCAAAAGAGTGAGACCCCATCTCAAAAAAAAGGAAAAGAATAAAGTTTAAAAAAAATGATGAATAAACTCAAAATACACTGTTAAGATAGGGAAGAAAAAACATATAAAGCGTATATTTGATAAAGAACATATCCAGAATATAAAAAGAACTCTTACAACTTAATAATAACGTTACCATCCATCCCCCTTCCCCACTTTCCAAAAAACAGATGAAAGATCTAAACAGACATTTCATCAGAGGAAAGAAACAGGTAACAGATAAGCACAAGAAAAGATGCTCAGCCACAATAGTTATCAGGGAAATACAAATTAAAACAATGAGAAACCACTACATACCCACTAACATGGCTAAAATCTAAAATTAATGTTTAGATGTGGACTAAGTGAAACTCTCATACATTGCTAGTTGAAAATGCATAACAGCTTAGTAGTTTTTAAAAAGTTAAACACACATTTACTATACCCCAGCAATCCCACACCTAGTTATTAATATTTAACCAAGAGAATATACCCACACAAGGGCTTATACTTGAATATCTATGCAGCTTTATCCACAATAATTCAAAACTGGAAACAAACCCAATGGCCATTAACAGGTAAATGTATAAACAAGTTGTATGTACATACAGTGAATACTACTCAGCAATGAAAAGATGAATTCCTGACACATACAACCACATAAATCCCAAAGCTACTATGCTAAGTGAAAAAGAGCCAGATATAAAAAGTGCATATTGTATGATTCCATTCATATGAAATGCTAGAAAAGGAAAATGGTATCAGAAAGCACATCAGTAATTGCTAGTGGTCAAACGATGGAGGAAAGAACTGACTACAACAAGGCCAAAAAGCTGTTTACAATGATAGAAATGTTATCACTGATTGTGGTGGTAGCTACCTGCCTGAATACATTAGCTAAACTCATCAAACTGTGTATTTTAAATTGATTAATTTGATTGTAAAATATACCTCATTAAAACTGATTTTTAAGAAAATAAAAAAAACAAAGAAATGAAAATTCACATATTGAGCTCTTATCAATTCATTAAAAGAACAGTTAATGCGGCCGGGCTGGTGGCTCATGCCTGTAATCGCAGCACTTTGGGAGGCCAAGGCGGGCAGATCACCTGAGGTCAGGAGTTTGAGACCAGCCTGGCCAACATGGCAAAACCCCATCTCCACTAAAATTACAAAAATTAGCCAGGCATGGTGGCAGGTGCCTGTAATCCCAGCTACTTGGGAGGCTGAGGCAGGATAATCGCTTGAACCTAGCAGGCAGAGGGGTGCAGTGAGCCGAGACCACGCCATTTTACTCCAGTCTGGGAGACAAGAGCGAAACTCCATCTCAAAAAAAAAAAACAGTTAATGCAAAAATGACAAAATGGGTAAAGGATGCAAAACGGTAAACCACAAAATAAGAACTACAAAAATGCTTATAGTAAACCTTCTATGTTTTATTAAACCCTCTATGAAATATTAAAGGCTTTCACTGAGACTGGAAATGAGAAAAGGATATCCACTGATACTACTTCTATTTAATATTGTACTGGATGTCTCAGACAACACAATCAGGTAAGAAAAAAGTTTTAAAGGCATACGTATTAGGAAATGAGAAATAAAAATGCCATCATTTGCAGGTGAGATGACTGTAAAAACAGAAAATTCAAAACAATCTAACAATTATTAGAACTAGTTAATAAGTTCCTTGGATATAAAATTAACATACGAAAATCTGGTGTAAGAAGCATGTAAGTCATTAGGTAAATTTGAATCAAAACTACAATGAGAAACAATGCTATATTCAGTAGGATGGCTATAATTAAAAGGAGAGATAATAACAGATATTGGTGAGAAAATGGGGAGATTGGAACCCTCATATATTGTTGGTAGGAATGTAAAACAGCTGTTGTGGAAAATGGTTGGCAGTCATTCAAAAAGTTAAAAATAGAGTTCTCATATGACCCAGCAATTCCACTTCCAGGTGTACGTAACAGGAATGAAATCAAACATCCCTACAAAAAGTTGTATATGAATGCTCATAAGCAGCTTTATCTGTGATAGACAGAAAGCGGAAACAACCCAAATGTCCAACAACTGATGAGTGGATTTTTAAAATGTGACATATCCATATAACTGAATGTATTATTCAGGAGTAAAAATGAATTAGTGATGCATGATACAGTGTGGATGAACCTTACAAATATTACGCTAAACAAATGAAGTTGGTCATAAAAGACCACAATATTGCATGATTCTGTTTATAAAAGAATGTCCAGAAAAGGCAAATCTAGAGACAGAAGGTAGGGGGGTGGTTACTTAGAACTGGGGGAGGGGAAGTGTGGAATAACTGCTAATGCACATGAGTTTTCTTTTAGGTAGGACAATCAGATTGTGGTGATCACTGCACAACTCTGTGAATAAACTAAGAAAAACTGAATTATACACTTTCAATGGCAAAATTATATGGTATGGGAATTATATCTCAATAATCCGATTTTTTAATTTTCTGCAATTTTTTATATTTGTAACAAATAATTAAAATCATTACTAATTTTAGTGTAATGAAATTTAATTATAATGCAACTAAATTAGAATGTAAATAAATAACCACAGCAAGACTGCAGCTGCAGGGCTGTAACTGTAACATTAACAATTACTAATCTGTCTATAAGGCTTCCGGTGAATTTTTCTTTAAACATAATAAATACTAATACCACTTAAAAAAAACTAATTAATTGTACATCTATATACCAGAAACTAGTAAAAATAAGATTTAAAGATATGTACAATAGTATCATAAAACAACAAAAAATAGAAATAAATTCAATGAATCATGGGAAAGACCCATACACTATCTTATTTCGATAACGTTTTGTAAAGAAGATCTAATAAACAAAGGCATATATCATTTTCTTGGGAAGGAAGCCTCAATATTGTAAAGATGTCTATTATCCCCAATTACATTTGATAAATATATTCAATGCAGTTCCATCAAAATCCTAGCAAATCCCAGCAATGAGGTATGACAATTAAGAAAAAATATCCTAGCAAGGTTTTCTTTTCTATGTAGAAATTCACATGAAAATGACATAGGGCAAAAATAACTGAGGTAATCTTGAAGAAAAACAATTAAGCTGAAGAACTTTAATGGATATCAACACCTATTATAACATGAAAAAAATTAAAACAGCAAGATAATGGCAAAGGACCAGAAAAATAGATCAATAGAACAGAACAGAGGGTTCTTAACAGACTTACAAGCAAATGGTCATCTGATTTATGAGAAAAGCAAAACTGCAACGCAATGGTGAAAGGATGATCTTCAGTGAATGGTGCTGGGTCAACTGACTATCAATACGAAAAAAAATAATCTCGACTCCTACCTTACATCACATACAAAAAGTAATTCCAGATGAATTATAGATATAAATGTAAGAAGTAAAATAGTAAAGTATTTTAAAGAACACATAGAAAAACAACTATAAAATCTTAAAATAGATAAATATTTCTCCAAGTAGTCACAAAAAGCCTCATCTATGAAAGACTGATAAAATGGAACTTCTGTTCATTTAAAGGTATCATTAAAGAGTGAACGAGCAAGCCACAGAATGGGAGAATATATTTTTAAGCATATGCCAAAAAAAGAACCCATATCCATAATATATAAAGAAATCTTACAAACAAAAAGACAGTCAAACCAAACTTTTTTTATTAATGGGCAAAAGATTCAAACAGGTATATCACAAAAGAGTGTATCTCAGTCAGCAAGAAGCATATGAAATGTTTATAAAATTTATAACATATGAAAGACTAACTTCATTAGTCTTCAGGAAAATAAAAATTAAAACTGCAAGAGGATATTACAACATATCCAACAGAAAGGCTAAAACGAAAAATACAAATTACCAAATGCGATAAATACAAAATATACAAAAAAAAAAAAAAAGAAAAGAAATTCCTGACAAGGATGTAGGAAGGAGCAACACTGGACAGAGGGGAGATAAACTGGCACAATCATATTGGAAAACCATTGGGCACAATCTACTAGAGCTGAAGATACGTACATTCTCTTGACTGTAATTCTACTCCTCAGTTTCTACTCAACTGAAATACCTAAAAATCTTTATTAAGAAACGTATGAAAGTTCTTCACTCAGAAACCTAGAAGGTTCATGGAAACATTAACTCTAATGTTCCCAAAATGAAAATTACTGAAACCAACAGCAAGAGTAGATAAATAAATTCACACTTATATAATGGAATACTATTTGGCATTAAACACGAACAAACTGCAACCACATGAAGGTAAGAATGACTCTACAAACATAATGTTGAAAAGAGCCACCACATGTACATATATGATTCTATTTCTATAAAGTTCAAAATTAGGCAAAACCAATCCGGTTTGAGTCTTGGCAGTGGCTAGTCTGGCTGGAGATGTGGTAAATGGAAGGAAGCGTGAGGAGGCTTTGGGGTCCTGTTTCTTGATTGAGATTCTGCTCACATGGGTATGTTTGCTTTGTGAAAATTCAAGCTCTGTGGACACAACTTCTCCATAACTTACCATGGGGATACATCCTGATAAACCCATTGTAAGTTGAAAGTATCATAAATTGAAAATGTATTTAATACACCTAACCTACTGATCATGAAACCTTAGCCTAGCCTACTTTTAAGGTGTCAGAACACTTTTATTAGCTTACAGTTGGGCAAAATCATCTAACACAAAACTTATTTTATAACACAGCATTGAATACCGTACACAGATGAGCACTTTGTAGACTTGATGGGATGTGAAAACATAAAACACAATATCCAAAAAACACTAGCAACAGAGTACATTATAGAGTACCGGTTGTTCACCCTCATGATCATGTGGCTGACTGAGAGCTGCAGCTCACTGTCACTGCCTAGCATAGCAAGAAAATATCATACCACATACTGCTAGCCTGGAAAAAGATCAAAATTCAAAATTCATAGTATGGTTTCTACCACATGTATATAACTTTTGCACATTGTAAAACTGAAAAATCGTACGTTAAATCATCATTAAATCAAACCATTGTAAGTCCGGGACGATTTGAATACAGATCTGTACACTTGTCTCTATGGACTAACTTCAAAATACTTGCAAAAATATTTTAAAAATTTGAGAAAATTCTATCACCATACAATCATGTACTGCATGATGATGTTTTAATCAACAACAAACCACATACAAGATGGCGGTCCCACAGATTATAGCATAGTATTTTTATTCTATGCTTAGATATATTTAGATACATAAATACTCACCATTGTGTTATAGTTGCCTACAGTATTCAGTATGGTAACATGCTGTACAAGTTTACAGCCATATAGCCTAGGTGTGTAGTAGTAGTTTATACCATCTGAGCTTGTGTAAACATACTCTATGATGGCAGCTCAGCAAGGAAATCACCAAAGGATGCATTTCCAGAATATATCCCTGTCATTAAGTGATGTGTGACTGTATTTACACAAAAAATGACTATTTGAGCTTGTGAAGAAGAAGAAAGGAGAACTACTGAATGTGGAGGTTAGGCTGTTTGTATGGTATTTCCACTCACCTTTGTCTTGTAATGCAATTTGTTGCTTATGCAGTAATGCCACCTCCCGTCCCAAAGCTTTCTTCTGCCGTTCCAGTTCATTCTGAAGCACCAAAATTTTTAACTGCAGGCATTCACTTTTTTTTTTCTAAATAAATAAAATCACAGGTATATTTATGAATATAAATGTCATGACTATGAATAATTACATACTCACAATGTTTAAAAATAAATAATGGCTTAAAACATTTTAATACTCATCAAACTTATGGAACTCTTGAGTAACTTAATTACCAGCACCATCCTTTTAATGAAAATCATATAGAAATAAGCAAAGAATAAGAGTAAAAGTAAATCTTAAGTCTGGGGACCCAACAGACACTACACAAAATATCTCAGGTACCTTCCCTGATACCACAATACAATACAATAAGATTTTTAAAACTTAATAATAAGTAAGTTCTCAAAAAGTTAAATACAGAGGTACCATAAGACCCAGAAATTCCACTTCTAGGTATATACCAAGAGAACTGAACACATGTCCACACAAAAACCTGAATACTAATGTTCATAGCAGCATTACTCATAATAGCCGAACGACATAAAAAACCCAAATGTCCACCAACTGATGAAAGGATAAATAAAATGTGGCCTATCCATACAATCAAATATTATTTTGTAATAAAAAGAAATTAAGTAATGACAAATGCTACAACATGGATCAACCTTAAAAACATTATGCTATGTTAAAGAATCCAGTTTTAAAAGGCCACACACTATACGGCTCCATTTATATGAAATGTCCAGAATAGGCAAATCCATAGAAACAAAAAGTAGATTTCCACGTTTGCCAAACCAAACCGAGGTGCTCTAACCCCCCTGCCCGTTTCAAAGAAGGCCAAGCAGAGGCCTGAGGTTTTCATCCCTGCTAGGCAGTAACCAAACGAGTCCCATGTGGTAACTACTGACACCACATGGGGATCCTGGACTTTTACCACCCACCTGTCTGTAATAAGATAACCCTCTCCCACCCCCAATGCAGTGGTATTAGAGAAGGCCTAGTTGAGAGTCACTTTCACTCTACCCAGTGCTAATGAGGCCACCCTCCTTTCTGTGATATCAGTGGAAGATATGTGGGGAGAAGTAACAAGGCATCTCTCCTCCTCCCAGCTAAGAATTTATCATTGGAGGCCTAGTGGGGAGCCACTCCTGGCCAGTATTAATTAAGGCAAGGGGAGCTTTCTCCCCTGCCACTTAGCCAATGGAAGCTGCATAGGGAATCTGGACTTCTATACTCATCTGGCAGTAATGAAATGGCACCTCTTCTTTCCCCTACCAGAGAGGTCTCAGAGGAAGCCAGCTAAAACAGAGGGCTTAAATAAGATCCAGAGACTTAAAACTTAATGCCCAAAATGTCCAAGTTTCAATCAAAAACCACTCACCACACCAAGAACCAGGAAAATGCCAAACAAAATGAAAAAGGACAAACAACAGATGCCAATACTGACATGATAGACGTGTTACAATTTTCTGATAAATACCTGAAAGTAGCCAACATAAAAATGCTTCAATAGCAATTAAGAACATGCTTGAAACAAATGAAAAAGTAGGAAAAAAAAAACTAGAAAGTCTCAGCAAAGAAACAGAAGATATAAAGAACCAAATGGAAATTTTAGAACAAAAAATAACAAAAACTCAGTGAATGGGCTCAATGGCAGCACAGAGGAAGCAGGGAAAAGTCTGTGAACAGAATACTGAAACTACCAATTTTAGCAAGAGAGAAAATAGCCTTGAAAAAAAATGAACAAAACATCAGGGACCTGTGTAACTATACCAAAAGAGCTAACTTTTGTGTCATCAGAATACTAGAAAGAAAAGAGAAACAGAGAAGGACTGAAAAAGTATTTGAAAAAATAATGGAGCCAGGCAAGATGGCTCATGCCTGTAATCCCAACGACTCAGTGGCTGAGGCAGGAGGATTATTCAAGCCTAGGAGTTTGAGGCTGCGGTAAGCTATGATGATGCCATTGTACTTCAGCCTAAGTATCAGAGCAAGACCCTGTCACACACACAAAAAAAAAACGAAAAGAAAAGAAATAGTGGCTAAAAACTTGCCAAATTAGGGGCAGGCACAGTGGCTCACACCTGTAATTCCAGCATTTTGGGAGGCTGAGGTGGGCAGATCACTTGGGGCCAGGAGTTTGAGACCAGCCTGGCCAACATAGTGAAACCCCATCTCTACTAAAAATATAAAAATTAGCCGGGCACGGTAGTGGGCACCTGTAATCCCAGCTATTCGGGAGGCTGAGGCGGAAAAATCGCTTGAACCTGGGAGGTGGAGGTTGCCGTGAGCCAAGATCATGCCACTACACTCCAGTCTGGGCGACAGGGCAAGACTCTGTCTAAAAATTTTAAATTTAAAAACTTACCAAATTAGGCAGAAGAAAGAAATCTACATATTCAAGAAGCCAGTTAAATCCAAATAGAATAAATCCAATACAGAAAAATCAATGAAACCAACAACTGGTTCTTTGAAAAGGTAAATAAAATTGATAAAACTCTAGCCAGGGCCAGGTCTGTAATCCCAGCACTTTGGGAGACTGAGGCACGTGGATCACCTGAAGTCAGGAGTTTGAGACCAGCCTAGTCAACATGGCAAAACCTCATCTCTACTAAAAATACAAAATTAGCTGGGCATGGTGGCAGGCACCTGTAATCCCAGATACTTGAGAGGCTGAGGCAGGAGAATTGCTTGAACCTGGGAGGTGGAGGTTGCAGTTAGTCGAGGTCACGCCATTACACTCCAGCCTGGGCAACGAGAGTGAAACTCCATCTCAAAAAAAAAAAAAAAATTCTAGCCAGACTCTTCAAGGAAAAAAGAGAAAAGGCAAAATTTACTAATATGAAGAAAGAGGGGTTATCACAATTGATCTCACAAACATCAGAAGAATAAAAAAACACTATAAACAACTCTATGCCCAGAAGTTTGGTAATTTAGCTAATATAAACCAATTCTTTGAAAGACAATCTACCAAAACTCACAGTAGGAAAAAGAGATAATAAAGCAATTAGGCTGGACATTGGCACATGGCTGTAATCTCAGCACTTTAGGAAGCCCAGGTGGGAGGATTGCTTGAGCCCAGAAGTTGGAGACTAGCCTAGGCAATACAGTGAAACCCCATCCATAAAAATAAAAAATAACAAAATTGGCTGGATGCGGTGGCATGCACCTATAGTCCTAGCTACTCAGAAGGCTGAGGTGAAAGGATCACTTGAGATCAGGAGTTCAAGGCTAGAGCGAGCCATGATCCTGCCACTATACTCAGTCTAGGCAACAGAGCAAGACCCTGTCTCAAAAAACAAACAAACAAACAAAACAGAGAGAGAGAGAGAAATTAAATTAACAATTACTAACCTTCAGAAACAGGGGAGAAAAAAAAAAGGTCTAGTTGGTTTCACAGTGAATTCTACTAAATGTTTAAGTAAGAAACAATACCAGAAAAAAGAGGCAGGGAGGTTCCAAGATGGCCGAATAGGAATAGCTCCAGTCTACAGCTTCCAGCGTGAGCGACGCAGAAGATGGATGATTTCTGCATTTCCAATTGAGGTGCCGGGTTCATCTCACTGGGGCTTGTAGGACAGTGGGTGCAGCCCACGGACCGTGAGCCAAAGCAGGGCAAGGCATCGCCTCACCAGGGAAGCACAAGGGGTCGGGGAACTCCCTTTCCCAGCCAAGGGAAGCCACGACAGACGGCACCTGGAAAATCGCACCCGGAAAATCAGGTCACTCCCACCCTAATACTGTGCTTTTCCAAAGGTCTTAGCAAACAGCATACCAGAAGATTATATCCCGCGCCTGGCTCAGAGGGTCCCACGCCCACGGAGCCTTGCTCACTGCTAGCACAGCAGTCTGAGATCAAACTGCAAGGCGGCAGCGAGGCTGGGGGAGGGGCGCCCACCAATGCTGAGGCTTGAGCAGGTAAACAAAGCTGCCCAGAAGCTCGAACTGGGTGGAGCCCACCGCAGCTCAAGGAGGCCTGCCTGCCTCTGTAGACTCCACCTCTGGGGGCAGGGCATAGCTGAACAAAAGGCAGCAGAAAACTTCTGCAGACTTAAACATCCCTGTCTGTCAGCTTTGAAGAGAGTAGTGGTTCTCCCAGCACAGAGTTTGAGATATGGGAACGGACAGACTGCCTCCTCAAGTGGGTCCCTGACCCCCAAGTAGCCTAACTGGGAGGCACCTCCCAGCAGGGGCCGACTGACACCTCATACGGCCAGGTGCCCCTCTGACACGAAGCTTCCAGAGGAATGATCAGGCAGCAACATTTGCCGTTCTGCAATATTTGCAGTTCTGCAGCCTCCACTGGTGATACCCAGGCAAACGGGGCCTGGAGTGGACCTCCAGCAAACTCCAACAGACCTGCAGCTGAGGGTCCTGAGTGTTAGAAGGAAAACTAACAAACAGAAAGGATATCCACACCAAAACCCCATCTGTACGTCACCATCATCGAAGACCAAAGGTAGATAAAACCACAAAGATGGGGAGAAACCAGAGCAGAAAAGCTGAAAATTCTAAAAATCAGAGCACCTCTTCTCCTCCAAAGGAATGCAGCTCCTTGCCAGCAACTAAACAAAGCTAGACGGAGAAAGACTTTGACGAGCAGAGAGAAGAAGGATTCAGAAGATCGGTAATAACAAAATTCTCCAAGCTAAAGGAGGATGTTCGAACCCATCTCAAAGAAGCTAAAAACTTTGAAAAATATTGGATGAATGGCTAACTAGAATAAACAGCGTAGAGAAGACCTTAAATGACCTGATGGAGCTGTAAACCATGACATAAGAACTATGTGATGCATGCACAAGCTTCAGTAGCCGATTCGATCAACTGGAAGAAAGGGTATCAGTGATAGAAGATCAAATGAATGAAATGAAGCTAGAAGAGAAGTTTAGAGAAAAAAGAGTAAAAAGAAATGAACAAAGCCTCCAACAAATATGGGACTATGTGAAAAGACCAAATCTATGTCTGATTGGTGTACCTGAAAGTGATGGGGAGGATGGAACCAAGTTGGAAAACACTCTGCAGGATATTATCCAGGAGAACTTCCCTAACCTAGCAAGGCAGGCCAGCATTCAAATTCAGGAAATACAGAGAACACCACAAAGATACTCCTCGAGAAGAGCAACTCCAAGACACATAATTGTCAGATTCACCAAAGTTGAAATGAAGGAAAAAATGTTAAGGGCAGCCAGAGAGAAAGGTCAGGTTACCCACAAAGGGAAGCCCATCAGACTAACAGCGGATCTCTTGGCAGAAACTCTACAAGCCACAAAAGAGTGGAGGCAATATTCAACATTCTGAAAGAAAAGAATTTTCGACCCGGAATTTCATATCCAGCCAAACTAAGCTTCATAAGTGAAGGAGAAATAAAATCCTTTACAGACAAGCAAATGCTGAGAGATTTTGTCACCACCAGGCCTGCCCTACAAGAGCTCCTGAAGGAAGCGCTAAACATGGAAAGAACAACCGGTACCAGCCACTGCAAAAACATGCCAAATTGTAAAGATCATCGATGCTAGGAAGAAACTGCATCAACTAACGAGCAAAATAATCAGCTAACATCATAATGACAGGATCAAATTCACACGTAACAATATTAACCTTAAGTGTAAATGGGCTAAATGCTCCAATTAAAAGACACAGACTGGCAAATAGGATGGAGTCAAGACCCATAAGTGTGCTGTATTCAGGAAACCCATCTCACGTGCAGAGACACACATAGGCTCAAAATAAAGGGATGGAGGAACATCTACCAAGCAAATGGAAAACACAAAAAAGCAGGGGTTGCAATCCTAGTCTCTGATAAAACAGACTTTAAACCAACAAAGATCAGAAGAGACAAAGAAGGCCATTACATAATGGTAAAGAGATCAATTCAACTAGAAGAGCTAACTATCCTAAATATATATGCACCCAATACAGGAGCACCCAGATTAATAAAGCAAGTCCTTAGAGACCTACAAAGAGACTTAGAGTCCCACACAATAATAATGGGAGACTTTAACACCCCACTGTCAACATTAGACAGATCAACGAGACAGAAAGTTAACAAGGATATCCAGGAATTGAACTCAGCTCTCTGCACCAAGCAGACCTAATAGACATCTACAGAACTCTCCACCCCAAATCAACAGAATATACACCCTTCTCAGCACCACATCGCACTTACTCCAAAATTGACCACATAGTTGGAAGTAAAGCCCTCCTCGGCAAATGTAAAAGAACAGAAATTATAACAAACTGTCTCTCAGACCACAGTGCAATCAAACTAGAACTCAGGATTAAGAAACTCACTCAAAACCGCTCAACTACATGGAAACTGAACAACCTGCTCCTGAATGACTACTGGGTACATAATGAAATGAAGGCAGAAATAAAGATGTTCTTTGAAACCAATGAGAACAAAGACACAACATACCAGAATCTCTGGGACACATTTAAAGCACTGTTTAGAGGGGAATTTATAGCACTAAATGCCCACAAGAGAAAGCAGGAAAGATCTAAAATTGACACCCTAACATCACAATTAAAAGAACTGGAGAAGCAAGAGCAAACACATTCAAAAGCTAGCAGAAGGCAAGAAATAACTAAGATGAGAGCAGAACTGAAGGAAATAGAGACACAAAAAAACCTTCAAAAAAATCAATGAATCCAGGAGCTGGTTTTTTGAAAAGATCAACAAAATTGACAGACCGCTAGCAAGACTAATAAAGAAGAAAAGAAGGAAGAATCAAATAGACGCAATAACAAATGATAAAGGGGATATCACCACCGATCCCACAGAGATACAAACTACCATCAGATAATACTATAAACACCTCTATGTAAATAAACTAGAAAATCTAGAAGAAATAGATACATTCCTGGACACATACACCATCCCAAGACTAAACCAGGAAGAAGCTGAATCGCTGAATAGAGCAATAACAGGCTCTGAAATTGAGGCAATAATTAAGAGCCTACCAACCAAAAAAAGTCCAGGACCAGACAGATTCACAGCCAAATTCTACCAGAGGCACAAAGAGGAGCTGGTACCATTCCTTATGAAACTACTCCAATCAAAAGAAAAAGAGGGAATCCTCCCTAACTCATTTTATGAGGCCAGCATCATCCTGATACCAAAGCCTGGCAGAGACACAATGAAAAAAGAGAATTTTAGATCAATATCCCTGATGAACATTGATGTAAAAATCCTCAGTAAAACACTGGCAAACTGAATCCAGCAGCACATCAAAGAGCTTATCCACCATGATCAAGTGGGCTTCATCCCTGGGATGCAAGGCTGGTTCAACATATGCAAATCAATAAACGTAATCCAGCATATAAACAGAACCAAAGACAAAAACCACATGATTATCTCAATAGATGCAGAAAAAGCCTTTGACAAAATTCAACAGCCCTTCATGCTAAAAACTCTCAATAAATTAGGTATTGATGGGACATATCTCAAAATAATAAGAGCTATTTATGACAAACCCACAGCCAATATCATACTGAATGGACAAAAACTGGAACCATTCCCTTTGAAAACTGGCACAAGACAGGGATGCCCTCTTTCACCACTCCTATTCAACACAGTGTTGGAAGTTCTGGCCAGGGCAATTAGGCAGGAGAAAGAAACAAAGGGTATTCAATTAGGAAAAGAGGAAGTCAAATTGTCCCTGTTTGCAGATGACATGATTGTATATTTAGAAAACCCCATCATCTCAGCCCAAAATCTCCTTAAGCTGATAAGCAACTGCAGCAAAGTCTCAGGATACAAAATCAATGTGCAAATATCACAAGCATTCCTATACACCAATAACAGAAAAACAGAGAGCCAAATCATGAGTGAACTCCCATTCACAACTGCTTCAAAGAGAATAAAATACCTAGGAATCCAACTTACAAGGGATGTGAAGGACCTCTTTAAGGAGAATTACAAACCACTGCTCAACAAAATAAAAGAGGACACAAACAAATGGAAGAACATTCCATGCTCATGGATAGGAAGAATCAATATCGTGAAAATGGCCACACTGCCCAAGGTAATTTATAGATTCAGTGCCATCCCCATCAAGCTACCAATGACTTTCTTCACAGAATTGGAAAAAACTACTTTAAAGTTCATATGGAACCAAAAAAGAGCCCGCATTGCCAAGACAATCCTAAGCCAAAAGAACAAAACTAGAGGCATCACAATACCTGACTTCAAACTATACTACAAGGCTACAGTAACCAAAACAGCATGGTACTGGTACCAAAACAGAGATATAGATCAATGGAACAGAACAGAGCCCTCAGAAATAATACCACACATCTACAACCATCTGATCTTTGACAAACCTGACAAAAACAAGAAATCCTATTTAATAAATGGTGCTGGGAAAACTGGCTAGCCATATGTCAAAAGCTGAAACTGGATCCCTTCCTTACACCTTATACAAAAATTAATTCAAGACGGATTAAAGACTTAAACATCAGACCTAAAACCATAAAAACCCCTAGGAGAAAACCTAGGCAATACCATTCAGGACAAAGGCATGGGCAAGGACTTCATGTCTAAAACACCAAAAGCAACAGCAACAAAAGCCAAAATTGACAAATGGGATCTAATTAAACTAAAGAGCTTCTACGCAGCAAAAGAAACTACCATCAGAGTGAACAGGCAACCTACAGAATGGGAGAAAATTTTTGCAATCTACTCATCTGACAAAGGGCTAATATCCAGAATCTACAAAGATCTTAAACAAATTTACAAGAAAAAATCAAACAACCCCATCAAAAAGTGGGCAAAGAGTATGAACAGACACTTCTCAAAAGAAGACATTTGGCCGGGCGCGGTGGCTCACGCCTGTAATCCCAGCACTTTGGGAGGCCGAGGCGGGTGGATCGTGAGGTCAGGAGATCGAGACCATCCTGGCTAACAAGGTGAAACCCCATCTCTACTAAAAATACAAAAAATTAGCCGGGCGCGGTGGCGGGTGCCTGTAGTCCCAGCTACTCGGGAGGCTGAGGCAGGAGAATGGCGTGAACCCGGGAAGCGGAGCTTGCAGTGAGCCGAGATTGCGCCACTGCAGTCCGCAGTCCGGCCTGGGCGACAGAGCGAGACTCCGTCTCAAAAAAAAAAAAAAAAAAAAAAAAAAGAAGACATTTATGCAGCCAACAGACACATTAAAAATGCTCATCATCACTGGCCATCAGAGAAATGCAAATCAAAACCACAATGAGATACCATCTCACACCAGTTAGAATAGAGATCATTAAAAAGTCAGGAAACAAGAGGTGCTGGAGAGGACGTGGAGAAATAGGAACGCTTTTACACTGTTGGTGGGACTGTAAACTAGTTCAACCATTGTGGAAGACAGGTGGCAATTCCTCAAGGATCTAGAACTAGAAATACCATTTGGCCCAGCCATCCTGTTACTGGGTATATACCCAAAGGATTATAATCATGCTGCTATAAAGACACATGCACACATATGTTTATTGCGGCACTATTCACAATAGCAAAGACTTGGAATCAACCCAAATGTCCATCAATGATAGACTGGATTAAGAAAATGTGGCACATATACACCATGGAATACTATGCAGCCATAAAAAAGGATGAGTTCATGTCCTTTGCAGTGACATGGATGAAGCTGGAAACCATCATTCTGAGCAAACTATCGCAAGGACAGAAAACCAAACACCTCATTCTCACTCACAGGCAGGAATTGAACAATGAGAACACTTGGGCACAGGGTGGGGAACACCACACACCAGGGCCTGTCGTGGGTTGGGGGGATGGAGGAGGGATAGCATTAGGAGATATACCTAATGTAAATGACGAGTTAATGGGTGCAGCACACCAACATGGCACATGTATACATATGTAACAAAACTGCACATTGTGCACATGTACCCTAGAACTTAAAGTATAAAAAAAAAGAAACAATTCCAGTTCTTCAGAATCTCTTCCAGAAATTAGAAGTTGATGAACACTTGCTAATTCATTCTATGAAGCCAGCATCACCCTAACACAAAAACCAAAGACACTACAAAATATTAGCAAATCAAATCCAACAATGTATAAGAATAATTACACAACATGGCAACATGTAATTTATCCCGGGTAGGCAAGGTTGGTTCAACATTCAAAGAGCAGTTAATGTAATTCATCACATCAACAGGCTAAGGAAGAAAAAATGGTATGATCATACATATTGATAGATGCAGAAAAAGCATGTGACAAAATCCAACTACGATTCATGATAAAAACTTTCAGCTAACTAGGAAAAGAGGGGAACTTCCTTAACTGGTAAAGAACATCTACCAAATAACCTACAGCTAACATCATACTTAATAGTAAGAAACTAGATGCTTATCCCCTAAGTTTGAGAACATGACAAGGATATCCCCTTTCGCTCCTATTCACCATAGTTATACCTGAAGTCCTAGCTAATGAAATAAGACAAGAAAAAGAAAGAAAAGCTACACGTGTTGGGAAAGAAGAAATAAAACTGTCTTTGGCTGCAGATAATATTATTGTTTCCATATAGAAAATCCAAAAGAATTGACAAACAAAACAAAAAAACACCCTCCTAGAAAAAGCAATTATAGCAAGATTGCAGAATATAGAATTAATAAGTATAAAAAGTTAGATGTCTTCCTGTGTAACAGCAATGAACAAGTGGAATCAAATTATCCAATTATCCATCAAATTATTTTGTTAATATCAAAACTGATTCTAAAGTTTATATAAAGGCAAAAGACCCAGAATATACAACAGAATATTGAAGGAGAAGAACAAAGTTGGAAGACTGACAGTAGCCAATGTCTAGAATTACCATAAGCTATAGTAATCAAGACAGGGTGGTATGGGTAAAAGAACAGACAAACAGATCAATCAAATGGAACAGAGAGCCTAGAAATATACCCAAACAAATACAGTCAAAGAATATTTGACAAAGAAACAAAAGCAACTCAATGCAGAAAGGACAGTCTTTTCACCAAATGATGAAACCACTGGACCGCCACATGCAAAAAAAGAAAGGAAAGAAGGAAGAAACAGAGTGAGTGCGAGAGGGACTAATCAATCTAGATACAGGTCTTATACCGTTCATAAAAAATTAACTCAAACCAGATCACAGATCTAAACATGAAATTAAAAATTATACTTCTAGAAGATAACACAGGAGAAAATACAGAAGACTCTGGGTTTGGAGATAACTTTTTAGACATAACACCAAAAGCAAGATCCATGAAAAAAGAAATTGGTATCTTGGAAATCTTTAAAATCTGCAAAAGATACTGTGTTAAGAGTAAAGACAAGCCACAGACTGGGAGAAAAACTATGCAAAAAAACATATCTGATAAAGAACTGGTCTCCAAAATATACAAAGAACTCTCATAAAAAAAAAAAATACAGACGGGGTCTCACTATGTTACCCAAGTGTGATCTACCACTTGGGCCTGGCCTCAAAGAGCTCTTAAAATTCAACATTAAGAAAACAAACAACCCTGGCTGGGCACGGTGGCTCATGCCTGTAATACCAGCACATTGGGAGGCCAAGGCTGGCAGATTAGCTGAGGTCAGGAGTTCGAGACCAGCCTGGCCAACATGGCAAAACCCTGTCTTTACCAAAAATACAAAAAAACATCTAGCCGGGCATGGTGGTGTACACCTGTAATCCCAGCTACTTGGGAGGCTGAGGGAGGAAAATCGCTTGAACCTGGGAGGTAGAGGTTTCAGTGAACCAGGATCGTGCTACAGCACTCCAGCCTGAGTGAAAGAGCGAGACTCTATCTCCAAAAAAAAAAAGAAAATGAACAACTCAATTTAAAAATGCAACAAAGAACTGAACAGGTATCTCATCAAAGAAGATATATAGATGGCAAGCATATGAAAAGATGTTTAACATCGTAAGTCATTAGGGCATTGCAAGTTAAAACAACAATGTGATACGACTACATACCCATTAGAATAAAATCCAAAACTCTCACACCACCAAATGCTGGCAAAGATATGGAACAACACGAACTGTCATTCATTGAAGGTGGGGATGCAAAATGGTACAGCCACTTTGGCAGAGTCTGGCAGTTTCTCACAAAGCTAAAATAGTCTTACTATACAATCTAGCAATCATACTCTTATATATTAACCTGGATACTGAAAACTTACGTTTACACAAAAACCTACACACAAATGTCTACAACAACTTTATTCATAATTGCCAAAACTTGGAAGCAACCAAGATATACTTCAATAGGTCAACAGATAAACTGTGGTATATATACAATGGAGTACTATTCAGTGATGAAACAAAATGAGCTATCAACCCATCAAAAGAGAAATTGTACATGCATATTGCTAAATGAAAGAAGCCAGTCTGAAAAAGCTACATACTGTGTGATTCCTACTATATGAAATCATGGAAAAGGTAAAATTATAGAGACAGTAAAAAGATCAGTTGCCAGAGGAGGGAGAAAAGGATGAACACGTGGAGGATAGGATATTTTTAGGGCAATGCAACTATTCTGTTTGATGCTGTAATGATGGATACATAATACATTTGTCAAAACTCATAGAACTGTATAACATAAAGAGTAAACCCTAATGTAAACTATGTACTTCAGTTAATAATAATGTATTAATATTAATTAATCAATATAACAATTGTACCACACGAGTACAAGATGTTTTAACAGAAGAAATTGGGGATGGGGTGGGTTATATGGGAACTCTGTACTTTCTGCCTAATTTTTTTTTTTTTTTTTTTTGAGATGGAGTCTCGCTCTGTTGCCCAGGCTGGAGTGCAGTGGCACAATCTCAGCTCACTGCAAGCTCTGCCTCCCGGGTTCACACCATTCTCCTGCCTCAGCCTCACAAGTAACTGGGACTACAGGCGCCCGCGACCACGCCCGGCTAATTTTTTTGTATTTTTAGTAGAGACAGGGTTTCACCATGTTAGCCAGGATGGTCTTGATCTCCCAACCTCATGATCCGCCTGCCTCGGCCTCCCAAAGTGCTGGGATTACAGGCATGAGCCATCATGCCCGGCCCTTTCTGCCTAATTTTTCTATGAATCTAAAACTACCTTGAAAAAGAAAGTTTACTTTTTAAGTTACATTAAAAATCAATTTTACTGAATACACATTTAATAAAATGAAATTCCTGACCCATTCTACCAGCCAGAGATACAATTAAACTTGTTGTTTGTTAACTTACGTTTCCATATAAATACTACATCAAACCATTGCTTAAACTTTACTCAGCCTCTTTTTTTCTCCAAAAGCCTTGCCTGAATTTACCTCCAGATACAAATCTGAAATTCTGTCCCCAAAATGAATATGTCTGTGCCTGCATATGTGTGCACACACATAATTACTGCACTATGAATGTGTCTTCTCTCCTAGTCTTTATCAGTGTCACTAATACACTTTTCATCATTTTTTATGACATAAATCTTAAGCAAACAGCAATTTGGTTATAGCTAGTAAATTTTTATCTCCTTCCTAAGGTATAAAGTAAACAATTAAAATTGTAACTACAAAACTCATCCATTAAATAAATAGGTTACCAGGATCCAGGATAAGCTGATAGAAAACTTTAAAAGGAAAAGGTTAGTATCTTGATTTGACTCACAATGAGGAAGCGTGGGAACTCAGTGAGATGCATCATGGTATGGCCTCGTTGAAGCAACGGGCATGGACAACGATTTTTGGCAATGTATTAAAAGTACTTACAGCATCATTTCTCACCCAAGATGCTTTCTTACTCATCCCTGACACACTGATTCTAAACAGATGGTATGATCATCTGTTAAAGACATTCAAGCTGAGAAAACAGCAGAAAAACTTATTTCCAATCATTATTATATTTAGCTTGAAAGGTCTATGAAATATGCCTTTCATAGAATATTCCTAAACAATTTTCCTGAACAAACCAAACATCAATAAAGGCCCTACTGCATGCTTCTAGATGAATGAGAAATGGTCTCTACTTTCTATGAATTTAGGTCTACTGGAGATAAAAGCCATTTTGCCCTGCCACCCCACTGTAAAAACAGAAACCAAAAGTCCACAAGGTTCTAAGACGCAGAAGCAACCCAGTGTCTATCAATAAATGAATGGATAAGCAAAATATGGTATATACATACAATGCAGTATTATTCAGCTTTAATCAGGAAGGAAATTTCTGCAATATGCTACACCATGGATGAAGCTTGAGGACATTACACTAAGTGAAACAGCCAGCCATAAAAAGGTATACACTGCATGATTTCACTTATATGAGTTACTCAGAGTACAGTCAAAGTCACGGAGACAAAAAGTAGAATGGTAGTTGCCAGGGGCTGGGAGTAGAGGGAGGCGAGGAGTTAGTGTTTAATGCGTACAGTTTCAGTTTAAAAGACTTCTGGAGATGGATGGTGATAATGGTTGCATGACATTCTGAAGGTATTTAATACCACTGGGCTGTACATTTAAAAATGAAATGAGATCATAAATCTTATATGTATTTTACCACAAAAATAATTGGAAAAAAAGTCAATGAGGCTGTTTATTATGAAAGAAAAAGGAACGAAGAAACAATCTGAGTTTTCTTTAGCAATGCAATAGTATAATCAAGAAGCCTAAGGTGTTCTTACATCACTGAGGAAAAAGATAGGTAAAATCTTTAGGAAGCAATCTTTTCCCACAAAGAGTGAGGTGTTCAACTTTCTTAACTTGAATTTTTCCACAAAATATGTAAATTGAATTCTACCTGGGCAGAGAAAGAAAATACAGAAAAAGAAAAGCAAATATTCAGAGAACACAGGGATATGCCTGGCTAGGAGGATAACCTGCTCTATTCCAGGGTACATACTGAGATATGTTTTCTAGATTTAAAGAACTAAGGTTACAAGTTAATCTAAATACTACATTAATATGGGAAGGCATATGTATAGTGTTTGTGTTATGGTCCATGTTCAGAAACTGGCTCATTTACAGAAATATATCAAGTCATTCAAAACCAGAATTGTTGGCTCCAATTTCTGATGAGTAAACAAACCCATGTGGGATCTAGTTCTACTTCCTTTCTAATGCATCAAAGATGAACTGCTCAAAGATCTTAATGTTCCATAATCTTCTAATGAGTTTCAGTGTTCTATTTATCTGTTTACTCCAAGTGTAATGTCACATATATTTCGCCAATAGATTACATTTAATTAGATTTTAGTGTTTTTATACAACACTATATGTGAACTGAAAATCACAGATACACACATTCCTATTTATGAGTCTCTGCCAAAAAAATGGGAAATGTTAAACATTCATTTCAGAAAGATGACTAACGTATAAATAACATATTATAGGTTGAATATGCCAAATCCTAAAATCTGAAGTCCAAAATGCTACAAAATCTGAAACTTTCTGAGCACCAATATGATGCTCAAGGAAAATGCTCATTGGAGTGTTTTGGATTTTGGATTTTTGATTTGAGATGTTCAACCAGTAATGGAACAAGTGTCTTCACATTGATCATATTGGAGCTAAAGCTTTTTGCCTTAGGTCAAAAGTTCCTCAAGCATGTTCCTGGGAATTGTGAGGGTTCCTGACATCTTTACAGAGTCTTGTAAGATAAAACATATTCGCATATTACTAAGCTGTATGCCTCTTTTCCACTCTCATTTTCTCATAAGTGTATGATGGAGTTTACCAGAGTCTGCGAGACTTACGATATTGCAACAGATTCACTGCAGAAGCAGATGTGAAAATCCAGGTGTCTTTTATTAGGCTAGACATTAGCTTAATAGCAGTTAAATTCACAAAATATTTAAGCAATGTAATGCTAATTAAACCTTTTGTTCAGAAAAATATGCTTATTTTTCATAAAAATGTATTACTGAATTCTTTGAGATTTTTAAGGGTACAAAGAGGTCTTGAGACCAATAACTTTGAGAATTGACAGCTTAGGGTATATTTTATCTTCACCTGTAGTAATTCTTCCCCCCAAATTGAAAATAAATAACAATCAGAAAAAAGGTTTTAAAATTGTGGCAGCTGTCCCAAAAGTTAACACATCTGCTTTTAAATGTCATTTACAGGTTGTTTCTACTGGACCTACACCTAGTCAACCACTAAGAAAAGGAAAAGATTTCCGCAGAAAATATTTCCTATCCATTAATTTCACAGACTTAGCAGTAACAGGCTTAGAACCCGGATTTAGCCAGGAGGATACAGCAAAAATATATAATAATAAAATGTACAGGAGCTCTGCTTCTGGTGTAAAAGAATAAGTATGCAACAAACTGGTCCTCTCATAGAAGATATAGACTATGGATAACAAATATAGACTATGGATAAAATACAAAAATTGCTACTTGAGGGTTCTTGAGACTGATCAATGGCAGGCATATTTTGGAGGTGAGTCAGAACTTGGCATAAACAACCAATAAAATGAAATTCCCCTTTTCTGTGGCTTTTCCCTGAGGGTGGCTGCAAACTCCAACAGAAAGTCAACTTCCTTTCTGACCAGAGGAACCAGGGAAAAATGGTCAGGCAATCAAGTATACCAGAATAGAGGAAGGCAGAGAATGGGCACCCCAAATTCTGTTTAAATTCAACCTAAGTCTCTGACTGAATCCTATACTACACATGCATGAGACAAACAGAAAGAAGCTTGTGCCTAAGAGTAAAAGAACTACACTGTAATCTGAGCCAATGTTCATTGCAGGCATGACAGTTTGAGCCTAACCAAGTTAACTACCTGCTAAAATAAAAACATCAACATTTTTTGGAACAAAGTAACAAAATCCAGAGATTCCACCAAATTACATTCACAATGTCCAGAATACTATGCAGTATTACCCAATATATGAAGAGTCAGGAAAATGTGACTCACTCTCTAGGGAGGAGAAAACCAACATATGCCAACCCCAAGATGATCCAGATGTTAGAATTACAAAAACTTTAAAGCCACTCATACATATATGTCGACAAAAATTGAAATATTCTTATAGTGAATAAAAGGATATGAAATATCAGCAGAGAACTAGAAAATATTTAAAAGGTCCAGATTTCTGCTCCTGGGCAAGATGGAATAGGAAAAAAAGAACACTGCCCAACTAATTTTACCAGGCTACCATAATCCTACTACCAAAATCTGAAAACGCAATTCAAAACATTGTATCACAACATCCCTGATAAATACAAGTGCAAAATTCCTTAAATTATTACCAAAGCAAATCCAAGACAATACGAAGGAAAAAAATTTATAAGAATAAATCCAACAAAATACAAAAATAATTATATATTATAATCAATTTAGGTTTATTCCAGAAATGCAATGTTAAACATTTGAAAATAAACCAAAAAGTTAATCACATTAAGAGAATAAAGAAAAAACCATATGATCATTGCAATGGATATAGAAAAACCATCTGACAAAATTCATCTTCTATTCGTGATAAAAACTCTCAGAAACTAGGAATAAGAGGAACTTCCTAAAATTAATGAAGGGCATTCTTAGCACTATATTTAACAGAGAAATGATGAGTTGTTTCTCCTCAAAACCAGGAACAAGGTGAGGATTCCTGTTCTTACTATTTTTTTTGTCCAACATTGTACTGGATGAAAATCAAATAAAGGGCATAAAACTGTGCAAACTTTCCTGTTATGATTCTTTACAAAGAAAATCCCAAAAAACTATAAATAACTAGCATAATGAATAAGTTAATATAACAAGATTGCAAGACAGAAGATTAATAAGTTAAAATTAATTGTATTATTACATACTAGCAGCAAACGAATGAGAAATAAAAATTTAAAAACAATTCCACTTGCAATAATGCCTCCCCTGCCAAAAAACTCCCATAAAACACTTCAGAATAACTCTAACAAAAGATGTCCAACATCTGCCGGGCGCGGTGGCTCATGCCTGTAATCCCAGCACTTTGGGAGGCCAAGGCGGGCAGACCACGAGGTCAGGAGATGGAGACCATCCAGGCTAACACGGTGAACCCCCGTCTCTACTAAAAATATTTTTAAAAAATTAACTGGGCGTGGTGGTGGACGCCTGTAGTCCCAGCTACTCGGGAGGCTGAGGCAGGAGAATGGTGTGAACCCGGAAGTCGGAGGGTGCAGTGAGCCGAGATCGCGCCACTGCACTCTAGCCTGGGCGACAGAGCGAGACTCCGTCTCAAAATTAAATAAATAAATAAATAAAAGATGTCCAAAATCTCTACAGTGAAAGCTACAACATTATAAAGAGAATTAGAGAGAAATCTAAGTAAAAGAGATATACACCATGTTCACGGATTGAAGGACCCACTATTGTTAAGATAGCAATTCTCCACAATTTTATCTACAGCTTCTTATCAAAATTCCATCAGACCTTTTTTTTGTGTGTGTAGAAATTGACAAACTGATTCCCAAATTCAGTTGGAAATATAAAGAACCCAGAAAAACCACAGAAGTTTTAACAAAGTTGGAAGACTTACCCTGTCAAATTTTAAGATGACAAATCTATGATAATAAGTGAGTTTGGTATTGGGGAAATACAGACATATAGATCAATGGAACAGAAAAGAAAATCCAGAAATAGATGCACATATACATGATCAATTGATTTTGAACAAACATGTCAAGGCAATTAAATGGGGAATGAAAAGACTATTCAATAAATGATGCTAAATCAACCGGATATCCATGCAGGGGGAAAAAATTACCCTTACGTACGTGATACAAAACAATGAACTATAGAACCACACCCAGCTAATTTTTTGTACTTTCAGTAGAAACGGGGTTTCACCATACTGGCCAGGCTGGTCTCGAACTCCTGACCTCGTGATCCACCTGCCTTGGCCTCCCAAATTGCTGGGATTACAGGCGTGGGCCACCACGCCCAGCCCTAAACTGATACTTATTAAAAGATGCATGCATATCCAATAGGATATGAAAAATGCTCATCATGGAAATACAATTTAGAACAAAAAGAGAAAATACTACATAACTGCTAGAATAGCTAAATGTAAAAAGACTGACCTCCTAAATGAAATGGACAAATCCTTGAAAGACACAAGCTACAAAAGTTAATGCAAAAGGTAAATTATTAAAGAAATTGAATTTCCAGTTCAAAAACCTTCCCACAAAAAAACCTCCAGGCCCAGATGGCTTCAATGCAAATTCTACTTAACATTTAAGAAATAATTCCCATTCTACACATATTTTTCCTGAAAACAAAAAGGGAGAAAACACTTCCCAAAAGTGAGTTGCGGCCAACGTCACCCTGACAACAAAATGAGACAAAGAGATTACAAGGAAACAAACTACAGACCAATATTCTTTATAAATACATATGCACAATTTCTTTAAAATTTTTTAACAAATTAAATCCAGTAATGAGCATTAAAAAGTAATTCACCATGACCAAGAGGGCTTTCCCTAGGAATGCAAAGTTGGCTTAATATTAAAAAATCAACCAATGTATTTCACCTTAATACCAGAAGAGAAAAAACATACATTTATCTAAACAGATACAGGAAAGGAATCTGACAAAATCTGAAACACAAACTGTGCATGCTGGTACACGTCTATAATCCCAGCTACTCGGGAGGCTCAGGTGAGAGGACCACTTGAGGCCAGGAGTTCAAGAGCAGCCCAGACAACATAGTGAGATCTCACCTCAAAACAAACAAACAAAAAACTTATAAAACATAAGTAAAAATTCAAAATGATAACAGCAGAAATTTCATAAGAAATAAAATTAAATGCCAAAAAACATTAGGCATTGATGTAATGTGAGAAGATGCCAAATTTTTGAAAGTCACCAACTATGAACCCAATTTCTTATAACACAGTTAATCATATATGGTCTTGGAAGGTAATCTGATTTCTTTCAACATCAAATATGCCTTCTTTGCTGCATTTTTACGTAGGTTAAAATGAAAATGATTTCTTAAATATCGGAAATGGATGGGTTGGAATACAATGGCCATGGGCCAATTTGAAAAGTAAATGAGCAAAAAGACAAATAGTAAAGTTTTCTAATATGCTATAGGTAAACCTCAAAGTGACTGACTAATTAACATGTAGATGGCATTATTCTCTAAAAGGAAACAAGTAAACCAAATTATCCATCTCTATTGTCAAATGATTGTGGGAAAGCTGTTTCCCTTCTTTAAGCTTCATTTTCCTGTCCTATTATAAAAGGACATTATGCTAGATTCATTCTTAAATTCAACAAATACTTATTGAGCACCTACTGTGTGGCAAACACTTTTCTAGATGCTGGAAATACACCAATGTAAAAAAAGAGAGAGAGACAAAAACCCCTCGCCTTATAGAGCTTAGAGAGAGAGAAAAATATGCAAAATATGTATCATGGTAAATGGTAATGAATATTATACAGAATAAAGCAGGAAAAGGGATAGAATGTACTGAGGGGGCTATAGTTTTGAATGGGGTTATTAGGGAACCAGATGATTTCTAGGTTCACGTTCAGTTCAAAAATCCAATGATTTTTCTTCTGTGTTGACTAGGCAGCATAAAAACACACAATGAACCTCTGAACTTGACCTCTTTAAACTCACACATTCTGTTACCTTGCTCTGTATGTCACCACTTATATTCCTTTAAAAACAGGATTAAAAATACATTTTTCCACACTGAGATAAAGCATATGCTGTCATTTAATGCAACAATTAATTTCCCAGTCTTTCCTTGGGAGAGGAAAACAAAAATAAAACCCAGCAATTTTCCCCAAGGGTTCTAAAAATCCAGCATTTTTATACACTACAGAAAGAATTAAAATTAGTGATTTTTCCTCCCCCTTCAATATATTTATAGTCTGAAATTTAGTCTTGCTGGGGCTAAGTTACAACAAGAGGTGGTTTAACAGCACCTTTGAAACGGAAGATGTTTTTATAGACAAGGAAAGTCAAGTGAATAATAAGAATTACTACTATACCTATTGCAGTTATCCTATTTTGTATGTTTGCTACCTGCCAGCTATAGCACTAGCTAGAAAATCAGCAACTGTATACAGTTTGAACTAATATATTAATTTCAAATTCCATGAGAGAGAAGTTTCTGTAAGGTTAAGTGCATTGCTGCTTTTCTATACTTCTACTATATGATTATCTTGGGCAAATCTTCAAGGCAACAAAAAGCTTTCATTTGGGGATATAAAGGCCCTCTGCTAAGTTGAGAAGGGTGTAAATGACAATAGGAAGATGCTGCCTATCTGTGATAATGAGTTCACACGAACAAATATTTAAATAATTTTATCTAGAACTTAATTTGAAGATCTGAATTTTATTTTAAGTCCAATCCACAGCACAAAGTTCCTCAAAAGCTATTCATACCCAAGTGGCTTTTAAAAAAAAAAGCTCAATTTATTAGCCATACCCACTATTGTGCTTAGAAAAACACAATATTCATTACAAAATAGACATTTTTCCACTCCACTAGGAAAAACAACTCAAAATTATACTAATATCTTAAATCTGCCCATTTGGGTTAGGATTTCTATTTCTTTGGAAATGCCTCCTTAATAAGAGTATTTCCCAAAAGAGATCACTGTCCACAAACCAGCCTGTTTTGCTCAATCCAAATACTTTTTAAATTCGTCTTTCAAAAGTAGATTAGCTCCCATTTTTTTTTTCCTCCTGGCGGCTATTTTTCATTCGCTATATAGTTCATGTTTAGAGTTCACATTAATAAAACTGCCTGTTAATTATCTTCTAAGTAATTTTATGTAATATAAAGTTTCATCTAGCAGAATAAAGCAGGCACTTCATGCGTTACATTATTAGCAGATGGGAAAGTTTATTTCCAACATTTAAATGCCAATAGAACTCTCTGTGGACAATTAAGAAGATAAAAACGATCTAAAGCGTTTTTTAAAATTAACCCTAGAAGAATATGATACTCTCCTTTAGAAAACAAGAAGTGTAAACAGGTAAATACATAAAAACCTACCAGTTCATTGCTTGTAGATGTGAGTCTTAGTTTTTCTTCAATTTCCTTTCCAATTTTCTGAACAGTTACCTGAGTCTGTTTAATTGCACACTGGGCTCTATGAAGCCTAGAAATATAAGTTATAGAAAAATGTAAATGAGTTAACAGTAAACTCAACAAAGAGCCTCAGATATAAATGACAAACCTGGAGGATACATAGAATTAATAATGAACTCAATTGATTTTTAATTATCTAGCATATTCGCAATGAAATAACAGGGAATACAATAAATCCTATAACAGTAAAGCTCTAAAACACCCTTTTTGTACTTGCCTGCCTGCCTCTGATGTACTGTGAGGTAAGATGAAGAACTCAAAGGAGTTGGGAAGAGCCCTGAGAAAGTAATATAGTAAAATCCTATCATTTATAGATGTGGAAACTGACGCCCAGTGAAATTAAATGGATTGCTAAAGTCACCGAGAGAGTATCACCACTCTCAAAGGTGACAATTACTTCTAGGTATCCATAAAGGAAAAAAAGAATTCACAGTAATCCAAGTTGAGAAGGTTGAATCAAAGCAGACAGCACTCTCAAAGATATAAGAAAAAACCAAAAGATGATAGAAAAGACAAAGTAATAGGAGGAATTAAATACTCGGCCAGGTTCAAACTAGCCAACTACATTCTCAGTAAGGTCTCTTTCAAGGAACAATGAAAAAATTAAGAGCTATTTTTATTTTTAAATTATGGTTTTCTTTGTGTTTTTGCTTCTTGGTCTCCTTATCTTTAATTTAATTTTATTTTGAGACAGGATGTCACTCTGTCGCCCAGGCTGGAGTACAGTGGTGCAATCACGGCTCACTGCAGCCTTGACCTCCCGGGCTCAAGTGATTCTCCTACCTCAGGCCCCCAAATAGCTGGGACTACAGGCATGCACCACCATGCCTGGCTAATTTTTGTATTTTTTGCAGAGACGAGGTTTCACCATGTTGCCCAGACTGGTCTCAAACTCCTGTGTTCAAGCAATGTGCCCGCCTCGGCCTCTCAAAGTACTAGGATTACAGCCCTATGCCACTGCACCTGGCCTCTTTATCTTTAAATATAGCTCATGTATTTCTTATACATTTCCATACCAAATGGTCAAACTGTCTTTATTTGCAGATGACATAATTGTCATGTGGAAAATGATCAGAAATCTACAAAACAAATACTAAAATTAATAAGTTAATTTAGCAAGGTCATGGGATATAAGGTCAATATACACAAAAAAATCAATTATATTTCTGTATGTAGGCATACCTCACTTTACTGCATTTTGCTTTATTGTGCTTCATAGATATTTAAAAAAAAGAAACAAAAAAAAAAAAACAAATTGAAGGTTTGTGGCAACCCTGAGTCAATCAAGTCTACTGGAGCCATTTTTCCACCAGCATGTGGTCACTTCATGTCTCTCTGTCACATTTTGGTAATTCTCACAATATCTCAAACTTTATCATTATTATTATATCTGTTATGGTGACCTGTGATCAGAGATCTTTGGTGTTGCTATTATAGTTATTTTGGAGCACCACGAGCTGTACCCGTATAAGATAGTGAACTTTATCGATAAATGTTTTGTGTTCTGACTGCTCTACTGACTGGCCATTCCCAGTCTCTCTTCCTCTCCTTGGGCCTCCATATTCCCTGAGACACAACAATAATGAAATTAGGCCAAGCCTTACAGTAACCTCTAGGTGTTCAAGTGAAAAGAATAGTCCTATGTCTCTCACTTTAAATCAAAAGCTAGAAATGACAAAGCTTACTGAGGAAGGCAGGTGAAAAGCCAAGATAAGCCAAAAACTAGGCCTCTTGCATGAAACAGTCAGCCAAGTTGTGAATGCAAAGGAAAAGTTCTTGAAGGAAATTAAAAGTGCTACTCCAGTGAACACACGAATGATAAGAAAGTAAAACAGCCTTATTGCTGATGCGGAAAGAGTTTTACTGGTCTGGATGCAAGATCAAACCAGCCACAACCTTCTCTTAACCCAAAGCCTAATCCAGAGTAAGGACCTAACTCTCTTCAAATCTTTGAAGGCTGAGAGAGGTAAGGAAGCTGCAGAAGAAAAGTTGGAAGACAGCAGAGATTGGTTTATGAGGTTTAAGGAAAGAAGCCACCTCTAGAACATAGACATGCAAGGTGAAGCAGGAAGTGCTAATGGAGAAGCTGCAATAAGTTACTCAGTAGCTCTAGCTAAGATCATCAATGAAGGTGGTTATACTAAACAACAGATTTTCAACATAGATGAAACAGCCTTCTGTTGAAATAAGATGCCACCTAGGACTTTCATAGCTAGAGAGGAGAAGTCAATGCCTGGCTTCAAAGCTTCAAAGGACAGACTGACTCTTTTACTAGGGGTTAATGCAGCTGCTGATTTTAAGTTGAAGCTAATGCTCATTTGCAACTCTGAAGACCCTGGGGCCCTTAAGAATTATGCTAAATCTACTCTGCCTGTGTTCTATAAATGGTACATCAAAGCCTGGATGACAATGTATCTGTTTACAGCATGGTTTTATGAATATTTTAGGACTCTTGAGACCTACTGCTTAGAAAAAAGATTTCTTTCAAAATATTATTGTTCATTGGCAATGAACCTGGTCACCCAAGAGTGCTGATGGGCATGTACAAGGAGATTAATGTTTTCATGTCTGCTAACACATTATCCATTCTGTAGCCCATGGATGAAGGAGGCATTTCAACTTTCAAGTTTTATTATTTAAGAAATACATTTCATAAGCCTAGAGTTGCCACAGATAATTGATTCTTCTGGTGGATCTGGGCAAAATCAATGGAAAACATTCTGGAAAGGATTCGCCATTCTGAATGCCATTCAGAACATTCATGATTCATGGGAGTAGATAAAAATATCAACATTAACAGGACTTTGGAAGAAGCTGATTCCAACCCTCATGGATGACTTTGAGGGGTTCGAGACTTCAGTGGAGGAAGTAACTGCAGACATGGTTTTAATAGCAAGAGAATTAGAATTATAAGAGGAGCCTGAAGATGTGACTGAATTGCTGTGATCTCATGATCAAACTTGACTGGATGAGGAGTTACTTTTTACAGTTAATCAAGAAAAGTGGTTTTTTGAGATAGAATCTACTCCTGGTGAAGAAGCTATAAACACTGTTGAAATGACAACAAAAAATTTACGCCATCATAAACTTAGTTGATAAAACAGTGGCAGGGTTTGAGGGGAAGGACGGACTCCAATTTTGAAAGAAGTTCTACTCTGGGTAAAATGCTATCAAACAGCATCGCATGATACAGAGAATCATTCACGAAAGAAGAGTCAACTGATATGTCAAACTTCATGTTGTCTTATTTTAAGAAATTGTCACAATCACTCCAACCTGCAGTAACCACCAATCTGATCAGTCAGCAGCCACTGACATGGAGGCAAGACCCTCCACCAGCAAAAAGATATGGCTTGCTGAAGGTTCAGATGATCGTTAGCATTTTTTAGCAATGAAGTATGTTTTAATTAAGGTATGTACATTGTTTTTAGACATAATGCTATTTCACACTTAATAGACTACAGCATAGTGTAAACATAACTTTTATACGCACTGGGAAACCAAAAAGTTCATGTGACTCGCTTTATTGAAATATTTGATTTACTGCTTTATTGCAATATTTGCTTTATTGGGGTAGCCTGGAACCAAATCCTCAGTATCTCCAAGGTATTCCTGTATTAGCCCCAAACAATTGAGTTATGAAATTTTTAAATAATACTTTAATGACAGCATCAAAAAACATAAAATACTTAGGGATGAAATAAACAAAAGATGTGCAAGACTCAACCCTGAAGTCACAAAACACTGCTACAATAAAGAAGAACTAGTAAGTAAAAAATACATGTACATGGACTGGAAGATTCTATATTGTTAAGTTGTCAGCTTTTCCCAAATGGGTAAATAGCTTGAGACTCCTAATCACGGTCCCAAAGGATTTTTTTTTGACAGAAATTAGTAAGATGATACTGTAATTTATAGAGAAAAGCAAAGAATCTAGAAGGGACAAACCAATCTTGAAATATGCCAGATTTCAAGAGTTTCTATTAAGTTACATAATTAAGACAATATGGTGTGGTCATGGAGATAAAAAAAAAAACAAAGATCAATGGAACAGAAGAAAGTGTATCATAATAATCCTACACATATATAGCAAATTAATTTTTGACAAAGGAATGAAGGCAAATCAGTGCAGAAAACAAAGTTTTTTAAACAAAGGTGCTATGGAACACTGAATAAGCATAGAAAAAAAATCAATCTCATCCCCTACTTCATACACACAAAAATTAATTTAAAGAGGATCACAGTAAATATAAAAAGCTGAAATCATAACACTTATGACCAAAAATGTAGGACTATCTCCTGCAAACTTGGGGTAGACAAATATTCACTAGAGAAGACATAAAAAGAATTAATCATAAAATTAAAAAGGAATAAATTAGACTTTAAAAAAATGAGAAATACCTGTTAATCTTAACAAAGCTCCCATTAGGAAAATTTAAAAAAAAAAACAGTCCATAGACTGGGAGGAAATATTTGCAAAGCACCTATCTGACTATAAAGAAGTCTTATAAATCAGTAATCAAGACAGCCAATTAAAAATGGACAACAGAATGAAATGAACACTTCACAAAAGAAGATATAAGAATGGCCAATAAGCACAGGAAAAGTCACTCAAAGTCTTAGTCATCAGGGAAACGCATATTAAAATCATAATGAGGTGCCATTTCACACCTGTTAGAATAAATAAAATTAAAATGACAACACTAAATGCTGGCAAGGATGTGGAACAGCTAAAACTTGCATGCATTGCTGGCAAAAATATATCAGGCTGGTGCAAAAGTAACTACAGTTCTTGCAATTATTTTAAATTTAAATTTAAATTGCAAGAACCCACGAGATCAGGAGATCAAGACCATCCTGGCCAACATGGTGAAACCCCGTCTCTACTAAAATACAAAAAGTTAGCCAGGCATGGTGGCATACGCCCGTAGTCCCAGCTACTTGGGAGGCTGAGGCAAGGGAATCGCTTGAACCCGGGAAGCAGAAGTTGCAGTGAGCTGAGATCGTGCCATTGCACTCCAGCCTGGCGACAGAGCAAGATTCCATCTCAAAAAAAAAAAAAAAAGGCAAGAATTGCAATTACTTTTGCACCAGCCTAATAAATAATAGTGCCATTTTTTAGAAATTATTAGTTATTAAGTTAAACATATATTTAACCTATGACCCAGCAATTCTACTCCTAGGTATTTACCCAAGAAAAATAAAAAACGTATGTCTACAAGAAGCTTTGTATAAGAATGTTCATAGAAAACAACCCAAATGTCTATCAAATAGAAGAATCAACAGATTGAGGTATATTCATATAATGAAAATCTACTTAGCAATAAAAAGGAACACACCACTGGTACATACAACAATATGAATGGATCTCAAAAACAATATGTTGAGTGAAAAAAGCCAGAAACAGAAAAGTCCATATTGTATGATTCCCTTTTTACAAAGTTCAAGAACAGGTAAAACCAACCTATGGTGACAAATCAAAAGAGTGGTGGGGACTAACATAGGGAGAAGAGGGAACAAAGGAACTATCTGAGGTGATGGAAATGTTCTAAGTCTTTATTTTTCTAGATGGTGGTCTCACTTTGTCACCTAGGTTGGAGTGCACTGGCATGACCATAACTCACTGCCCCCTCAAATTCCTGGACTTAAGGGATCTTCCTGCCTCAGCCTTCTGAGTAGCTGGACTACAGGAGCGTGCAACTGGGTCCGACTAATTTTTTGTAGAGACAGAGTCTCGCTATGCCCAGGCTTATCTCAAACTCCTGGCCTCAAGCCATCCTTCCGCCTCAGCCTCCCACAGTGTTGGGATTACAAGAGTGAGCCACTGCACCTGGCTTTGATGTCTTGATTAGGGTAAGGAGTACACCAAAACTCACAGATTTTACACTTAAGATCTGTGCATTTCACTGTGTGTGAATTTTACCTCGGTTTTTAAAAGGTGGTCATCAATCCTAACCTGAAAGTCATCATATATATGAGAGGTTCATTTTCTTAGGCATTTGATGATATCACTACCTCTGCCAACATTATTATTATTACCCTAAACCCTGAAAATATTCATGATATATTCTTTACTTTTAGAAATTGCCTGATATTTATTGATGATTTCTTAGGTCACATAAAAAGGACCAACTCTCAATACAGCTATTTTGTTCATGGGACCAGTAATTCAACAAATCCCTCAGGGCTCCTAAGGAATCCAATAGAGGAGATTATACTCCATCCTGTTGCCTCTTGGTCTGGGTGTGTTTGTGTGTTTAATCTACATTGACAGTAATACTCTCTTAAAAAGACAGCTCTAAAGTAATTTTACATCAAGGTAAGGCCCTTTGTGATGTAGACCCTGCTGACACATCCAGTCTCATTCCTGATTATTTTTTACCTTGCACCATCTTCTCTAGCAATACTAAACTACTGGCAACTCTCCAAACATATCCTTATAATTTATTCCTTCTGTACCCCTGTGTGAGTTGTTCTATGTGCCTACAAGTTCTTCCCATCCCTTAACAGATAAATAAACTCCTAATCCATCAAGAGGCAGCTCAAGCAACCTCTTCTTCAAAAGCCTTTCCTGACTATTACGGACAGGTAGAGGTGCTCCTTCCTCTGGAAATCTGCTACTTCATGTGTATGGCACCACAAAAATATTACATGACCCTATTTTACAGCAACTGTTTATTTCTTTGCCTATTTCACCAGATCTTTCTGGGGGAAAAATAAATTTCATCTTCTAAGGTGTATTCCAAATGCTAAGCACAGAATGTGGCACAAAGGAGGGACTCAAAATGTATTTGCTGGCTTAATGCCTAATGTCTGAACATAAAAGCACAGTCCCAAAATTTGACATTTTTGACATCAGTGGGAGATTAATTGGAAGATCAGTGTGGTAGTTTCCTAGATTTGTAACTTCAAAATAGTGTATCAAAATAAAAATCACATAGAGACCACTCATTCAAGTGAGGAAACAGCAATTTTTACTAAAAATGTTATCAGAATTCTAAAAATGATAGGCATCATCAACCCAGAGAAGAAATCAACAAAATAGCCTGTTACTTTAAAAGTAGGAAAGGGCCGCCTAAAACTTCACTGGTACTATGCAAACAACCTTGTCAAATGGTAAAGACTTTAAAAATAAAAATGATTCATGACCATAATTAATGTATGACTTCAACTATTTGGCTCTCACTGCCCCAGACGCTTTCTGATCTTACCTTAGGGGCTTAAAACACACAGACAGAGTCACATTTCCTCCAATCTTCAGTGTTATCCAAATAGACTTTCAGAGCCCCTGCTGCATCAAGACAGAGCTAATAACACCCCCCTTTCAAACCCAACAGGAGAATAAAAGTTTGAAGTATTTAGACTTTGAAAAATAACATGGGACATCCTGATTCCCCTGGGGATAAAGAGGTGAAGGACTAACTAAAAAAGAAACAACTGCTTTACCTCCAAACTGGTTGGCCAATTTCAGAGTAATGTTTCTTGATTTTGCAAACTATCAAAAGAATCTATAAAGAAAGAAATATATATCATGTAGTAATATGGGTGAGTGGTCAATATCAACACTAACATCCTCAAGCTGAAATAAAACTTATCGTCACTGGTGTTGGGAAGGAGAGATCAAATAGCTATCCGATAGGTATTCTGGTGATAGGAAAGAGATGCATTCCTATTTTTTAACATGATTTGAGATAAACTGAAACTGGACTAAAGTGCTTTGAGGCTATATATTTCTGTGAACGTAAAGATACATTGAATAAAAAAAATTATGTCAAGTAAATTATTAATAAAGATTAACTGAGATGAAGCCAATGAGATATTAAAAATAATCTCACTGAAGGAGAAGTTAGAAGATAATATTGATCATATGACATCAGAAACCCTGCATTCAAGTTTAAGACAAAGAATGACAAATTAGAATACCTACAAAGGCAGTGAAGTATAGTTCCCTACGGCTTGCAGAGAGAGATAAAAAGGGAGAAGAAATACAGGAAAGACAGATGTCTATGAAACAAATCAATACCTTATAATTAATGGTTTTGTATTTCATATGAAGGTGCTTAGATTTTTATTCTGAAGGCATCAGAAAACCATTAAAAAGTTTTAAGCTGGGAAAGATTTAATTACATTTGCACTTTAGAAAGATATTTCTTCTTGTAATAGGTGAATGGCACACAGAGAAAAGAGACTGCAAACAGGAAGGTTAGTGTGAGGTTATTCCAACAGTCCAAGTAACAAATGGCTCTGTCCTAAATTAAAATAGTGACAGGAAAGATGGTGTAAATGTGAAAAGTGAGAGAGAAGAGAGATAAAGAATGATGCTTGAAAACAAATTACCAGCATAAAAATGAAAGAGAAGACATCACTACAGATCCTTCACATAGTTAAAAGGAATTAAGGAGAAATTATGAGCAACTGTATGCCAATAAATTCAACTTAAATGAAATAGTCAAATTGTTTAAAATCCACAAATTTCCAAAACAAACAAAAGAAACAGAAAATCTAAAGAACCACCATCTGTTAAATAAATTATATTTGCAATTAAAAATTTTCTCACATAGGAAACTCTAGGCTCAGATAGCTTCACCGGTAAAATGCCAGTAGCATCAAAAATCTTTCCAAGAAGAAGAAGGGATGCTTTCAGTTTGTTTCATGAGGTCAACATGACCCTGATACCAAAACATGACACGAACACTATAGGAAAAAAAAATTATAGACCAATTATTATACATGAACATAAATGCAAAAACCATTAATAAAATGTTAGCAAATCAACTCTAGTAATATATGAAAAGGATAAAGCAACTGGATCAAGTGGGTTTATCTGAGTAGGTTATACCATTCTGTTAAACTGACTGATTTTCAAATACTATACAAGGTTGGTATAATATTTGAAAATCAATCAATGACAGAATGAAGAAAAAAGATCATAATTATCTTAAAAGATTCAAAAAAAGAAGCATTTGATAAAATTTAATACCTGTTAATGGTTAAAAATAAAAAAAAAACCCTCAACAAACTAGGAGGAAAGGGGAGCTTCCTCAATCTGATAAAAGGTTTATAGAAAAAAATCTACAGCTAATCCTATACTTACAATCAAAAACAAGGCAAAGATACCCACTTTCATCACTCTATTCCACATATACTCAAGGTCCAAACCATTGTAATAATGCATTTTAAAAGTAAATAAAAGCCATAGGTATAGGAAAGGAAGAAGCAAATCTACTTAAAGGTGCTATGATTGTGTATGTAGAAAAATCCAAAGAAATCTACAATCCAACTACTAGAACTAATGAGTAAATTCGGCAAATTGCAAGAGTTTAAATTAATATATTAAAAATCAATCAGTGTTTCTATTTAATATCAATAAATAACTAGGAATAAATCTAAAGAAAGATGTGAAAGACCTGTACACTGAAAACCATAAAACACCGCTGAGATATTAAAGAATATTTAAATAAATGGAGACATATATCATTTCATGGATTGGAAGATACGATATTATTAAGCAGTCAAGTCTCCCTAAATTGATCTAGAGCCAAAGCAATCCCAATCAAAAACCCAAAAGATTTTTGTTTAATAGAAATTGGCAAACTGCTTTTAAAATTGATATGCAAATACAAAAGACCTAGAACACCAAGAAAATGTTGGGGGCGGGAAATAGCTGGAGGGCTTACACTACTAGATTTTATGACCTATCATAAAGCTACAGTAAGTAAGGCAGCAGTAGTTACACAGAACTAAACAAACAGATCAATGAAATATAATTTAGGGCTGGGTGCGGTGGTTCACGCCTGTAATCCCAGAACTTTGAGAGGCCGAGGTGGGCAGATCACCTGAGGCTGGGAGTTCGAGACCAGCCTGACTAACATTGAGAAACACTGTGTCTACTAAAAATACAAAATTAGCCAGGCGTGATGGCACATGCCTGTAATCCCAGCTACTTGGGAGGCTGAGGCAGAAGAATTGCTTGAACCTGGGAGGCAGAGGTTGTGGTGAGCTGAGATCGCACCATTGTACTCCAGCCTAGGCAACAAGAGCGAAACTCCATCTCAAAAAAACAAACAAACAAACAAACAAACAAAAAATATATACACACACACACACACACACACACACACACACACATTTCAGATTATAGAAAGAATCATTCATACATACTCAATTTTTTAATAAGGAAAAGAAAAACTTTGTCAACAAATGGCAGTGAAATAACTTAATACGTATATAGGAAATAAATGAACCTTAACCTGTACCTCACCTCATACACACAGATTAATTTGAGATGGATTAGGGACCTAAATGTAAAAGCTAAGACTACAGTGCCTCTGGAATAACACATAGGAAAATATATGCAAAAACTCTGACTAGGCAAAAATTAGTCCTAAGGGCATTATTGAGGAAATGAAAAAAAATCAAGTCATGACTGAGAAAAAAACACTTGGGATATGTGTGTGTGTGTGTGTGTGTGTGTGTGTGTGTGTGTGTGTACACCTGACAAAGGACTTCTATCCAAAATACACAAAGAATTCCTACATAAAAATAAAAATATAAACAACCCAATAATTGAGAATAGGCAAAATATTTGAACAAACACTTCAAAAAATAAGATACAAGAATGAGCTATTAGCACATGAAATGGTGCTCATAACTTTAGTCATTATAAAAGTAAAAATCAAAATCAAAATGATACACTACTACAAGCCTATTATAATGGCTAGAACTTACAAAACTGGCAATACCAAATGATGGCAAGAGGTAGAGCAACTGGAACTTTTCAAACATTGCTGGAGGGACTGTAAAAATGTATAACTACTTTGGAAACCTGTGTGGCAATACCTAATAAGTTAAATATACACCTCTCGTATAAGCCAACAGTTTCACTCTCAGGTATAATGTGGGCTGGGTGCGGTGGCTCATGCCTGTAATCCCAACACTTTGGGAAGCTGAGATGGGAGAAATCACTTGACATCAGGAGTTTGAGATCAGCCCCCAGCAACACAGCAAGACGCTGTCGCTAAAAAAATTAAATTAGCCAAGCATGGTAGTGCGCACCCATTCCCAGCTACGTGGGAGGCTGAAGGGAGAATCCCTTGAGTTCAGGAGCTTGAGGTTACAGTGAGCTATGACTGCACTACTGCACTCCGAGCCTGGTGACAGAATGAGTCCCTGTCTCTAAAATATCAAATAAATAAATAAATAGGAGAAAGCACATGACCACAAAAAACTTGTGTAAGGTGTTCCTATCGGCTTTATTTATAATAGCCAAAAAGTAGAAACAATCCAAATATCCATCAACAGAATAATGAATAAGCAAACTGTAATATATTCATAGAAGGAAATACTGCTTCACCAGTAAAAAGGAATACACTGCTAATCTATACAAGAACATGGATAAATTCCAAAAATTGTATGTTAAACAAAAGAAGCCAGAAACCAAAAGAGTGCCCCGTATGACTCCACTTATAAGAAGTTCAAAAACAGGGAAAGCTAATAAATGATAAGGCAGTAAGAAAAGTGTCCCAGGGATGGGAATGAGGGTGTCAGAACTCTGGCAAATGAGGGAACATTCTGGATAATGAAAATACTCTATACCTTGATTTAACAATGGCAATACAGGTGTGTATATTTATTAAAATTCATCAAACTGTGTGTATATGTGTGTGTGTGTATATATATGTGTATATATGTATACATATGTGTGTATATATATATGTGTATATGTGTGTGTGTGTGTGTATATATATATATATATATATATGTATTTTATTGTATATAAATTACACTGCCAAAGAAAAAGAAAAGAATGTTTGCTGGTATATGGCTTGGGGAACCAGAAAAAATGGTGATGCTATTTACTGCGATGTAGAACACGGCAGCAACAGTTTGAGAAGAAAGTTCTATTTTCAGTTGGAGGTGCCTGTGTAACATCCAAGAGGATGTGTTGAATATGAGTTGAATATAAAGATCTGTTGCTCAGGAGACAGATCTTGGCCAGAGATAAAAATGTGGCAGTCATTAGCACACAGATGGTTATGAACGCTATGAAAGTGAATGAGATCACCCTGAAGACTGCGAGAATGAGAGTAAACAGAACCTAGAACAGAATCCAGAGGAATATCAATACTTAAGAAATTAGGGGGGAAAAAAGTCCTGCAAAAAATTGTGAACCAGAATATCCAGGGAGAAGCAGAAGGACAGCTGGGAGAGCTGGTATGACAGCAGTTAAAGGAACAGCCCATCAAGGGAGGAATGACCACTGTCACAAAAATCAAGCAACCTAAGGCCTAGACAGTTTCTACATATTTAGCAGCAACGACTTAATTAAAGCCATTTCAAATCCGTTCACCTCACCCCAGATAGACTGCCACCTAGCCAATAGCCCCTAACTGGTTTCTTAGCTTCAACTCTTATTCTTCTCAATTCTATTCTGTTCTTAGTACCAAAGAATCCCTGTTCTTCATTTGCTCGGTTACTAATTGTAGTTTATCTTCCCCAACAGCATCCAGAACGCCTGCCTTATACACATCTAAAATTATATTTCCTTAGAGACAACTAGAAATATCACAATCCATAAACTTACAATTTCAAAGATTCGTGCTAATGCATCTAGTACCTCACCACTTTATCTTTCTTCTTCTCTGATGGACACTAACCTTTTAGATACTCTAGGCCCTCTAATAGCTAGTGTGTGGTTGCCTACACAGTTCCTTTCATTATGTATCTATGGGTAATTAACATATATGTACTTCTAGTCATGTTGATAACATCTTCCATCGATGATAAAAGGATTTTTCTGGTGTCTAAAAAGGCGTGATCTACATTTTTCTACACTAAATGAATTTTCCATTTTTTAAAGAATTCTATTCAAATAAATCCACCTATTCAAATAAATTTTATCAAATAAATCCGCTCCATGATAGTCATGAATCACTGCAGTGCTCCAGAACTGACATCACATTATATTAGTGCTGCCTTTTCCCTCACTCATACTTCCTGTGTTCAATCACCTAAACCTATTGATTCTTCTTTCCCAATGCTCTTATCCGCATAATTTCCTTTTCATCATTCCCACTGTAAGCACCCTGGTTCTGCGTTAATAAAAGGCCTTCCTTTTTAATCTCTGCCCTTTTCAATCCATTTGGAACACTGCCATGAGAATGCTCTCCTAAAACACAGATTTCAATAGCGTCCTTCAAAAAATCAAAACAATGATGTAAGAGGTATGGAGATCTTTTAAGTCTTAGTGTATCAATAATTAGAATGACTACAGGCAAATTTGAGCTCTTTATACAAAAGAAAAAAACCACCATGTACTAGCACCAAATAATCACAAATTCTAAAAAGCTAATATTAGATGTTATTCTTTGCTTGAAAACAGCTCAGGGCGATTTAAATAAACATTTAAACTCTGTTGTTTTAGCCTGGCAATTCAAAGTCCAATGAAATCTAGCTCAGGCACAATAGTATTAATATTTACCAGAAACCTGAGGCCTAATACAGTGCCTGGCACATAGAATATATTTATTTAATAATTCGTTGGTGAATGAATACATATTTATTTAGTGCTGGCTATGTGCCAGGCACTAAGCTAAAAACTTGAAATGGATATTTCATTTAATTCTCACAAAAATCCATAGACGTAATCATTCCCGTTCTACCTGTGAGAAAACTGAAGCTGGTAAGTGGCAGAATCACTATTTAAACCCAGGTTTGTTTAACTCCAAAGCCCGTGGTCTTCACTGCTTATTTCCCACCCACAAACCCATCGTTCCTAAGCTAATCTTGTCATCATCTCCCCACAAACCTTGGCATCAGTAACACCTTACATGTTAAATAATTTTAGTTTCCAAAGTGCTTTTTCACAGACACATTATTTAGGTTAAACCTTCCAAATATATGTGTCCAAGCTCAGTATTCCTCCCCTTATATATCAGGTTGCTGTGTGCTTTTCTCTTCCATTATTCTACGATTCTATTCATAATATAACTCGTATCTCAACTAAATCTGCTGCTGCATTTTATCCCACTATCTTTGGGGTAGGCAGAATTCTAAAATGTCACCCCAAGATTCCCATTCTCTGCATAATCCCCTTCTCTTGGTTATTAGCAGGACTTATAAACACCATAGGATATTACTCCCAGAAATGTTACTTTACAAGGTGAAGGAATTGAGGGGCTATAATTAAGGTCACGTATCAGTTCACTTTGAGTTAACCAAAAGGGAGATTAGCTGGGTGCTATAGGCTGAACTGTATCCCTTCATCCCCCGCCCCAAATTCATGTTGAAGTATCCTAACCCTTAATGTGACTATATTTGGAAACAAGACTTTCAGGAGGTAATTAAAGTTGATGAGGTCATAGGGTGGCCTCAAAAGAACAGGAAGAGAAAAAGATCTCTCCCTCTCCACACGCATGCAAGAAGGAAAGGCTATGTGAAGTCACAACAGGCAGGTGGCCATCTGTATGCTAGGGAGAGAGCCTCGCCAGAAACTGAACCATGCTGGCACCTTGATCTCAGAGTTCCAGCCTTCAGATCTCTGAGAAAATAAATGTCTGTTGTTAAAACCACCCAGACTGGTATTTTGTTATGGCAGTCTAAGCTGACTAATACAGACGGTAGGTCTGCTCTAACCAGGTAAGCCCTTAAAAGGGACTGGCCCTTCCTGAAAGAAGAGATTTGAAGCATGAGAGGGCCTATAAAGTGGGCCACATGGCAAGAAACTGCAGGTGGCCTCAATGGGGCTGACAGCAGCCCTCAGACCACTATCAGCAAGAGAACAAGAGGCTGAGTCCTATAAACCACAAGGAAGTGAACTCTGCCAAAAACCATGGGAGCTTAAACAAGGACCCTGAGCTCCAGAAAAGAACACAGCGCAGCTGACACTGATTTCAGCCTCATGAGACCATAAGCAGAGAACCAAGTCAGCTGTTCCCAAATTTCCGGCCTAAAGAAGAAACCGAGAAACAATAAAACAGGTATTATTTTAAGCCACTAAATTTGTGGTAATTTATTATCCAGCAATCAAAAACTAATACATTCTTTCAATCCAAATATTAATTATCCTTCTTTCACAGCCATCTCTTCATGATTCCATTTACTGAGCACATTATCACATTAGTCAAAATAACACCTGCACATTATAAATCTTTAGCCTAATTCCTTATCTGATCATGTTAACGTATCTTTAAATTTATTCATTCATCCTGTCTTCACATTGAGCACTTTCTATGTTGCTAATACTGAGTCTAGTGTTAAGAGAAAAAACATTGCAGACAGTCTGTGCTCTCTAAAAATATACCATTTATTTACATATTCATGCAATAAACATTTATTGAAGGCCTAAATGTTCACCATGCCCTCTGTTAAGTAATAAAAATACAGAGATCAGAGCATTATCTTCATAATGCTCAAACTTTGTAGACAACTTGGTTTGTAAACAATCATAACAGCATTATACAGGCTACAACACAGGCATGCATCGGGTAAGGGCTGAACATAAAAAAGGAGCATCTATTCTAGGGACGGGGTCAAGTGGAAGCAAAAGTCTTCTTGGAGGGGGTAAACACTGAGCCAACATTTGAAGGAAAAGTAGGAATTAGCTAGATAAAAAGGGAGAAAGATATTCCAGACAAAAGCAAAAACAAGTACAAAAACAAAAAAAAGGTACCCTAACATTTTCAGGAACTGTAAGCAGCTTAGCAAGGCTGGAGCACAGGGTCATATGGGAGAGGATGGCAAGAGATGAGGTAAAAAGGCAGGCAGAGGTCAGATTATGAAAACCTGGTATATTAGGATAAGGAGCTTTACTCTCAAGGCAAATAAATAAGTCATTTGGAGGCCTGACCACGAGATGTCATGTATGTAGGCTGCAATGCAAAAAGACCAGGCACCTGTAGGTACAAAACAGACCCACAAATTCATTTTGGAAGAGGAAGAACTCAAGTAGGAGCCCAGGAATAGTCAATATTTGGTAAGGGTTGTGGTCTCCCTCAACAGCACTGGGAGCATGCTCCATCTAGACTTCATATCATCTATAATCATTTGTTTTCCGGCTTTCTCCAGCAGTGGATTCCACACTCCTTGAAAACCTAGGCCTATAACTTGGTAGTGTCTGTGCTCCTGAGCTTCCCCGTAGTACTTTGTATATAGAGGCCTTCAGTAACAGACTGTAATAAAGATTACTCCCTTTCCTTCCTCAGAAATACAGAGGGGCACATCTCACCCTTCTCTTAACCCCCCAAAGCACAACAGACACCCACGGAATTAAAAATGATTATTTTAAGATTTCTCTGATTCTATTTTTCTCAGATGCTATGCAATATTTATTCAGTGATAATTAATTTATTTTTTTAGATGTATATCAAGCGTAGAAAAACTCCTGGGAAACTGCCTTGAGAACATTGTTTAATGTTTGTAAACCAGAAAAGACTGATCATTTCTCATTGTAGACACTACATGTCTATCAATTTAATAACCCAACATTTTCTGGCAGTAATATCTCACTGATTATTGATATTGACTTGACTACTGACTAAAGGTTCTGTATCTTTTTTTACTCAGACTGTTGCCCATATGCCAAGCCTCCCTCTTCTGATACAGTTGGTTTTAGGACTCAAGTATAAGACTATATTCTTTTCACAATTAAACTCTATCTTAAAATTTAAGATGAGCTGAATATAATTCTATCTTTCCAGTCCCCAGAGATCTTATTTACTAATTCCGTTACGCAATAATCACTGTCTCTATAAGTTCCACGTTACCACTGCATTAACTTAGTCAATTTTCTATATCTTTGTTCAAAGGCTTAGATTGTGGTATTCTCAAGAGGAAAAACCATGTCTCCCTTGATCACCACTGTATACCCAGCATATTGCATAGTTTCCAGCATGCAGTACTGAATAAACATTTGGCAGGTAAGTAATCAAATGAATGGACATGTTGAAAAAGACTAGGTCAATAGCAGAGCCCTATGCCATGCATTTAAAAATTTCCCTCTAGATAGCAAGTCATCAAGTAGTTACCAGTCGACCTATCTTTTCTGTCATTTAGCTTACACCTCTTCATCTTGCTCCCAAAGCTATCCTGACATACCTTATCAAACACATTATTGAAGTTATCTGTATCTACAAATCTAAGTACCCTTGCAAAATGGATACATTAGTCTAAGATAACTTGTTCTTGGGAAAGGCTCATTAAAGGAGACAGCATTTAAGCTCCAATATGAAGGAAGGGTAGCTAAGACTCTGACAGCTGTATGCAAGGGAACTGCTGTTTAGGGTATTGGGAATAGCTTTTCAAAGTCATTAAGGAAGCAGAGTGCATTACACGTTCAGAACAGAAAGTGGGTTGTGTGCTATAAAACAAAGAGGGCACAAGAGCAATATCATGAGAGGCAGGCTGGAAAGGTTGATCAGAGCTACAGTGCTATAGACTTTAAATGCCTAATAAATTCTCTGCACCTCTACAGCACCTACAGCAGTCTAAGGCACATGGGAATCACTCAAATACTCGTTGATGGATTTATTAAATATGATAGTTTCCCAAAAGACCAGGAGTCTACCCAAAAGCCTGCTTCTACATTCCTCTGTCTAGACCATGCACATAGTTGGGAAGAACACAATCTCATGGTAATGGCATCAAATAAGACAATACTATTGCTTATAAATACTTATAAAATTAACCTACTTTCATGGAAAAGTAAATAGCATCGTGGGTGGGAAAGTTCTATTGAGGAGATGGTAGGTGGTGTGAAAGCATGTGATAATTAGTGCATCAAGTCTAACCAGGATATGCATACCCTCAAAAACTAACAACACTGATGAAGCGACAGTTATAGAACAATAATCAACTCTTCGCATTTCCAATTTACATCTCAACTAACTCATTTCAGGCAAGAAGAACCACATTTGGCATAAAAGCAAGCTAAATCATTCCAAATTTTTTCATAATACTATCCATGTGCATTTTAGTAAGTTTAATTTAAAATGTATTCATTACACAATAAACACACTTGAGGAAGTATACAGAAAAGCACTTCAGAATTAGAAACAATAAACAAAACAAACTACAGATATGGACAAGATTTTTACAATTTAAAAGGAATATTATATACAACTTTAGGCCAATAAATTTAAAAAAAAAAAAAAACAGGAAAAGTGAATGATTTTCTATCAAACTATAAATTACCAAATTGTCTCAATAAGAGGTTGAAAACCTGAATAGATCGATAACTACAAAGAAACTAAAAACGCTACCAAAGTGGGGGTGGGAGGGTGTAGGCCATGATGATTTTATAGGTGCTATAGTATAAATATTTGTACCCTCCCAAACTCATGTTGAAATTAATTGCCATAGTATTGGGAGGTGGGACTTTTTTTATTTTATTTTTTAGAGACAGGATCTCGCTCTGTCACCCAGATTGGAGTGCAGTGGTATGATCATAGCTCACTGTAACCTCAAACTCCTGGGCTCAAGTGAGCCTCCTGTCTCAGCCTCCCGAGTAGCTGGGACTATAGGTGCACACCACTGTGTCTAGTTGGCTTTTCCTTTTTCTAAATCTGTTTTAAGGCTCATAAACTAAGGATACAAAGGACCTTTCATGCTGCTTTATTCAGTAAGCATATGTACCATGAAGTTCAGCACTTGAATACATTTATCTTGACACTAATTCTTCCACAAGCTAAATCTTATTCAACTAGACAATTCGCTTCTTGTCTTCTTCCTTTGTATCCCCTCCTGTATTGTGTCTGATAAACAGCTGTACACTTAGCAAGTGTTTAATGTACACTTAATAATTGTACAATTTTTAAATTGTAATTTAAATAGTATTTTTTAACTACTCAGGTTTTCATCAGAACGGCATTTGAAAAAGAAATTATTAGACTTGTTTACATCTTAACAGAAAGCAGTGGTGTTGAGCTGTGAAGAAAAAACATGGATTTGTAAGTCTCAGAGAGAAAGACTCTCCCGCTGTGAATCTGCTGTTTGTGGAGATCCGAAAGAAAAGCCACCACCATCATGTCTAAACAAGAGGCAAAAGCTTCCACCATGGACTTCAGGGACAAGAAAGAAAAAATATATATTTTATTCAAAGTCATTAGACAGGACAATAGTGAGGTTCACTGCAAGGTAAAAATGACAACACATCCCAAGAAACTCAAAGAATCATACTATCAAAAAACGCACAGAGTTCCAATGAAATTATTCAAGTTCCTCTTTGAAGGTCAGAAAATTGCTGATATTCACACTCCACAAGAACTTAGAATGAAGCAGTAAGATGGGATTGAAGTTTACCAGGAATAAATAGGGGGAACTTATTCAACAATTCAGATATTTTTTCCCTTAACTATTTTCAAAAATAGTTCTTTTGCAATGTAGTATTCAAAACTGAATTATAACTGGCACCCCATCTCTTTAAAATGCCTTACATTTTTAATTCTAGTACTAGTTATTCATTATCATTTGTTTTCATTGCCCTGATCTTTTAGGATCAAGCTTTAGCACCCTTCATATCTTTCTCTCCTTTTTAAAAATTACATGGGTGCAGAGAGAGGCCTCCTTTTCCAGGATTCTGTACTTTCAGGCTTATGATCATAAGAGAGCCAATGCAAGAGTTCATAATGGCCTTCCACCTGGCCCTGAAGTTCCACATCTAAAGTTCTCCTGGACTATGACTTTCACTGTAAGAGGAAGTTTTTCAGAGAACTCATCTGTGGAAACATGACATTTCCTTAATTTGATTCTGAAACTCTGCACCAAAGGAAATAATATCAGGTTGCAGGGGGGAATGTCAGATATGGTGATACAGGTTGACCATCCCTAGCCTGAAAATCCAAAATTCAAAAATGCTCCAAAATTCAAAACTTTTTGAGCATAAACAAGTGGATCAACATTTCCTTCAAAGGAAATGCTCACTGGAGCATTTGGGATTTCAGACGCTCAACCAGTAAGTATAATGCAAATATTCCAAAAAGAAACAAACAAAAAAACCTGAGAAACTTCTAGTCCCAAGCATTTTGGCTAAGGGATGCTCAACCTGTAGTAATGAGTAACTTTAAAGAAGGCTTTTTAGAAAGGAAAACACATTTTAAGATTTTTAAATATCTTACAGTTTTAGAAAAGTTCTAATTTCCAGGGAAATTAATAATAAAGATATGGAGAAGTAGAGACAACAACAAAAATCTGAACAGAAACAGTTGGTTTCATCTATATTCTTGGGTTTACACAGACTTTGGGTAGCTCATAAAAGCAAAGTGAGAAGGGCATTTTTATGCAGTTTGCTCTTGAGTGTAAGTCAATGAATGACTACTTCCTTCACTGAGAAAATCTTGCTTACAAAATGTCAGCTGAACTCAACAATGTGCTTATTAAGGATATTGCTGAAAACATTTTGGCAAAACTGCCTCATTTTTTTTTTTGCAGAATGGTAACAAACAGTTCAGAATGACAGATAATTTAGTAGTAATGTCAAAGGACTTTTTTTGAAGGCAGAATTTTCACAATTAATGATGTCTACTTGTGGAAATACATCAGGCAATTTGATACATTTGACTTTTATAAATATAGTAGTTAGCATAGTGTAGTGGTTAGGAAGGTAGGCTGTGGTGCCAGTGATGGTTCAAATCCCAGCTCAGTGGCTTATTAACCATTAACCAAAAGTCCCGTGCTTCATCTGCAAAATGGGGATAAAAATCATACATTTTTTCAAAGGTTTATTCTGATAACTAAATACTTCAAAAGCATCTACAGTTTTATCACTTGATAAGTACTCAAATATTAGCAGTGACTCTAATTATTACTATCCCCTTACAACCTACATATTTATTCCAGCAAGAATGCCACTGTCCAAAGCACTTGGGGAGTTCTCCACAAAACTTGTGGTACCATCACTGGATATCCTCTATAATGGCAAATCTCCACCTTTGCTAGAGGACTTGGTATTTTAGGAATCATTAAAATTAATCTGGGCTAAATTTTTGTGAATTACAAGGCAATCAAACTGGACAATGACCTTTTAAGTAGAATAGAAAATGTGATAGTATAGTAAATCATTTTTTTAAAATGTTATTAGTTTTAGAAATAACTAGAAAACTGACTCTTAAGTCAATTAAGGTCACCTTTATAGTCAAAGGACCATGATAATGTTAGTACTAGGAGTTATTTTAGAAGTCTTTTAATTCAATGCTCTCGTTTTAAATATGAAAATGAAACCACAGTTAAGATTCAATGACTTGTCCAATGTCTCAAAGCTATGCCAGTTTAGAAAGGCCAAGTTTCTTAATTTCCAGTTCCCTTCTTTCTCTACACCACACTGTCTTCTTTCTTCTTTGTACCATTTGCCTGCTACATTTAGAGTTATGCAAATAGCCTTATTACTGAAATTAGAAAGTTTAAAAGTTGCTGCCAGAAGTTGAAACATTTTCATGGAATCCCCTATTGCCAATACATGTGATTAATTTTGCTCATTTAAGTTTTTGGTATAGTGTTTCAGGATTGGCTTAACGAATTTCTCCATTTGGCCTACTATCTGAAGAAAATGAGTAAACACAGAATTCCTTCTGTATTGGCAGTTTTGTTGCAGTTTTAACTGGACATAAATCAAAATTACCACAGTGTCTCCAAAGGCAAGTTTATACCAGCATACTAGTAATTATAATTATTGAAGTCTGTTCCAAAAAATAAGACACCACACTCTCCTTTTTCCTCCCTTTTCATCCCGTTGGACCTCCAGTTCATTACCAGCCTCACACATTCTCAAATGCCTCCCAAGCCTTTTAATCACTGATAAGCAAAAAGCAATCTGAAGGGGGTGAACACTTTAGACCATATGCTCATGAGGCTTCCTGAGTTACAAAGGGTGTGTATGTGTGTGTGTATGTATGCATATGTGTGAGTCTATGTATGTATATGTATGGGGGTTATTCAAGAACACTGCTATAGTGAAAAAGACATTCAACGGGAAGGCCAAAATATATGGTTCAAAACTCAGTTCTACCAATTTAAGAGCTATGATTTAGAGGATATTATGTAACTCTAAGCTCTGAGTTCTCTATGGGAAGGAATCAGATCATATGAATCTAACTCCCATTCTACTCTGCCTGGCCCATAGTCAGCTTCCCATAAGATTGGTTCAAGTTTCAACAAGAACAAAGAGGACAAAGAAAATGATACAGAGGTAGCAAGGTATGGTCCACACCTTACACTACAGTGTAGAGAAAATTCATTTTTTACCCTGAAGATACTAAAATGATCTTTAGGACATCAAAATGTTAAGAACCAGCAAAATTTATTCCGCATCTGGCCAAAATAGAGTGACAGAGACTGCATTTAATCCCACCTGAAATAACTTAAAAAAAAAAACCCTAGGAAAACATGAGAGGATAGATTTCAAGACTGGCCACCAGACAACTTGTAGTAACATCTGAGAGTAGAGAAACACATGAGGAGAGTTCTACAATTGCCCCGGCTTAATGCTTAGAGAAAGTTTCCAGGCTTCAGAGTAGGGATGGGGATCCCAACAGAATAAGGTGGTCTACCTGAGTGTAGAAGAAAGATTTAGGAGTCCAGGGAAGCCATGAGTGCGAGAGTTCTCAGGGCACAGTACTGAAGAAGACAGAACTGCACACAGAGAACTCCAGAGATCTGCAGAGGGTCACACTCAAATATTCAGCTGAGTACTGATCAGTGAATCATCTGAGGAAATGATCCAAGGCCAGGAAAAGGACAATCTAAAAGGATTAGACAGAGGAAACAAAAAGCAGAGATTTCACAGGACCAGGAACAGGGCCTATTCCTGACAGCCAGAGTATGGCCCATAACTGACGGGCCACGCAATAAAGTACTCAGAAGAGGTTTGCTTCAGGGGTAGGTAAAATTAATCCTGGACTTGATGCTGCTCTAGTACAGGCTGAGGAAGCGTAAAAGCAAGAACTGAAAGGAAGAAAATTTTTCCAAATAACATAACTGTGTTTCCAGAATATTTATAGGAACACAAAAATATCCAACAAACAATAAGGTAAAATTGACAATGCCTGACATCCAATTAAAAATGACTGTATATGCAGAGAAGTAGGAAAATACAATCCAAAATGAGCAGCAAAATCAATCAGAACTGATCCAAAATTGCTAGAGATGACAGAATCAGTAGATAGGGCCATTAAAACAGTTATTACAACTATAATTTATATGTTTAAAAGCCAGAAAATAGACTGAACATATAGTGACATTGAAAATTTTTGAAAAACCCAAATTGAACTTTCAGAGATGAAAATCACAATGTCTGTTTAATCTGAGAAAGCTGACTGCAAAAAAAAAAGGAAATCATGATGTCTGAAATGAGAAAAATATATATATGTGTGTGTGTGTGTATATACATATACATATATATACACACACATATTTTTAAAGGATGGATGAACAAATTAGTTATTACAAGAAAAACAGTAAACCTGATGATATACTAAATGTCAGTGAACATTTGGGTAGAAACTATTTAAAATGAAAAACAGAGGAAGACTAAAACAAAAACAAAATAAAAGGCATCAGTGTGTGATAGCACAACTTCTGAGGCCCAATATACATTTAGATGGAGTTCATGAAGGGGAAAATAATGAAGGAGGAGACAGAAAAAATAATACTTGAATAATTAATGGTTGCAAAATATCCAAATGTGATGAATATTACAAACCCACAGATGCAAGAATACCAACAAATACCAGGTATGAAAAACACAAAGAAAACTATGCCAAGGTACACAGAATCAAATTGCCTTGCAACAGTGACAAAGCAGCCCAAGGAAAAAAAGACACACTACATAAAGGAGAGGATACTAGAATGACAGATTTCTCACTGGAAACAATACAAGCTAGAAAACAGTGGAGCAACATCTTTAAAGAATTAAAAGACATAAAAAACCCGTAACCTAGATTTCCAAGCCCAATGAAAGCATCTTCCAAAAACTAAGATGATATAGAGATGTTTTCAGACATACTGAAAGAGTTCAATTACCAGTAGAAAGGCACCATGAGAAATGCAAAAGGAAATACTTCAGACATAAGGAAAATGATACCAGACGAAAATAAATGAAATGAAGAGCACCAGAAATGGTAAATATATTGGCAGAGTCTCACTCTGTCGCTGAGGCTGGAGTGCAGTGGCGTGATCTTGGCTCACTGCAACCTCTGCCTCTCAGGTTCATCTGGGATTACAAGCGCCCGCCACCATGCCCAGTTAATTTTTGTATTTTTAGTAGAGACAGGGTTTCACCATGTTGGCCAGGCTGGTCTCAAACTCCTGACCTCAGGATCCGCCCACCTTGGCCTTCCAAAGTGCTGGGATTACAGGCGTGAGCCACCGCGCCCAGCCTAAAAACTTTTCTTATTATTTAAATTGCTTTAAAAGTTAATTAACTGGAGCTTGGTGGCCTGTCAGCTACTCAGGAGGCTGAGAACAGAAGATCACTTGAGACCAGGACTTTAAGACCAGCCTGGGCAACATAGCAAGACCCCATCTCTAAAAAATTTTAAATCAGCCAGGTATGGTGGCCTAAGCCTGTAGTCCCAGCTACTCAAGAGGCTGAGATGAGAGAATCCCTTGAGTTTGAGGAGCTGTGATCAGGCCATTGCACGCCAGCCTGGGAGACACAGCAAGACCTTGTCTCTAAAAAACAGAAATGTTTAAGTCAATCAACAGTGGGTTTTTTTATTATTATTATTCTGTACTAAAACAAAACAAAACTCCTTAGAGAAATGACTAATTCTAATCCAGGGGCAAAGGGAATATGAGCCTGTAATATATTATGCCAGAAAGTAAGGACATACTCAAAGAGTGATGGAAATATGTCTTAAGAACACAGAAGCCAGATTGAAGAGATTCCCATGGCCAAATCTGGAGTGATTTGAGTATCAAAATAAATACTTATACTACCAGATAATAATTCACCGGATAAAACAGGAATCCATGTGTCTACATTGATACAATTAAACAGAAAAAGCTGAAAGCTTTTCCTTAAATGGAATGTCACACTAATAAATGTAGGAGAACTGAATTAACCATTCCATTTGGCAACTATCATTTAAAAAAATTAATTTAGCCAAGAAACATCAATATGTGCTAAAACTAGTGGACAGAGATTTGATTAAAAAATGAGACATTTATCATCTAAAAATGTATCTCCCCACAAATACTTACTGATTGCAAAGTCTAAAAGGTTAACTTCACAGAGAAGAAACATGGTAGACACTAATTAAGGCTTCAAAGTTTATATCACTAGCAATAGGACAAATCAAAATGTGTCCCCTCTGACAGGATGCAAAAACAATACAATATTGCTTCCGCATTACTTCTTCCAAAGATGCATAACTTGAATCTCTTCACCAGGAAACATCAGACAAACCAAAATTGATAAACATTACAAATTAACTGGCCTAAAACTCTTCAAAAATCTTAAGGAAAGACTGAGAAATTATTTCAGATTGACAGAGAGTAAAGATACATGACAAGTAAATGTAATTTGTGGTCTTAGATGGAATCCTTTAGTTATAAAGGACACTGAGACAGCTGAAGAAACTTGAATGGATGGATGAATGAGATGCCAGTAACATGTTAAGGTTAATGTCCTGGTTTTCATGGGCATACTATGGTTATCTAGAAGGATGTTCGTATTTGTAGCAAATATCCATGATTTATTTTGGGAGTACTGAGGGATCATCTTTCTAATTTACTTTCAAATGGTTAGCAGGGGGAAAGCTCTTTATACTATTTCTGTAATGTTTCTTCAAGTTTGGAAATATTTCCAAGGAAAAAGACATAAAATACTCAAGAAATAAAGGCAGGGAGTATTAAGGTAGCAGTATCCCAAACCAAGACTCTTCCACAAGGAAGCATATTCCCTTTATCCCCAGTGGCAGCCTGTCCAATCTTTTAATCCATGGAAATAATGGTCAATCCACTGATATAGCAGAGAGAGAGAGAGAGAGAAAGAGAGACAGATTGCCTTTTTTCCTAGCTGACATATTTCACAACAAAGTCAACAGCTGCCTCCCAGTAATAATTCACACAATAGCTAATTTGTTGAGTTTTTAATAACTAATAAAGCAATTCCCATTCATGTCACAAATGTGATAATAAATATACAATTCCACTGACCTTGGAGAAGAGCTCCCACACAAATTAACTTTCCAGATAACTGTATCATACGCTTATCTTTTTTAATTGTATGAACAATATTTCAAAATTTAACCATTTTGGATAGGAATATATCCTCAATGACTACTTACTTCCCTGTCTTCTGACACTGTACAATGAAAATAGTGATTCTTTTTGTAAAGGTTGATGATCACTAGAGCATCATTATGCCCAGTATCATACAGCCCTACATCATAATACCTTTTAAATTGTATAGTCAGCATTTAATATTTTGTCTGCCTTTCCTCTCCCATCTAAGTACTAGCCAGGCCCAACCCTGCTTAGCCTCTGAGATCAGACAACATCAGGCACATTCAGGATGATATGCACAGACTGCCTTTCTTCTCTATGAGATTCCCATATGACATTTCTTAGGGCTTTCAATGTGCCTGCCTGTAGCATCACTAAATTATAACATTTAATCTGTTACAGACTTGGAGACTAGATCATGATTTGTAGAATGACACACAAAATAAGAGTAAACAGCTTCTGAATGAGGCCTATGGATTCTTACTAGGCATAAAATGTAGAACATTTTAGGTATGAGATGTTTTTGCTGCTCAGTGGATTTTTTTGTAACTAGGGAGTTATTATTTGTTTAAATTTTTTATTCTTAATTTTAGTGGGCACACAGTAAGTGTATATGTTTGCAGACTACATGATAAATTTGGATACAGGCATACAATAAGTAATAATAATTACAGGGTAAATGGGGTATCCATCACCTCAAGTATTTATCCTTTGTGTTATAAACAATCCAATTATACTTTTAGTTATTTTTAAATGTAGAATTAAATTTTTTTTACTATAGTCATCTTGTTTTTACTAGCAAGTATTAGGTATTATTCTTTCTTTCTACTATTTTTTGGTACCCATTAACCATCCTCACTTCCTCCCCACCACCTCCTATTTTACTACCCTTCCCAGCCTCTGGTAACCATACTTCTTGCTCTCTATCTCCATGACTTCAATTGTTTTAATTTTTAGCTCCCACAAATAAGTGAGAACATGTGATGTTTGTCTTGCTGTGCTTGACTTATTTCACATAACATTATGACCTCCAGTTCCATCCATGTTGTTATAGATGACAGGATCTCATTTTTTTAATGGCGGAATAGTATTCCATTGTGTATATGTATCACATTTTCTTTATCCATTCATCTGCTAATGGACACTTAGGTTGCTCCCAAATCTTGGCTATTGTGATAAACATGGGAGTACAGGTATCTCTTTGATAAACTGATTTCCTTTCTTTTGGCTATATGCCCAGCAGTGGGATTGCTACATCATGTAATAGCTCAGTTTTTAGTTTTTTTGAGGAACCTCCAAACTATTCTCCATAGTGGTTGTACTAATTTACATTTCCACTAACAGTGTACAAGGGTTCCCTTTTCTCCACCTCCTCACCAGTATTTGTTATTGCCTATCTTTTGGATAAAAGCCAGTTTAACTAGCGTGAGATAATATCTCATTGTAGTTTTGATCTGCATTTCTCTGATGATCAGTGATGTTGAGCACCTTTTCATAGGCCTGTCTGCCATGTATATGTCTTCCTTTGAGAAATGTCTATTCAGATCTTATGCTCTTTTTAAATCGGATTATTAGATTTTATTCCCAGAGTTGTTTGAGCTCCTTATACATTCTGGTTATTAATCCCTTGTCAGATGGGTAGTTTGCAAATGTTTTCTCCCATTCTCTAGGTTGTGCCTTCACTTTATTGATTGTTTGCTGTGCAGAAGCTTCTTAATTTGATGTGATCCCATTTGCCCATTTTTGCTTTGGTTGCCTGTGCTTGTGGGATATTGCTCAAAAAACTGTTGCCCACTCCAATGTTCTGGAGAGTTCCCCAATATTTTCTTTTAATAGTTTCATAGTTTTAGGTCTTAGATTCATGTCTTTAACCCACTTTGATTTAATTTTTTATATGGCAAGAGACAGTGGTCTAGTTTCCTTCTTCTGCATTTGGATATCTAGTTTTCCCAGCATCATTTATTGATGAGACTGATCTTTCTCCAATGTATGTTCTTAACACCTTTGTCAAAAATGAGTTAACTGTAGATGTATGGATTTATTTCTGCGTTCTTTATTCTGTTCCACTGGTCTATGTGTCTGCTTTTAGGCCAGTACCATACTGTTTTGTTTACTACAGATCTGTAGTATAATTTAAAGTCAGGTAATGTGATTCCTGAAGTTTTGTTATTTTTGCTCAGGATAGCTTTGGCTATTCTGGGTGTTTTGTGGTTCCATATAAATTTTAGGAGTTTTCTTTTTTCTATTTCTGTGAAGAATGTCATTGATATTTTGATAGAAATTGCATTAAACTTGCAGGTTGCCTTGGGTAGAACAGACATTTCAACAATATTAATTCTTCTAAATCTATGAACATGGAATATCTTTCCATTTTTGTGTGTCTGCTTCAATTTCTTGTATTAATGTCTTGTAGTTTTCACTGCAGAGCTTTCATGTCTTTAGTTAATTCCTAGATATTTAACTTTATTTGTAGCTATTGTGAATGGGATTACTTTCTTGATTTCTTTTTCAGATTGTTCATGTTGGCATATAGAAACTGATTTTGGTATATGTTTATTTTGTATCCTGCAACTTTAATGAATGTGTTTATCAGTTCTAACAGTTTTTTGGTTGAGTCTTGAGGATTTTTCCAAACATAAGATCATATCATCTGGGCCAGGCACAGTGGTTCACGCCTGTAATCCCAGCACTTTGGGAGGCCGAGGCGGGCAGATCATGAGCTCAGGAGATCGAGACCATCCTTGCCAACATGGTGTAACCCCATCCCTGCTAAAAATACAAAAAATTAGCTGGGCATGGTGATGCACGCCTGTAGTCCCAGCTATTCGGGAGGCTGAGGCAGGAGAATCACTTGAACTCGGGAGGCAGAGGTTGCAGTGAGCCAAGATCGCACCACTGCACTCCAGCCTGATGACAGAGTGAGACTCCATCTCAATAAATAAATAAATAAATAAATAAATAAATAAATAAAGATCATATAATCTGCAAACAAAGATAATTTGAGTTCTTCCTTTCCAATTTGCTTAGCGGATTTTTAATGCTAACTTTGGATTACTGTTTGGCTGTTATAAATTGATATTGCCAAATAAATGAGGCATTATTCTGTTTGAATTTTCAAGCACCATACTAAATGTCATTCAAAAAGAAGGTTGGAATTCACATATCCAATGAGAAAAAAGTCAGGTCTTTGTGGTAAAAAGAAAAAAAAGACAAACCATCCATTGGACCACTGGACCTTGATTCTTGGGAAATTCTTCCAGTGTTAGCACATTTCACTACTTCTGCCTATAATAATATTATGAAGGGTATTTGTCTGTGGCTCAACTCCTAAAGTCACCCTATAGACAAAGCACAGGAGCTGATTATAACAACATAACATGTAAAGTTTTTTTAAACTTGATAATGTAAAAATGAGATAGCTAACAAAAACACAGAGGTAGAGTGAGAGAGAGAAGGTGGCAGGTATTATAAATGTGGTAAATTCCTCATCTTTCATTGTCCAAAGCCAAATCACTATTTAATGTTTTTGTATTAAATAACAGAAACAAATACATTGTTTCATGTTTTAATGATAACCATCATAAGGGAAAATAGAAAGTGTGAAAGGTGGTTATTACTAAGGGCTGTGACTGGGTCAAGGTTGGGAGGGTTGAACGAGAACTTTTACTTTTCATTTTAGAATTTGATTTTTTAAAAATTGTATGCAGATTTCACTTTAATTTTTTAAAATATGCCAGGTGCAATTGGGGGCTAAGTTTGTTTGGGGAACAAAAGGAAAGATGGTATCACTTTCTCCAGGAAGTTTCCCATGACTACCTTGGGGTCTCTTTTCCCTGTGTTCCCAACAGGCAAGCATGAGACACTATCCAAGCATTTAATATACTGTACTGTGTCTGTGTGCATAGTTGTATGACTAACACACTAGACTAAAATCTCCTGGAAGGCTGGTGTCATAACGTGACATTTGTATCTCCAGCACATAACAGTATAATAACTAGAAGAGCAATAAGTATCTGCTGAATGAAAACAACACATGAATGATGGTCCATAGTGAAAAAAATGATCACACAAATTATTTGCAAAACAGCATTAAAAAAAGGAAAAGAAGAGAGAAACAAACTCCCAAAAAAACATAAAATGAACATCAACATTTATAGTTCTGTCATGCTAACTGTATCTCACCAAAAAATTAATTTTGAAAAGAAACTTTTGATGAATACCCAGGAAAGGTTAAAAGAAATTAAAAATGGAAAGAAAGAAAGAAAGAAAGAAAGAAAGAAAGAAAGAAAGAAAGAAAGAAAGAAAGAAAATCCCGACACTTTACCTTTTCCATTTGCTTTATACCAGAGATCGTTTTCACCACCTCTTGTGGGTAGTGAAAACTCAGTACAGGCTGACTTGCAGATGCCAACACATGCCGTGCCTTGTCAGAATACTTTTCAGAGTGGTGAATTTATTTATGCATAAACAATGTTTCAAGTCTATTCAAATGGCTCCACAGAATAATTCCACACGACAACTTCTTTCTACCATCAAAATCTGCTTACATTCAAAAGAAAACCTTACTTTAAAAACAAGCACTGTGAAGTTATGGTCTCCAAGGCTACAGGGGACAGCTCCGTGTTGAAGCATCAAAATTGGAATGCTTAACACATTTTGAGTAAGTATATTTTTTTCTCAGAGCAATTATAAAACTTTTTCTGTCTGCTCTATATAAAAACAGTTCTATAATATTAGTTTATCATACAATGAATCAGTAAGTTAGACACTCATTTTTAGCCTTGAAAACGCAATATTTAAAGTCAGCTATTTCACCAGTCTTACTTTTCAGCTCCAATGTTTCAAGAAGTGTTAGAATTACATGGCCCTTTGATCAAATAATCAACAAAAAAGAAAGGAATTGTGGTAAGATCTTAAAAAAAGTATAAAAGACTTTCATTAAGCATACAAATTCTACTGAAGTATGTATCCTGTTAAAAAACACCATGGAACAGAAGAAGCCTCAAGCTTTTGGAAGGTGCTAAGAAAGTAGTGTACAATCTTAGACAAGTTGTTAAACTTTCCTGAGCCTCAATTTATTCATTTGCCTAATGTCCCTGGTTGCTGAAAGAATTAAATAGAATGATAAAATATATACAACACCTAGCACAATATTTGCAAATGACAGGCAATCAAAAAAAGTTGTGACTAGTATTGAGGAGATAAGGAGGTATCTATATGATAATGTAAGGTGAATAACGCAAAGTATCCAGGGCACAGAATACTTTCTATGTGCAATATGGGTACAGGAACGAAGTGAGATCCAACAATGCTTCCTAAAGCAGAGGAATGTGATCTACATCTCTAAGAATGTATTTAACGTGTCAGGCAAGCATTCCCCACCTTTCCACATGCTGGTACCCAGGTGTTATCTTCTGTTCCTTATACTGCCTGATAAACTCTCAATTATTCCTTATAAATTTAACACCTGCCCCATGACAGGGAACAAGCTAAGCACCAGTGGCTGTTACCGTGAGCAAGATAAACTAGAGTCCCTGTCCCCCACAAATCTATGGAGGGATACAGAATAATTAAACACAGAATTATATCGCCATGTAAAATTTTATAATAGAAGATGACAACGGGCTTCATTTCTCTCCCTCACCAACATACACCCCAAAATAAAAATATGACTGAGCACGCTGAGGCCAAGATTTAGATTTAGGGGTAATGTAGGAGGTTCCCTTGGGCCTAAATCCCCCTATTTTAACCCAGTCCTTTTCCAGGGAGTTTCAGCGACTGCACCCTTCCTTTGGGCACCTACTCATAAAACAACTCTCTGATTTTCATTCCGCTACTGTTTATTCTGTGCATAGCTCCCCATTCAAACTGACAGAATGGAGGGGGGTGACTGACAGAGTAACACAAGGTCTACTAACAACAGATTCTCAATAAAGATTTCTCACTAATGACATTTTATTTCAAATAATTAACAAGCATTCTTTTTCTTGATTACTGGATCACTAAACTCTGCACCTAATTTGTCATAAAATTCTCAACTGCAAAGTTTATCACACAGCAATCTCCACGATTCATATGGATACTATATGGTAAAATTCTTTATTGTTACTATTTTTATACACATTCTCACAGTCACATAATTATAATTGTTCAATCATTTAAAATGTTGGAAAACACTTCCATTCTTCTTTGTACCACTTTCACCACACATCAAAACTGCTCTTATATATGTCACCAGTGAGCTCCAAGTTGCTAAATTCAGCTTTCAATTCTTTTTTTTTTTTTTTTTTTTTTTTTGAGACAGTCTCGCTCTGTCGCCCAGGCTGGAGTGCAGTGGCATGATCTCAGCTCACTGCAAGCTCTGCTTCCCGGGTTCACGTCATTCTCCTGCCTCAGCCTCCCAAGTAGCTGGGACTACGGGCGCCCACCACCATGCCCGGCAAATTTTTTTTTGTATTTTTAGTAAAGACGGGGTTTCACCATGTTAGCCAGGATAGTCTCAATCTCCTGACCTCGTGATCCGCCCACCTGGGCCTCCCAAAGTGCTGGGATTACAAGCGTGAGCCACCGCACCCGGCCCAGCTTTCGATTCTTAACCCTCACATTACTCAACCAATCAGCAACCTTTTTTTTTTTCTGAGGCAGGGTCTCACTATGTTACCTAGGCTGGTCTCAAACCCCTAGGCTCAAGCAATCCTCCCCCTTCAGCCTCCCAAATTTCTGGGATTACAGGCGTGAGCCACCATGTCCCAGCCATCAATATTTGATTCAATTAATCACTCTCTTAGAAATATTTAATTTACTTTGACCTCTGGGACACCTCTTTGTCCTAGATTTTCCACAACCTCATTAGCCGTCCTTCTCCTCTGTTCTATCATCCTCTTCTTAAATGTTGGAATGCCTTGAGCAAAATCTGGAAGGTAGAAGGGATAGACGCCATTCTTCCTGCAGCAGTGACAAGCTCTTTCAGGAGTGAGGTTTTGCAGTAGACAGTTTCCTTATTTAGGTGTCTGGTAAGTGTGGGATGGCTATTTCACCAGCAGCAGTTTTCTGATTGCTGGATCACAGCTGTGGTGGGTTGACCCCGAAGCCCAGTCTATTCTCCACACCAAAGGCATTTTTTTTTTCTTTTTAGAGATGGGGTCTCAGCTTTGTTGGCCAGACTAGAGTGTAGTGGCACAATGAGAGCTCACTACAGCCTCAAATTCCTGGGCTCAAGGGATCCTCCAGCCTCATCCTCCCAAGTAGCTGGGACTACAGGCATGTGCCACCAAGCCTGGCTAATCAGAGGTATTTTTTTAAAAACTAGAAATCAGATCACATCACTCCCTTGCTCAAAGCCCTCCAACAACTTCTTATCATGCTTGGAAAAAAAATAAAACTCTACATGATTCTGGCCTTGCCAACTTTGCTCACTATGCCCAAACTAGACTGACCACCTAGCTATTCTTGTAACAAACCAAACTCATTCCTACCTGCTATCTCTTCTCTCTGGAATGTTCTTTCTCCAAATGCCCATCCAACTTTGCTGTCTAATTTTTTTCAAGTCTTTGTTCAAATATTTTCTTCTCAGTGAGGTCTTCCCTGATCATCCTACCATCCTCAGTATCTACCAACCTCTATTCTCCTCCTACTACTTTATTTTTCTTCATAGAACTTACCACTAGCAACAAATTTATAACTAATTTATCTACTTCTGAATTTCCTATTAAAATGTACGCTCCATGAAGATAGGACTTTTTCTTTCTTTTTCAGTATATAACAAGAGCCTAGAACATAACAACACTCAATAAACATAGCTATCATTATATTCTACTCTCAGGAATAACAACAACCTATATACTTTTTCACTTCCAAATTACATCCCTGGCCAGGTGCAGTGGCTCACACCTGTAATCCCAGCACTTTGGGAGGCCAAGGCAGACGGATCACCAGGTCAGAAGTTAAGACAGCAGTCTGGCCAACATCGCAAAACTCCAGCTCTACTAAAAATATAAAAATTAGACGGGCGTAGTGGCACACACCTGCAGTCCCAGCTACTCGGGAGGCTGAGGCAGGAGAATTGCTTGAACCTGGGAGGCGGAGGTTGCAGTGACCCGAGATTGCGCCACTGCACTGCAGCCTGGGCAACAGAGCGAGACTTCATCTCAAAAAAAAAAAAAAAAATGCCTTTGCCATAATGCAACCTTAGGCAAATCAATTCCCCTTTCTGGATCTCATGAGTAAAACAGCGGTAACAATGACTAGCAGCAATCCATACACTTGCTTTAAGGATTAAATGAGATAAAGCATGTGAAAAACTTAACTGGCAGATAGTACATATCCAATAAATGTGTCTTTTACTCTTATTACCCTAAAATTGTTTGCCAAATTAACTACATAACTGTTTAAAGACGGCAACTATATCCCCAAAGTCCTCTCTTCTCTAGGATATTTATATTCTCTAAATATCCTCTATTCCCAACTAGTCTTTACATGACTGCTTTAAAATCATTTATCTTCCTGGCCATCTCCCCGGCTCTTTCCCATCAAAGTAAACTGGGACCCAAATTAAACAGAATACTCCAAATATGATCTAATGAACACAAAGTCCAGGAAGACTATTACTTCTCTTGATCTGGACAATATATTTTAATTAATGCAATATAAGATCATCTTAGCTCCTTTTTTAATGCTGCTGAGTCAATTTCTTGGCTTACACTGAATTTTTCATGAGTTTAAATCTCCAGATGTTCTCCCCATAAACTGTTTAAAGTCAGTTTTCCTCCCATGTTCAAATTTAACTCTGTCATTAGAATCAAAGAATCTCGGGAACAGAAAAATCAGTGCTACTGTGGAAAAGTCATTTTCCTCTATGACATTAGTTTACTTCTTGCAGAGTCTGAATTTAAGGAACAGAAGCCTAAGAACAGTCAGGGATGCCAACTAAGAAAGAATCATTGGGTCCAATCACTTCACACTTGACATATTGGGAGAAAAGAAGTAAAAAGACCTATGTGGTCATAGAGTCAGAGACACTCCTCAATAGTAAACCATTAAGACCTCCTCCACGGGGAGGCACAAGGTGAGGAGTATATTAAGCACACTCTGGAGGGCTCCAGGAAAGCCTATTAGGAAAGTCTCCATTGTGTGGGTGCCACAAGACTCTAAGTAATTCCTGGCTCATTTTATGTTGGTGTATCATCAAAAAAAAAAAACTTTTACTGGGAAGACTAAGGGTGCTATAAGGAAGTCTCAACAAGAGAAAAGAATGTCACGGGGAATTCCTCCACATGAGATGGAGAAATATAATGGAAAGGCCTTTACCACTAAACTCAGACTCTGCATGACTTACTAGCTGAACACCTGGGAACCACACTACTCAACTTTTGCAAGCTTCAGTCTGAGCTTGTAATAGTATTGGAATTGCAATAGTAGTGTGGCTATTGTGAACACAATAAAAAGATGTATGCTAACTTTTAGCATTTAACTGAAATGCTATTTTACTTAATAGCATTAATGTATTTAAGTGAAAATTTTTAATATTCAAATCTTATTTTCCTTCTCCACCCCCTGTGTAGGCCCTTTGTAGAAAAGGAACGGATTCTGACTCATTCTTAGAACACAACATATTTAGAAATTATTATTAGTTTCTCAACGAATGAAAGACCCTTTGTTTGCTGTATCTGTTATCTGTCCTACTAGAATATAAATCCCTAAGGTAATAATCTGGCTTCTCATTTTAACAGAGTATTTCCAGTCATAAAGAATCAACTGTAGGAATAAGGTTATTACAAAGTCCACTCTCAATAGATAAACATGCTGAGTCTCAGATTCTCTTCCAAGGTGAAACATCCACTTTTAGAACAAAAGTTACTCCAAGGGCCAGTTGATATCCTGATAAACTTAATGTATTAATTCTCCTAAAATCATCAATAAGTTTTCTTAATAAAACGGCATGTAAAAATCAAGTTATGGGTGGGGTAGGTTTTAATGGTAACTGGTTATTTTTATTGGCAGAGACATCAGGGTGAAATCACTAAACCTTGGAATGCTGCCTTGGAACATGCCTGGCACCAGCGGGAATGTAGAAGTTACAAGGCAGCTATGAGAGATGTGACAGTGAAGCCTTAATTCGCAGTGACATCTCAAACAAAGCAGTCTTAGTCCAGTAACTCTGTGAATTCAAGCCAAAATTAAAGGACAGGGGCAGAGACAGAGAACATCTCTTGGGCAGAAGACTACATATACTTAACTGCCCTCAAAGAATGCTTTACTTCTTTACGCTGATTTTATTCTTCCTATTTTATTCTTCATTCACCTTTTCAACATTTGAAAGCTGACTTTTGCTCTAAGCCAAAAGTTCTGAACATGTTTTGGGAAGGGCTCATTTAACTTACCCATTACATTTCCATTCTCTATTAAACATTCAGTAAACTAGAGAAAATGAACTTAGTAGCATAATTGCCTATAAGAGGTCCTAGTTAAAGACTATGAGATCTATCAGTAAGTCCTGACTACTGGTTTACTCATTTAGTAAACTGCAGTTAATTTAAAAACAATGCTTTCAGGCCAGGCACGGTGGCTCCCGCCTGTAATCCCAGCACTTTGGGAGGCCGAGGCGGGTGGATCACGAGGTCAGGAGATCAAGACCATCCTGGCTAACACGGTGAAACCCCTTCTCTACTAAAAATACAAAAAAAAATAGCTGGGCATGGTGGTGGGCGCCTGTAAGTCCCAGCTACTTGGGAGGCTGAGGCAGGAGAATGGCATGAACCTGGGAGACAGAGCTTGCAGTGAGCCAAGATCATGCCACTGCACTCTAGCCTGGGTGACAGAGCGAGACTCCGTCACAAAAAAAAACAAAAACAAAAAAAAACACAATGCTTTCAACATGAATTTTTCATTAGCATGCACTGTATCCAAAATGAAATATTAAATTATTTTATATATAAAATATACTATAACTGTGGCAAAACATATCCAAGGTTAGTACTAATCATCTTTGGAAAGGTAATTAAAAATCTACCATTTAAAAAATTCCTCAAAAAATCTACCTGGTTCAGTTATTATCCAACAGGATTATATTTCACCCATTTCTTCATTCATTCATTTAACAAATATTTGCTGAGCATTCGCTCTGAGCCAGCTTGGTGCTATATGCTAGGAACAACATTGTAAACTGAGATATAAATTCCCTGAACGTATATAGTCCACATTCTCCATTCTCATTCTGAGAAACACTTTAAGGCAAAAGTATCTGAAATATTTTGTTTTAGTTTACATGAAAAAAGTTATTACAATTTCAACATCAGAGAGCATCCTGTCCAAGAAGAGGTCATAATGTAACAACATTTCTAACTACAACATTAGAGTAGTTTCTGGTCTTAATTAGAAAATGTGCTGTAAATTATTGAAATTATTAAAAGAATTATAAAATAAAACTATGTGCATTATTTCAGCAATAATGTTGGAAATCTAGAGGAAATAGGTGGTTTCCTACCAAAAAACAAATTCCAAAATAAACCAAGGAGAAGCAGGAAAAAATGGACAGAGCGATGAGTACTAAAGGGATTGAAAGAAGATTTACCCTTATAAAATGCACCTGAACTGGATGATTTACTAGCTAAGTCCTAACCTTCAAAGAACTAAAAACTTTCAAAATTATTTAATCTGTTTCAGATGGTAATGATGATAATGATAGCTGACACATACAATTCAGGCACTGTACTAAGCAGTTCACATTAATACCTTTCATCTTCCCAGCGATCCAGAGACAAATGCTATTATCATCATCATTTTACAGATTAGGATCATAGAATAAGATGGAAAGCTTCACAATTCATTCACAACTCAATTTTATGATTTTGGGAGAGACGGTAATTTATACCTCCCCCCATAACAACAACACAACTGCTAAAAACTAATCTTGCTTATAAGTAATGATCAAAAGAATAACCTATAACTAGTCAGTAATACAACACTGGGAAATCCACATACCTTATTACAATTATAAAGGAAGAAAATATATAATATTAATAAATGTGGAAAGGCATTTCAAAAAATTCAGCAACCAATCCTAACAAAAGCATTAAGTGAATAAAAAGAATTATTTAAAATATTTTCCTTTTTGAGGCGGAGGTTGCAGTGAGTCAAGATCGAGCCATTGCACTCCAGCACGGGCAACAAGAGCAAAACTCCGTCTCAAAAAGAAAAAGAAAAAGAAAAACGAACATATATATATATATATATATGAAAAAATATATGTATATATATTTTTTTCTTATATATATATGTTCGTTTTTCTTTTTTTTTTTTTCCTTTCAGATGTAGTTTCGCTCTTGTCGCCCAGACTGGGGTGCAGTGGTGCAATCTCGGCTCATCACAACCTCCGCTGCCTGGGTTCAAGTGATTCTCCTGCCTCAGGAATTACAGGTGCGTGCCACCACGCCCAGCTAATTTTTGTATTTTTAGTAGAGACGGGGTTTCGCCATGTTGGCCAGGCTGGTCTTGAACTCCTGACCTCAGGTGATCCACCTGCCTAGGCCTTCCAAAGTGCTGGGATTACAGGCATGAGCCACCACGCCCGGCCAATAGTTTTCAAAATTAACAGAAAATATTCTGAACAGCAAACTACTGAACTTTTTCAATTAGAACAAGGAACTGGGATGGTCACAATGCCTATTACTTTTCAACATTATTCTGAAAGTTCCAGAAGGTTTAGCAAATGCAGTAAGTCTAGAAAATCAGTATAAACATTAGAGAAGAAAAGCCTATCCTTTTACTGATGATAATGTGTATGCCAAAAAAGGAGAGCTTTCCTTAAAAAAACAATAGCAATAAAAACAATTAGATATATTACTAAATATAAATAAGATTTTCCTAGAAGTATAGCTTTTCCTTATAATAGCAGTAAGCACACAAGAATGGAATGGAACACCTATTTTATACAAAATACTGTAAAAACTATAACATACTTAAGAACAAATGTAACAGAAAGCCAAATGACCATATAAAGAGAACTACAATCTTGTTGAAGGAATAAAATAAAATATAAACAAATGAAAAGACACCATGTTCTTGGATGGGTATACTAATATAAAATGACATCTTTCCCAAAATAATTGTAAAACTTCAACTGATATAAAAATTTCGATTAAAATTCCAATAAGATTGGTCTTTTAAAGTAGGATAAAATAAGCTTAAAGTTCACATAAAAGAATAAAGTTCTGAGAATAGCCAAAAATAGTATCAAAAAGAAGAGTAGCAACAGGACGTGCCTTACTTGATTTTAGACCACACAAAAAAATCCCCTGTAGTTAAATCAATCTGAAAGTTACAAAATACACAAAAGGATAAGATAAACAAAAAAAGAGCGAATCCAGAAATAGATCCCAGTATATATGCACTTTTAATATATTACAAAAGTATTATTTAAATTCAGTGGGAAAAGAAAGGTGCTGGCACAATGAATTCATCTATGAAGAAATAATTTCTACCTTACAAGATATGGACTATCTATACTAGATATCAGTGTGCAGATGGGTGGATTAAAAGAAAAAAAAAATAAATTGCAATTTGTATTAAATATTTAATTTAAAAAGTAAAATAATATAAATCTCAAAGTTAGCAAAAAATATCTATAGAAGCAAGGTATAGGAGAGTCCTCTTCAACTCAAGAGTGCCCAGAAAATATAAAACAGAAAACAGAATTACACGATACAACAAATATGAACTTTTTGTATAAGGTATCATAAGTCAAGATGTAATTGTCAGATTTGGGAAAAAAATACCAAGTACTCTTAGGAACTTATGAGAAAAATGCAAGCAACTCAATTTTTAAAAACTAGGTAAAGTAAATGAATAGGCAAATTCACAGAAGAATACCCTAAATAGCTAATAAGCTTAAGAAAACATGTTAAATTTCACTTGTAGCTCAAACTAAGTACTTGCACCAGGCTGACAAAAATTGAAGTAATACTGAGGTATCATTTACACTCATCAAATTAGTAAAAATCATAAAAATTGATGATGGCCATTGCCAGCACAGAATCAGGGTAAGGAGTAATGCCATTTATTTTGTGCCCTTTGGGAAAACAACCTGATTATCTCTAACAATTGAAACAATACATACCCTTTGACTCAGAAATCCCACTGCTGGGAATGTAATCCATGGAAACAAAATCATCATAAAAACAAGGTTATATATGTGTATAAATATTTCCTTCAGTAATGTGCATACTGTCAAAACAAACACGCATTAAAAACCAGAGCCAGAGTAAATATTATATTAAATGCCTATCAATAGGGTAGTGGCTGAATAAATATGATATAGCCTCACCACTGACTATTATTAAGCCATTTAAAAAGTGAATTAGAGGAATGTATGCATAGAATATTGAACAAGAAACCCAAGTATGTGTATCAACTCCAATTTTATAAAACAATTTTAATTTTATAAATTAATTCAAACCATATACATAAACCATAAATTATATAGAAAACATATATAAATGTATCTATAAATCATATCTATGACATATAGAGAGACTATGGGAAAAAATACAGATGGATACATATCAGATTGTTAACATGGGTGAAGGGTGACTAGGGGTCATGCGGACCTATGTTCTGTGTTTGGGTGGTTTGCTGGCAGCGGAATGGGGGAAAAGGGCTTAAAGAAGAAGATGAGCCAAAAAGTACAAGGAAAGGGGAAGGAGAAGACTTCACCCTATAATTACTCCCGTATTTTGCTTAAATCCTATTTTTGTAAAACTGTGTGTGTGTGTATATGTGTGTCTTTATGTGTATGTATACATACATAGATATATTTATAGTATATGTAGAGACGGATGAATAAAGAAGAATAAAATGTGCTGCTGCACATAAATACAAATTTTGCTCCACCAAAACTCACATTAAATACCAAAATTAGCCAGGCGTGGTGGCTCACACCTGTAATCCCAGCACTTTGGGAGGCCGGGGCAGGTGGATCACGAGGTCAGGAAATTGAGATCATCCTGGCTAACATGGTGAAACCCCGTCTCTACTAAAAACACAAAAAATTAGCCAGGCGTGGTGGCACGTGCCTGTAGTCCCAGCTACTTGGGAGGCTGAGGCAGAAGAATCGCTTGAACTGGAGAGGCGGAGGTTGCAGCGAGCCAAAATCACACCATTGCACTCCAGGCTGGGCAACAGAGCGAGACTTCGTCCCAAAAAAAAAAAAAAAAAAAAAAAAAAAAAAAAAAACCAAAATTATTTTATTTTAAATTTTGATTGAAAACCTTCCTAAATCTTCTATGTGCCTGCTTTCTTATGAAGGCTCTCATAATTACACTTTTCTATTTTACTGATGATTTGGCACCAACATGGCATAATAGAAAACAGCACGTGCACTGGAGCCTGGCAGACCTTTCTTCAGACCTGCTTCCACACTTAACCAGCCTGTGGCCCAGGCAAATCATCTCACCATTTTAAGACTGCTTCCTCATCTGTTAAATGGAGACAGCATTATTAAAAACTAAGACAGTGCACTCATAATTCTCGTGAGTAACTTGAGTTATGAAATGCAATACAGACATGTGCTTTGGCCAAGTTGGCTAGCTATGTTTTTTTCTTTAGTTGGCCTCTCCTTACAGTGAACTGTTTCTCCTCCTCTCTCTTTTTACATGAAGTAGTGAGACAGGGCTGTTTAAGAATCCAAACAGTGACTACAAAGGTAGGACAGTAGCTAATATGATTTATCACTCAGCTATATTCCAGAATCAAAGAGTATAACAGAGCAAACTATCAGCTTTCGCTTCTTGCTGTCAGTGTGTCTATTTTAACAGTAATCCTCTTAATTCCTCCCCTAACTTACTTAAAATAAGCATACAGAAACTGGGTAAGAGCCTAGTCTCTATTAAGAAAAGAAAGTACACGAGTTTTAGCACATAAACTTTGTAAAGTCTGCTTACAGTTGGGTTCTTAGCTGTATTCTGTATAACTGCAATTACCACTTAGAGTCCATTAGGCAGGGAGGAAAAAAAAAAATCTCTTCCTGCAGCCTAAAAGTTGGTTATCACATCCATAGTTTAAAGATGATAAACAAAGTTATACCTTATACTTCTCATCCCATCTCTTCTCTAAACACTATGCTATTGATAATTTATTGGTTGTGAGCATTTTCCTGTTAAAATTGGAATTTTATAGTTGACAGTACTTTCTAGCAAAGTGCGGGGAGGGGAATTTGCTTCTAGAGAGCCAAATAAAGGTCTTCCCAAAACACTTATAGAAAGAGTTGGATTGAAAGTCACAAAATCCTGAAAATCTCACCACATGTTGTGTGGAGAGCAGGGGCTGAAAGAAAGCAACAGCTGAAGGCTCACAGACCTGATTGCATTTTCATCACCTTTTAAATATTAGCCTAGAAATTTTTTGCAACTCTCATTTTACCAGATGGAAACCATTAGGAAAAACAAAACTTTAGTCCTCTAGTAACCTGAACAATAGTTCAATTTGATCAATAGAAATGGCATTTATTATCTGTTTAACATATATATGATACACACTGCGATAGGGCTAATACAAAGACTAATAAAACAAGGATTCTTGCCTAAAGGTGCTCTCAGTTTGGGGGTGTTGAGATGAGTGGAGGGAAAATCAGACAATGAAGAACTATTTATAACACAGTAAGCACTCCATAAATGATAGTTATTGATTATACAAGTAGGGAGTGGGAGGACTTTGAAATAAAGACCTTGGTCCCTAAGGGCATGTATTGCTAAATGTCCCTTGAATATCACACTAAGAAGTGTGAACTTTCTCCTGTACATGATATATCAAAGCTTTCTAAGCCCAGCGAGTAAGAAAATTCATGTATCTTTTTTTTTTTTTTTTCTGAGACGGAGTCTCGCTCTGTTGCTCAGACTGGAGAGCAGCGGCGCGATCTCGGCTCACTGCAAGCTCTGCTCCTGGGTTCACGCCATTCTCCTGCCTTAGCCTCTGGAGTAGCTGGGACTACAGGCGCCCGCTACCATGCCTGGCTATTTTTTTTTTTTTTTTTTTTGTATTTTTAGTAGAGAAGGGGTTTCACTGTGTTAGCCAGGATGGTCTCGATCTCCTGACCTCATGATCTGCCCGTCTCGGCCTCCCAAAGTGCTGGGATTACAGGCGTGAGCCACCACACCCAGCCCACGTATCTTTTAAAAGATCACTCCAGCAGCAGTGTAAAAGATTGTAAGGATTTAAGATACACTGGTTTATATGATAGCCTCTGGAGCTAGACTGCCTGGGTTTGAATACAAATTCTAACACTAGTTTGTGTGACCTTGGTGAAGTTACTTAACTGCTTTGTGCCTTAATTTCTTCATCTAGGAGATAAGGAAATAGTCTAGGAAAATACAGATTAAAAACAAAGAAGGGTCGACAGATGAGACATCTTGCCAAAGAATCAATATGGTTTATCATCAACTATATCTATCACCAAGGGAAGAAAAATTAGAGAAACCAAAAATGACTAAGATTACTAGCTTGGGAGACTAGGATGGTGATAATACCATTAGACAAACCAGGGAAAAGAAAAGGAAGAGGAGTATTAACGCGATGAGTGTGGCTCCAGACACTTTGGGGTTGAGGTTCCTCAAGGACAAAAAAGTTCAAATATCCATGGTGGTTGGAAAATGCAGACTGGAAATCCAAAAGAGAGGTAGAGCTAGAGATATAGATTGAAGAGGTATTAACATGTAGATGTGTTGGTTGTAGCTTTAGTAACACAAGAGAGTACCTAGGGAAAAAGAGTAATACAGAAGAGTCCTAGTAAGCTCACAAGCCAAAGGAACTCCAACAATTAACCAAGAAGTATTGGTAAGATAGAAGGACAGGAGAAATATAGCCATAAGAAATAATCCTTTCCTTCAAGAAGATTTCAATGTCATTAAGGAGAAAAGACACACACATGTTAAATATTTTTTATTATGACTGTTTAGAATTAACAAAAGCAACTTTGAAAGTAAAACCACCTTTGCAAAAATTATGAGTGACAGAAATCAATCAACATGTAGCTGACTCCATCTTGCTTCTAGCCTCACAAGCTGTCTTTGTACATTCCTGGGCATAGGCCAAGCTAACTACGGGAGGAATTTAGTTTATAGCTTAACTTTAAAATAAAGATGATAACAGTCCCTTCCTGAAAGTAACCTCCTCCTTATTACTCAGGGACTGAAAACACCTTTGTAAAATTATGGTTCAGGAGTCATGCACCCAGAGGTCACAAGGTTTGTAACATTCCCAATTGCTCCTATAGATAACATCACTATCATAAAATCTAAGACTGGTGCTTGAGGTATTTTTCAGACTCTGAATTCTGATGGACCAGCTGGTATCAAATAAGTAGCCCATATCAAGAAACTGGCTTAATTGGTCTTATGACCCCCACACAGGAACTAACTTGGCACAAGAAGACAGCTTAGACCCCCTATGATTTTAGCCCCAACCCAACTAATCAGGTTTCCCCATTTCCTAGACCTCTGCCTACCAAACTATCCTTGAAACACTCTAGCCTGTGAATTCTGAGGAAGCGGATCTGAGAATTATCTCCCATCCTTCCATTTGGCTGGCCCTGTAATAATTAAACTCTTTCTTTGCTGCAAAACCTGTTCTCAATGCATTGACTTTTCTGGGCAGTGAGCAAGAAGAATCCATCATGCAGTTATAAAAGCAGATATGGAAAACACTAGAATGCTGGGGAGAGAAAGGGAAAATATGCTGAAAAGTAGAAAAGCTAGTGGTAACAAGGAAAAGGAATACTGGCTTAGAGGAGAAAGCTATATCCAAGACCAGGTAAGTAAAGAGGAAGAAGAAAACTAACATTTATTAAATGTCTACTATATGCCAGTAACTATCCTAAGATCTTTCAAATATTTTATCTTATTTAATTCTAACAATATTCCTAATAGAAGAGACAAATATTAGCCCCATTTTACAAAAGCAGACTAAGGTATACAAAAAGTTGACGTTACTTGCTCAAAGTCTTGCATCCAGTCTACCTACACATGGCAGTTTTAGGACTGGAATTTAGGTGAAGGACCAAAGCCCTTTATTTTCCACCATACTTCCACTTATTAAACTGGCAAAAGCAGGATATTTCTGAAGAAGAAGGGGAAAAAAACAATGAAAACTATACTAGAAAAAAACCAGAATTATTACTTTTCTTACTATAACAGAGTTATCTCTTTGAAAAAGTATAAAAGAAAAAACAACCAAAAAATGAGTTAACACTAAAAATAATCTCTCAGTCAGAGAACAGATTAGATATGATTAGACACATTAAGAAATGATTAGACAGAAATCATTGCTTCCAGGCTCATCCCTCAGGTCCACTCCACACTGACACCATGGTTAGAATTCTAAATTGCAAACCTGACTATGTCATTTACTCCTCCTCTCTTTATAATCTTTCAATAATTCCCTATCAATAGGACTTTAAAAAAACAGAACCAAAAGGAGAAAGGTACCTAATAAGCCTATTAGAAAGCTATCTACTAAGCCTGTATTCCTTAACCTAGAAGGAATCATACTAAGAGATTTTTTTAGTTAACTCCTAAAACTGAATGCTTATTTATAATTTACAACATTGCTTTATATTCCATTTTAGTCCCGTACTTTTCTCAACCCAAAATTGTAAAATAAATAAAATTTCAAATGCTAGTTAAGGAATAACATTGACACCTTGTGGTGAGCACCCTAAAATATGAAATACAACAACAAGTAAACTGGCTATTAATTAAATGTCTACTTTTACCTGAAAACAAATGCTTAATCCAGAGATTTCCAAGAGTTAAGAAGGAATAGTTCAATTACTATCCCACATTAAATGTAAATTTGGAAAGAACTGCTAATCTTTGGCAACACTGAAATTAGCCTAAATTCTTAACTATGGGTCAAAGCACCTGAATAAGGTCTCAGGTCATTGTTTTTCTATAAAACAATACAACCCATCCATCTGAAGGAGCTTTTTTCTTTTTTTTTTCTCTCTGCAGTGGAGTCCTACTCTGTCACCCAGGCTGGAGTGCAGTGGCACAATCTTGGCTCACTGCAACCTCCGCCTCCCAGGTTCAAACTAATCTCCTGCCTCAGCCTCCCGAGCAGCTGGGACTACAGGCATGTGTCACCATGCCTGGTTAATTTTTGTATTTTTAGTAGAGATGAGGTTTCACCATGTTGACCAGGCTGGTCTCAAACTCCTGACCTCAGGCAATCCGCCTGCCTTGGCCTCTCAAAGTGCTGGGATTACAGGCATGAGCCACCACACCCAGCATGAAGGAGCACCTGGTTTTAGGTGCTCCAAAGTCCTTGCCTTAGTCAAGAGTGCCCATTTTTCTGTGACACTCCCACACAAAAAGGAGAGAGAACAGATGTATCCTAGTGGCCCAACAGTACAGTGAAAATTAATTAACTAGAATATACTCTCAAAAAACAGAATCGGGGCCAGGCACAGTGGCTCACGCCTGTAATCCCAGCACTTTGGGAGGCCAAGGCAGGTGGATCATTTGAGGTCAGGAGTTCAAGACCAGCCTGACCAACATGGTGAAACCCCGTCTCTACTAAAAATACAAAAATTAGCTGGGTATGGTGGCGCATGCCTGTAATCCCAGCTACTCGGGAGGCTGAGGCAGGAGAATCACTTGAACCTGGGAGATGAAGGCAGAAGTGAGCCAAGGTCGGGCCGCTGCACTCCAACCTGGGTGACAGAGCGAAACTCTGTCTCAAAAAAAACAGAATCAGGAGACCAGGGTTCTAAACATGACTCTAAACAGCATGCAGAATTTTATAGAGTTAAGTGGCATTAAAGAATTTAGACTGTGTGTTTTCACACAAAATTACAGATCAAGTAACAGCAATTTTATAAACCAAGAAAGCATCAGGAAAAGAAAAGATATATTTTTTAAAATGACTCCAGCCAAGGACAATGTTAGAGAGGAAACCACGAACTAGAGTTTAATTCAATAGGCACACAATTAAGTTTCCTAGAAAGCACTTCACATATATCATGGCAAACACTATGGGAAAAGAGGATCATTTAATAGAGCAGATGATGGGTACTCTTTACTAATGTCTGAGAGAACTATCACCAAAGTCCCATCTGACTCATCAACTTTAATAAGTGCAATTTAAAGTTTCCAATTCCAGAACAACTCCCTGGGTTCAGTAAATTTGGTTGATAAATAGTCACGTGATCTGGTTTAGGAAAAGTATATCTGTGTTATTAGCTAGGCATGAATTGTACAATAGGCATGAGGAGACCACTGTTAATAAGGCAGTTCAAATTACTGACACATCTGAAGAGTCTGAAAAATACTCTAGATATGAACTCCCCAAGAGCCAAATCATTGCAAGATCAATGTTCAATAACTGAGCAACTACTAAATTAGCCTGATGACTTTGCATTTATGTAGGGCATTGTGTTTTCTAAAGAATGTCCACAGTCATTATGCCATGTGTGCCTTGTAACCACCAGTTTAGGAAGGTGAGACTATTAAAAGGATCTACAAAAACATTGTCAGAAAACCGTCAAAGCATCCTCCAGTCTGGCTCTTACTTGCTGTGTGCCCTCAGATAGATAAAACATTTAATGCCTCTTGGCCTCAGCTTCTACAATCAAGACAAGGGCTATCTATCATCCCTGATGCATGAAGGACTTCTAAGAGAATAAGATAAAAAATGTGAAAATGCTTGTAAATTACACAAATTTGTTACATCACTGCTTCCACTTTTTAGAAGCATCAGAGGTTAAATGAATTAGGATAAATCAAAGATAAAGGCAGGGTAGGATTAATCAAAGCATCCTCCATGATACCACACTGCTTCACAAGATCCAACAGTCTTTCTTCAGTTCCTGCTCTCCTACATTATCACAGTGTTCGCTACTCCTGGAAACTATCCTCTTTCAGCATCTATGATACTGCACTATCCCAAATCCTCTTCTTCCTGACTTAGTATTTTTTCTTTTAATTCTACTGTTTTCTCTAATAAGGTCACACAATCTCACATTTAGAACATATCTTTAAAATAATTGTACCCTACGCCTCATTTTACTTACTAAGGAAAACTGAGATCAAGAAATATTAGTGGCTTACTCATATTTCAAATAATTTCTGAACTTTCTTCTTTTCAAAACTTAAAACTTTGTGTGTCTCAAACTGAACAGGCATTAAAATATGTTTACTACAATCTCCACCCTCTAATTTCTAAATCCTGTGTGTTCTGCTACATATCCTAAGCAGTCAAGGTGTAGGCATCTCTCAAGCAAGAACCAAAACTCAGAAAATGTATATGGTTACTTTAGTCAAAATCATGTTTCTTAAGATTAATGGACACAGTCCATGTGACCAAACTCTATATCATGTGTAATAAGATTCAAGTTTCACAAACGAAAGGCCAATTTTGTAAAGTTTCTAAAATAACCAGTTCTCCGAGCATCCTTCTGGATTCTTCCTCAAGTACATATATAAAGGATGTCTAATGTTCTGAAATGTATTATGTGTCACGTAAACATTAGAAAATACTGTCAAAATCAAATTTCAATGAACAATCTGTCTGAGTAGGGTGAACATTGGTTGAGTGTTGCTGTTAACTTTATTTGGAATTGCATTTATTTTGGTGGCTTGCTCCCTGGAAAAATATCCTTGATGATCTATCACATTTAAAATTAAAGCCAGATTTTAAAATCTTTCAAAATTAAGCCCAGACATTATGAAAATATAGAGCTGAGGCCTTTAAGCCTCTGAGCATTAGATACATGCAAAGCTTTTTTGGCTTGCCAAACATAATTCTTTTAAGACAAAGAACAGGTCCAAACTCAAAGCCATGTTTGGGGCCGTTGAAGGGCTTTCCGAGTGATGCCGCAGTTGTTAAGACTTTGATAAGTCTAACTTTTGCAACTTTGATTACTGTTCTGTAGGGTACAGAAGACCAGAAAACAGTTCATGTCTGTTTTCAGATCACTGGCTTCCAAATATTCTCTCCCACTGTCCAGAGAAAGGAAATGGCTTTCCAAAGACTTTGTAAAATAGATAAATTTAAATCACTGTAGCTACAAAATTTATGACGCTTGCACTAAAAAATGCTAAGCTTGAATAACAGCCTCTAAAGCTTCCGTTAATTTTCTCACATTGAAATGTCACAAACTCAAAATGAGAAAGATTCTTTAGAATTCAGGGCAATCTAAGAAGTTTCTTACCGTAGCAAAGAGAAGACATCGTAAGAATTGCGAACACAGTTCTGATCCACCTGCAGAAGAATAGTCTTCTGAGCATTTGAATAACCCTGAAAGACATTAACCAACAAATTAATCAAAACCAAACAAAATAAAATATATGCACAAATTAATCATGCTTGTCTTTTTAAAAATATGACATATTAACAACTGAGTAAATCTAAAATTTTAGAGATTCCAAAAAGTAAAGTATATCTGCCATGTAATAGAAGCCTAACCTTTCAGGTGAGGGAATGTAAAATAAATTTTGGCAGGGGGATCTGACAAGAGTGGAGAAGGAGCGCGCCCAGCCCAGCCCTGAGTCCCGCGGCCTTCCCTCCCACCACAGTGCCAGCCCAGCAGGTGCCGCCCCAGCCATGGAGGAAGACAACAGCCCCCAGACCCCGAGGGGGCAGAGCAGATTTGGACATGTCGCCCAACGCTGCCACCCTTGTGCTGACCAGTCATCCCCAGAGAAAGATGAACACGGATCCTCGACCCACTTTGGTAATGTCTCCACAGTGACAGAAGATGACAAGGATCACACCCACAACGAGAGAGCTCCAGATGATGGCTGAACATCACCTGGGGCAACAGCACCAAGGAGAGGTGCCTGAGAAAGCTTCTGAGAGCACAGGGACCCAGGAAACGTGCCCACCCAGGATCAAAGACACGGAAGTGGAGTCAAGGCTGGGCACCTTTGGGCTAGCACAAGAGCCTGCAGAATCTATCCCGACAACTCAGGAGAGAGGCAGTAAAAAATGCAGCACAAAGGAACCCTCGATCCATGTACCACCACTGGATTCCCAGGAAGCCAGCTCGGTTTGAGAGAAGGAGGTATCCTGGAATCAAGGCTGCAGTTTGGGAATGCATGAACACTGGATTTGTTTCTTATTTCTTCACTTTTGTTGAAAATATCTTGTTTTTAAAAAGTGATAAATTCGGTGTTAGGTCAAAAAAATAAAATACATTTCTTCTCACAGTTTCCCACGGAAACAATGTTTCACATTATAAATTGTGGTGAACCTCCCAAGGAAGCTCCAGAAGTCATTTTAACATATTATGTGACTCAAAAAGAGTATTAACAATAATATTTCAACTATGCCTAGCCATCATATGTAATGTTTTTATGGGGAAAAGGGCATTCCAAGTTCTGACTAGGAACACCAGAAACAAATATTTCTACTCTGTGGTACAAAGTAGCAAGGATACTTTCTAAAAAGAATACAGGACAATTCCAGAAGAAGAACAGAATAGGTATCTCTGTCATTTAAGAAAGGCAGAGGAGACTGAGTTCAGTAATGATAAAACTCCAGTCTCCTGCATAGCTGGCTCTACATGAATTACTCTTTCCCTATTGCAATTCCCCTGTCTTGATAAATTGGCTCTGTCCAGGCAGAGGGCAAGGTGAACCAATCTGGCGGTCACACCACTGCACTCCAGCCTGAGTGAAAGAGCAAGACACTGTCAAAAAAAAAAAAAAAAGATAAAAAGGAATAAATAGTCATGTTTCTTAAAAAAAAAAAAGTGGGGGGTGGGGAGAGTACACAGTAATTTAGAAAAAAAGACTCTGGACCCACCAGGAGTCCAATTCAAGCCTTCAATACAACAGCTATATAATCTTAAGCAAGGAACCAGAGTGCTCTTAGTTTAACCTTGGTTTCTTCATCTGTAATATGGAGATGATAATAGTAACTGCCTCACAAAATGCGGGAATTAAAAGTTAATATCTGTAAAATGAAAGGTATTTAATAAGCACCACATACATGTTCGCTATAATGCTAGTAGTATCATTAAAAGTTATATCACTACAGACATTTAAAGGATATTAGGAGAATATTATTAACAACTTTATGCTAATAACTGTGACAACTTAATTAGACAAGTTCCTTGAAAAGAAACACAAAAGTGCCCAAACAGACATACTATGAAACATCTAAATAGTCCCATATCTACTTTTTTAGTGAATAAGCAATTGAAAATCTTCCCACACACACACAAATCCTGTCCAAATGGTCTTACTGATGAATTTCATCAAACATTTAAGAAAGAAAGAATATCCACTTTACACAAACTCCTTCAGAAAGCGGAGAAGGGAACAATTTCCAACTTATAAAACTAGCATTACTGATGCCAAAACTAGACAGAGACAACACACACACACAAAGGAAATTATACACCAATATCCCTCACGAAAAGAAACACAAAAATCCTTAGCGAAATATCAGCAAATTGAACCAGCAATACATTATAAAGATTAAAAAAGACATATTATTAACTGGATGTAGCCTAAGAATGTCTAGTTGATCTACCATTTAAAAAACAATCAACTAGACAAATACATGAAACAATCTTTATAAATCTATCTTGATGGGCACACCATTATAAAGATGCAATCTGTGAAAACAATGACACAAAGGTAGGGGAATAGAGCTATACAGAAGCAAAGCTTTTTACAGCATTAAAACTAAGTTGATATTAATTCAAACTAGAGAAGCTTGTTTTTTAAAAAGATCAACATTGACAAATCTTTTTTTTTTTTAAACAAGTTCTGATTCTGTTACCCAGGCTGGAGAGTAGTAGCATGATCACAGTTCACTGCAGTCTCAACCTCCTGGGCTGAAGCGATCCTCCTGCCTCAGCCACCTGAATAGCTGGAATTACAGGCATGCAACACCATACCCAGTTAATTTTTGTATTTTTTTTGTAGAGATGGGGTTTCTCCATGTTGCCCAGACTGACTTTGAACTCCTGGGTTCGTGAGACCCTCCCACCTCAGCCTCCCAATTAGCTGGGATTACAGGCATGCACCACCACGCCCAGCTAATTTTAATTTTTTATAGAGAAGGGTGTCTTACTATGTTGCCAAGGCTGCTCTTTAACTTCTGGACTCAAGCTATCCTCCTACCTTGGCCTCCCAAAGTGCTGGGATTACAGGCATGAGCCACTGCACCTGGCTCATTGACAAATCTTAAGGTAAACTAACCAAAGGGAAAGGAAAGAAGACTCAAATCACTAAAATCAGGAAAGAAGTGGGAACGTTATTACCAATCTTACAGAAATAAGAAGGCTTATAAAAGAATACAGTGAACAATTAATTGTATTCCAGCAAATCAGATAATGTAGACAAAATGATATAAACTACCAAACTACCAAAATGACTCTACCAAAATGACTCAAGAAGAAACAGAAACTACCAAAAATGACTCAAGAAGAAACAGAAAATCTGAACAGACCTATAACAGATAAAGAGGTAGATAGAATTTGTAATCACAAAACTCCCACAAAAAAAAAAAAAAAAAAAAAAAAAAAGCCCAGAACCAGATTATTTGACTGGTGAATTTGACCAATTATTTAATGCCAATCCTTCTCAAAGTCTTCAAAAAACATAAAAGCAAGGAAATACTTCTTAAGTTATTCTATGAGACCAATACTATCCTGATACCAAAGCCAGACAAAATGTCACAAGAAAACTATAGACCAATATCCTTTATGAATACAGATATAAAAATCTTCAACAAAATACTACTAAAAGTGATCTAGTGGCATATTAAAAGAATTACAGCCCACAACCTGGCAACTATTTCTGGGTATGTACCCCAAAAAAGTGAAAGCAAGAATGGGAAGTGCCATTTGTATATCCATATTCATAGCAGCATTATTTACAATAGCCAAGGGGTGGAAGCAACCCAAGTGTCCACAGACAGATGATGGATAAACAAAACATGGTATATTCATACAAGGAAATATTATTCACCATTAAAAAGGAAGGAAATTCTGACACACGCTAAAACATTGATGAAGCTTGAGGACATTATATTAAGTGAAATAAGCCAATCAAAGGAAAAACATTCATTCATTCATTCATATGAGGTACCTAGAGTAGTCAAAATCATAGAAACAGAAAGTCGAACGGTAACTGGCAGGGACCAGGGGATAGGGGAGAATGAGGAATTATTGTTTAATAAAGAGTTTCAGTTTTGTAAGGTGAAAAGTTTTGCAAGATGAAATACATGGATGGTGGCAATGGTTGCACAACAGTGTGAATGTACCTAATGCCACTAAACTGTATACTTAGAATGGTTAAGATAGTAAATTTTGTGTATTTGTAATTTACCACAAAAAAAATTTTTTAAAGATTATACACCATGAACAGCTGAAATTCATACACGGTATGCAAGGGAATTTCGATACATGAAAATCAATCAGGCTAGGCACCTGTAATACCAGCACTTTGGGAGGCACAGGCAGGAGGATCACTAGAGCCCAGGAGTTAGAGACCAGCCTGGACAATACAGTGAGACACCATTTCTAAAAAAAAAAAAAATTGTTTTAATAAAGAAATTGGCTGGGCATGGTGATGCATGCCTGCAGTCCCGGCTACTCAGGAGGCTGAGGTGGGAGGATCACTTGAGCCCAGGAGTTTGAGGGTACAGTGAGCCATGATTGTGCCACTGCATTCCAGCCTAAGTGACAGAGCAAGACTCTGTCAAAAAGAGAAATTATAGAAAGAAGGAAGGAAGGATCAGTGTAATACACCACAACACACACAGTCATCTCAGTTGATGCAGAAAATGCATTTGACAAAATTCAGCACCTTTCCATGATTTAAAAAAAAAAAAAATCACAAACTAGGAATAGAAAGGAATTTCCCAGACCTGATAAAGGGCATCTACAAAAAACCCACAGCTAACACCATACTCAATGGTGAAAGACTCAAAATCTTCCCCCAATATCAAAAACAAGAAAGACAAGGTGATTGCTTTCACCACTTCTACTCAACATTTGTACTCTAAGTTCTAGCCAGAACAATTAGGCAAGAAAAATAAAGTGTATTCCAAACTGGACCAAAATAAATAAAATGGCATCCCATGTTCACGGATATAAAGACTTAATATTATCAACATAGGAACAATACCCAAAGCAATCTAGATAAGATATTCAATGCCATCTCTATCAAAATTCCAGCAGCCTTGTTTACAGAAATGGACAAGCCAGTTCTCAAATTCATATGGAATTGCAAGGGGTCAATAGCCAAAATTATATTGAAGAGAACAAAGTTAGAAGATTCGCATATCCCAATTTCAACTTAATACCAAGCAACAATAGTCAAAACAGGATAGCACTGGCATAAGGACAGACATATAAATCAACAAAATAGAACTGAGAATCCAGAAATAAATCGATGCATCTATGATCAACTGATTTTCAGCAAAGGTTCATAGACTACTCAATGGGGAAATAAGTCTTTTCATCAAATGGTGCTAAAAAAACTGGATAGCCACTTTTAAAAGAATGAAGTTGGACCTGTCCTTAATACCATATTTTTAAATTACCTCAAAATGAATCAAAGACTTAACTGTAAAACCATAAAGCTGGCCAGGCACGGTGGCTCGCGCCTGTAATCCCAGCACTTTGAGAGGCTGAGGTGGGCAGATCACTTGAGGTCAGGAGTTCGAGACCAGCCTAGCTAACATGGTAAAACCTGGTACCTCCTAAAAATACAAAAATTAGCCAGGCATGATGGCACGCGCTTGTAATCCCAGCTACTCGGGAGGCTGGAGGCAGGAGAATCACTTGAACCCAGGAGGCAGAGATTGAAGTGAGCTGAGATCACGCCACTGCACTCCAGCCTGGGCAACAGAGTGAGACTCTATCTCCAAACAAACAAACAAACAAAAAAACCCACTATAAAGCTAAAAAAAACCTATAGAACTATTAGAAGAAAACACAGGGGTTTATATAACCTTGGATTTACCAATCTATTCTTAGATATGATATAAAAAGCATTAGTACAAAAAAATCAGTAAATTATACTTCATTAAAATCAAAAACTTTTGTGCATCAAAGGACACTATCAATTAAGTAGAAAAAGAACCCAACAGAATGGGAGAAAATATTTACAAATTGTATATCTGACAGAGGTCTAATTTCCAGATGATATAAAGAACTCATACATTCAACAGCAAAAAGACAACTCAATTTTAAAATGGGCAAAGAACTGCAAGAGACATTTCTCCAAATAAAGACATACAAATAGCATAACAAACAAACAGAAGATAGTGAGGATGTGGAGAAATGAGAACCCTCACATATTGCTATTAGGAATGTATTGGTCAGCCACGGTAAAAAAAAAAAAGTTTAGCAGTTCCTCAAAAAGGTAATCATAGAATTATAATATGACCCAGCAATTTCACTCCTAGGTACATACCCAAAAGACTGAAAACAGGGACTCAAACAAACAGTTGTACACAAATGTTCACAGCAGCACTATTCACAACAGTCAAAAAAAGAGAAACAACACAAATGTCTATCAACAGACATGAATAAACAAAATGTGTGTGTGTGTGTCTCTGTGTGTGTACACATGCAATAGAATATTACTCAGCCCTAAAAAGGAATGAAGTACATTCCTTCCTACATGTAGATGCAACACCAAAACATTACACTAAGTGAAAAAAGCCAGAACAAAAGGTCACATACTACATAATTCAATTTGTATGAAATACCCAAAATAGGTAAATCCATAGAGATGGAAAACAAACTGGTGTTTGCCAGGGGTTTGGAGGACAGCAAAATAGAAAGTGAGCACTTCATAGGTACAAAGTTTAATTTGGGGATTATGAAAATGTTTTGCAACTTGACAGAGATGGTGGTACACAACACTGTGAATGTACCCAGAGCCACTGAATTGCACACTTCAAAACAGTTAATTTATGTTACATTAATTTCACTTCAATTTTAAAAAATGGATGCTAAGAAATAATCAATACATTTTAAGAGGAGATGAGGAGAAAAAGGACAGAGGAGACAGTCTTATAAATCAGCAACAAAATCCAAATAATAGAAGACTTGAGAAGTAGATTTAAGATTCTCAGGAGAAATAATTAATGATGTTCTACTTAGCTTTTCTTATTTTACGGAAAAAGCTGCCAAATATTTTTTCTTACTATAAAAAATTTATCCACACCCACCGACATACAACTAAAAGCCACACTTTATAACAGGGAAAGAACATTCAACTGAAAGCTAGAATCCTGGGTTTTAATCTACTCTGCCTATCGCATAAGTAAGGAAAATAATTTAACTCTCCTAGGCCTCAGTTTCTTTAATTATAAAATGAGATGCAACTACTACTAATAAAAACAGTAATAAAAAATAACAGCAATATAAAAAGTAATGTTTACATGCATTTACAGTGTGGCAGGCAGTATTGTATTTTACATGTCAACGTTAGCTGTTAATATGTTAAATGTTAACACATTTAATACTCACAAACCCCTGTGAAACAGGTGCTATTAATATCCCCACTTTAAAGGTGTGGAAACTGAGACACAAAGAGGATTAAAGAGAAGAGCCATGCAGTCTGGCTCCACAGCCCGTGTTCTTAAGAACCAGGCTATACTTGATGATCTCTAGGACCTTTTCCAATTCTAAAAATTCTGAGTCCATGTACATTTAAGGCAATTTAAGGACATTATTAAGCCCTCCTGTTTCAGCCATCACTTAGCAATTAACATTCTTGAAATATGCTAAGAGCCTTGTTCTGAATGACATCTAACTTCACCAGATGTTCGATCCCAACAGACTTCTGATGAAGGATTATAATGGAAAGAAACGGCTCATTTGTATCTGGTTATCTGTGTGAGATACTGCCAAGTGCCAAAGAGCCCAGAAGAGATTTACATGTCACTCAAAATTCTTCTGAAGTCAGGCCTAACAATTCTTCAAGGAACAGAATAGTAACAAGTCTGGGTGAGTGCCTATTAAACTGCTCAGGGAAATAGATAATTTAACATATCCAATGAGCAGGAGTAATTCCAGGCAAGTCAGGTGTATTTCTA